>NC_000004.12:180739562-181042593 GCF_000001405.40 Homo sapiens
CCTTGAAGATGGATATCTAGTTGTTTCTGAATCAATGGATAAAAATAATTGTATGTCTTCCACTGAGTAACATTGAAAACATTTTTGAAATTCAATTGGGAAATAAATATCTTTATTTGAGAATTTTTTAGATATTTTATTTTTGTTAATTTTTAATTTAATTCCATATGCACAGAAAACATGTGACATCAATACTTTGAAATGTATTAATGACCCAGCATATTTGTGAAGCCCCATTACATAGGAAAATAATGTATTCTATATTTGTTGAGTATAGAGTTCTATAAATACCAACTAGGTTTACTTGGTTGACAGTGTTGTTCATTATTACGAATCTTTTTTTTCTACTTGTTTTATTGGTTGCTGAAAGAATGGTGCTACAATCTCTAACTATATTATGAATGAGTTTATTTTTCCCTTTTTTACTGCCAGTTTTTACTTCATGTATTTTGAAGATCTGTTATCAGGTGCATACACATTTATGATCTTTTTACCACTTTAACTGGCACATTTTATTTCTGGTATTACTTCTTGTTTTGATGTCTATCTTTACTGATATTAAATTGGCCACTCTAGTTTGCATAGAGTGAGCATTGCATGCTATTTGAAAAATCATTTTTTTTATTTTGACTTAGTTTTTACTTGATATTTGAAGTGCATCAGAGGACGAGGTGCAATGGCTCACACCTGTAATCTCAACACTTTTGGTGGCCAGGGTGAGTGGATCACTTGAGCCCAGGAGTTCAAGACCAACCTGAGCAACTTAGTGAAACCCTTTCTCTACAAGAAACATACATACACACACACACACACACACACACACACACACACACACACACACACACATTAGCTGGGCCTAGTGGTACATGCCTATAGTCTCAGCTACCTGAGAGGCTGAGGTGGGAGGATCGCCTAAGCCCGGGAGGTCAAGGCTGCAGTGAGCCGTGATTGCACCACTGCACTCTAGTCTGGGCAACAGAGTAAGACCCCGTCTCAAATAATATAATAATAATAATAGTGTGCATCTGTTGAGAAAGTAGTTTGGTCGTACTTTTTATCCAGTTTGGTGTTCTCTACCTTTTATTTGAAATGCTTAGTCCTTTTACTTGTGTTACAATTGATAGGGTTGGATTTGAATCTCCCACCATGTTGTTATTTGTTTTCTACTTCATCATAACACAGTACAGTCACACATCACTTAATGACTAGGATACCGTCTGAGATATGCGTTCTAGGTGATTTCGTTTTTGTGCAAACATCATAAACTGTGCTCACACAAACCTGGACAGAACAGCCCACTACACATCTGGACTCTATGGTACAGCCCGTTGCTTCTGGGTTATACACCTGTACAGCATCATACTGTACTGAATACTGGGGGCACCTGTAACACAATGATAATTTTTTTATTTAAACATAGAAAAGGTACAGTAGAAATACATTATTATAATCTCATGAGCTCATCATCTTATGTATGGTCAGTCATTGAAATGTTGTGTGATGTATGACTGTGTTTAGTAATATTATTATGTGAACATATGATTTATCAAAAATATTACATCCACCACAAATTGTAAGCTATGTTTTGAGATTTCCATAAATATTTCAGAGATTATGTATTATCATGAAAGAGCCGCCCAGTAAATGAAGAGAAGATAGCTCTGGTCTAGGTCCTATGCCCTCAGATGATACATAGCCTGCTTTTAAAAATATCTACCATTAACTATATTATAGTTTTACATATGAGAATATAATCCCAGTCCTTATCTTTATTTTTTTCCAGAAGGTTCTTTCAGCTGTCTGTCCATGTACTGAGATGGTGTAATTTATTTTCCAGAACATAAATCTATTTCTAATACTATATGAACTTTCTGATTGTCCTTATATATTAGCATCTAGCAACCAGTCATCAAAGTCTGGAGGTCCTCTCCTGGGAGAAGAATAAAAATATAAGGCTCTTCTTTATAAGATGAGATCATTATTGGTGTAAAGCAGAGTGGATTTCAAGATATCATACTATTCAATTAGACAATCAGGAATTCAAGCTTAAAAATTCTTCCTTACAAAAGCAGGACATAGAACGAAGTGACACATAGATCATGTCACTGATTTCTATGTATCAGCATATCAGCATCTTCTACTTCAAATGTCTTTTTATTAAATATATAAGGGTTTCAGTTTCACCTATTTCTTTTTCTTTAAGCACAAAGCAATGTCTGAAGGATGGCCTATAGATTAAAATTGTTGGGCTTGTCTAAAAGAATATTCTCTGAATGCGTGTGTGTATGTGTGTGTGTGTGTGTGTGTATCATACATTTGTGTGATACCAAAGTTCTGTCCTGCTGAGAACTATCTAAAGAAACACCATCATGAAATGTCACAAAAGCCATTATGCTTTTAAAGAAATGACAGCCTAAACCCATCAGCTATAGGGGAAGGAGGAAAAAGAAAAGAGTGAATATATGAGAAATGAAAAATGAATCAGACATAGATGATGTAGTTGCCTTATCTAGATTATTTCTCCTTCAATTCATTCTACAATTGTTTAATAAAATTTTCTAGAGTGGCAGTACAAGCAATACCAGTGATACCGCTGTGCTGATAGATCAATTGTAGTATAAGACTATTATAGCAATTTTGTGGAGAATTAGTTTTTTTCTCATATATTGAAGAACTTATTGATGAATGGAAAATTTCAGAATTGTGAATGTGCATTTTTAAAACAAATTTGATCTTCAGAAGAAAAGGAGAAAATGAACATTTTACTTAGTTTATACATTTTTAAGTATTTTATCCAGAAATGGCTATTACCACATTTTCCTGCTTGATTATGGGAATCTACAATTAATATCACGTTACTAGTTCAGATATGCCACATCTTAAGGATAATTCTTTAGTGAATGGAACCAGTGAGTCTCACACAATAAAGTAATATGTTGCTGTAAACCCTCTAACATTTGGCCTTGAATTTTGCTATTAGTCATTCTCTATTTTATTGGATCTTTGTAGGCCTAAAGTGCATATAAAATGCTGCAGAGTATTAAATCTTGATTTTACATAACTGACACTAATGTATAACTTTCATTTTTTAATCATCAACAGATGCAGCAAAATATAACTTTCATTTCTGAATAACCCATGTAGTTAACCATAGCAGGGATGGCAAGGCAACAGTATACACTGTCAGACTTTAGATAACTCGATTTAACATCAGCAATTCTGCTATGTCCATGCACTTTACATAATATTTCCAACACATAATTAATTCTCTAACAGAAAAAAAAAGTTATTAGCTTTTAGTATGTCTCCAGGCCATGTTTTTCCTATATACCCAATTTATTCATCTTAGAAGTATATAAAAGGAAGCCCTTGACAGCTATTTCTTGCTTAGGTTGAGGCAGCAGTATACTGTTAGTATACTACATGGATCTCAAAATTTTACTAGATTCCACAGAATGGCTGAAGTGAATACAGATTTTAAGTGTCAAATCATACATAGCAAACATATTATTGTCTTTGGGATTTATACGTTGTTGAGAATCAGAGAAATTATCAATGGCAATATTTTTTCTTCTTTGAAAGATCCCCAAAAACCAGATTTTAATTTATTTCTGTTTGGCTTGGAGTTTACTATTTGAAATGCTATTTGCATCCTCCAAAGACTAAAGCATAGGAAGCAGTGTCTTGTCTCAGCATTTTAACCAATGCTTGAAAAAGGCAAAAGCTCAGAAAGAGCTCAAAAAGAAAAACAGGAGATGATGTGAAGTCATAACTTCATCTTTCATTTGAACAATGTATAATATATATGT
The DNA here is from genome assembly GCF_000001405.40 of Homo sapiens. Taxonomy (NCBI): domain Eukaryota; kingdom Metazoa; phylum Chordata; class Mammalia; order Primates; family Hominidae; genus Homo; species Homo sapiens. The sequence goes on from NC_000004.12 coordinate 180,743,372, forward strand.
AAATTTGAAGCATTTTTAAACTGGCATTTATGGTTAAATATATTTCTTTTTAAATACCATCTGAGATGGATAATAAGCCATCTCTAATAAGGCTGCTTATTGTAGAAAGAGAAGTGATGCAGACACACTGCTCAAAGTTCACCTGTGCAGTTATTTCTTTGCTTTCAACATTATCATTCAGAAGCACCAACTTGCCACTTCTTAGTCATCAACAGAGGCAAAGAGCACACAAAAGACATTATTCTTGACAGGGGGTCTTTTTTGTAGGACTCCTTTATTTCTTAGTGAGATATTTTACTTTCACCCCTACCACATCTACATTATTGAATACAGGAAATCGAAAATCAATCTACTTATGTTGGGTTTTGCAACCAAAAAGGGCAATCATGCATTACGCATTTAAAGAAATAGCAAAAAGGGCAACCATGCCCAAACACACACAGACTCACTGAGAAAAAGGCAGTGTGACTCACTGAAAATTTGGCCTTCATGCTCAAATATGGTTTCAATGTGAATTTAAATCGTGTTAACCTTGGTTTATCCACAGTATAATATTTCCGGTGAAGAAGGATTCTAATTATTTAGTGAGTATTTTTAAATAGTAATTAAAATAATATCAAAAACCGTCAAGTCGAATGACTCACATGGAGAGGAACACCAAACTCCACAGAATTCTGCACACCTGACACATGAACAACAACGAAAAAAGCAGAACTTAAAGCATGTAATATATTCATTATTTCTAAGGTATAATTCACTATTATCTCTAAAAACCAAAGCATTGCTAGTGGTACATAATTGAATTTGAATAAGAGATCCAAAGACACTCTCCTTCTGTCAGAAATAGCACCCACCTGACTCTTTTAAAGCACTGAATATGTTCAGTTGCGTTTAATTCTATTTATAAGAAAATAAGACTCTTCCTAATTTATTTTTCTCAACAATCCAGTAATAGAAAGGAATTATTACTGCCATTTTAAAAATAAAGAAACTGAGTTCAGCTGGAGGTTAAAAGTGTTTTGCAAGACCAGACAATGCTGACAAATGTCAAACACAACACAGAAAATGCATCTTGTGCCTCTCGGCACATTGCCCTTCCTGTCATTTCCCCATGCAAGGGCTCACTCTTCTGATGCTGTCTCTAAGAGTTCAGGAACACTGAAACAAAGTTATCAAAGACTACATATTTCACAAATAGCTTCTAATAAGTTGCTTAGGGAGTGAAAGTAGACATTAGGTGAAGAACTGAGAATACAATTTATTTATAATTTATTTATACTTTGCTTTTTTCTGAAACGAATTATCTTAAGATATCATCTGGAAATATTGAGCCAACTTTAGAGGGCAATTAAGATATAACTTTTGAGTAAATAATGTATTTTTACACCAGGTTTTCTCTCTATTCACTGAGGAAATATCTGCAGATAAAGATAAATTCAGAAAGAAAGATTAGGTTAGATTTAGTCATTTGGATCAATGTAGAACCTATTATGGTCTAAGTATTATATTGATTATAATTTCTATCAATTTAATTCATTCCACTTGGCTCTGAAATCTCCTCTGGAGATTCCAAAAGGAATTAGAACTCAGATTACTGCTTCTTTTGATACATCTAATGGCACAGACCTTAATAATTTAAAAACTTTAATGACTGGTGTTTTTGACAAGTTTAAAAAGCTATAGCTCCTCTGTGTGTGTAAAATCCGTTAATTCAGTGATTCTCAATCTATGGACCCGGTACCAGCAATGTCAGCCACATGTCAGGTCTTGTTAGAAATGCTAATTGTTGGCCTCATCCCAGATCTATGGAATCAGAAACTCTGGTCGGGTGCTCAGCAATCTGGGTTTTCACAAGCCCTCCAGCTAATTGTGACACTGGCCAGTGTCTAAGAATCACTCCAATAAAGGAAGCATCATGTAGGCAGAGCATTCTTTAATCTTTATGAGAAGAATTGAGAGATAAGCGTATTCTTCTTGACTGTTAAACACTGAACATTGGTAGAAATCAGGAGAATGGAATTTTGTTTGTTTACCACATCCATTTTTATAACTATACAATAACCAATTGATAAAAATAGATGCTTTTGTGTTTCTGCCAATGCTGCCTTTTTAGCTTGGAAAAGCCTATTTTTGTATTTTATTTTATTTTTCCATTTAATAATTTTTTTGAGATAGGGTCTTACTCTGTCATCCAGGCTGGAGTGCAGTGGCATGATCACAGCTCACTGAAGCCACAACCTCCCAGGCCCAAGCGGTCTTCTCACCTCAGCCTCCCAAGTAGCTGGTACCACAGACATGTACCATCACGCATGGCTAATTGAAAAAAAATATATATATATAGAGAGAGACGGGGTCTCCCTATGTTGCCCAGGCTCGGAAAGTCATTTTTAAAGAGCTGATTAAATCAGCCTTATGGTCCTTGTCTCAAGGTACCTGCTGTCTGTCCCTTTCTGCCATGGTCCACATAGATAGCTTCATACATTTTTTAAAGAACTGTGTTTCTTGAATTTGAAGAAAAAAGATTATTCGTAAGATTTTTCTAGGAGAACCTAATTTTGTCTTTTTAATATCATTTTGTAACTTTTCCAAATTTCAAAAAATAAATCTCAGAATAGTGTGTTGTATATGTTTCATATAAACATTTTCTGCTTTATCTGTTGAATGTAAACATTTCTGTTTAAAATGTAGGTTTCAAAGAAACTCTTTTTAGAGTTTATGACAATAAGAAAAGATTTAATACGTTTAAACATTTTCATTAATGACATATTAATCCATACCTATGTGAGGATGCAAGTTATAATTAATTGAGCCAGTTTTTGTAATCTGCTGTAGATTTTATGCATATAATATAGGCATTGTGGTTTTAAAGATGCATACCTAAGTATAAGCCTACATTTTAGAGAATAATAGTTGTCAACTCAGATATTTAAAATATGTATATAACATAAAGGTAGTTGAAAGTGCTAGTTGACTTTTTACAAAGATAACTGTTTTTGTTGTTCATTTCGAAAACACTGAAATGGTGGAGAAAACCCGTGGACATCTATAAGCCTGCCTACTAGACATTTTGTCTCTAAAGATGAAATGGGAAGTGCACTTAAAAGTTTCCTTTGGTACTTTCAAAGACAGCAGAGGATTTTACTTTGCATATAGCATATCTTTGCTTCCCATGTGCTTCAAAGGATTAAACACCAAAGTCTCCATTAAAGGCAGCTATTTTCTCTGATTTTGATATTGGCCTGATATTTTTGATAGATATTCTGATCAGGGCAACATCAGGAACCACAGATATAAATAAAGGAACTTTCTGCTGTCCCTCCACACAGTTTTAAAAATGTATACATTTGTTAATCTTGTATTACAGAAAGAGTCAGTATAGGAAATATATCTTAAGGAATATTTTTTTCCTTGACTCTCCTTGTTCCCCCTACTCTGACACTTTCTCCTTTGAAAAAAATAGATTATAATGGCTAAATCTAAAAATGATATCTTCCTCTACAAAACAAAAAGTTAAAATCTGACTGGCATTCTCATTAGAGGTGAATAAATGGGACGGGAAACAAGTTTATGTTATTAGGTTGTGCCTTTTTAAATTTCAAAGTGGTTGTGGATTTTACTCTCTAATGTGTGAAGTGGAGGTGAATAGATACTGACTACTGGCCATGAGCTTTGGCGATACTGCTTGGAGTGGGTTGGAGGGGGACGGTAGGCAAATTAAAGGGATGCAAGTGGATTCAGGAAAATGAGAAATCTATACCCTTAGCTGGGATTTCTTTTCCAAATATAGTCACCCCTTGGTATCTGCAAGGGATTTGTCCCAGGCCCCCTGCAGACACCAAAATCCACACATAGTCCAGTCCCACAGTCAGCCCTGCAGAACCCAGTATCGGAAAAGTCAGCCCTTCGTATCTGCGAGCTTATCATCCCACTAATAGATTTTCAGTCTTTTTTGATTACAGATGCAGAACTTGAGGATAGGGAGGGCAACTATTTGTTAAACAAAATGAGTGAATAAGTGGCCTGGGCAGTGCAAGTCTGTGTTGTTCAAGAGTCAACTGTATGTTAAAAAATAATACTCCCGTCCTTGATTGTAACTTAAGATACCTCCCTTAAATCAGAAGACTCTCCATGTAACAGGTTATTGAATTGTGCAAAATATGAGGGGTCATTCTCCCCAGAATTTTCTAATCAACAAATTTCAAACATTTGATGTACACCTTTATATCACTTATAATTTCCTTTCAGAAGTTTTAACAGATTCATTTTTTAATTTAGATTATGATTAAATATTTTATATACGAGATTTATAAATTTTTGAGCTGAATTACATATTAAAGAGGAAGAAAAGGTATTTTCTATCTCCCCTCCTACCAGATGGTTAAGAATGGAAACAAAAGTTAGTGAAGATTGAGTAAATATAACAGTCTCAACTCAAATGAACCAACCCCTTCCCATTCCAAACATACAATAAATTATAAACACAAGTACATGCATACACACACACACATTCAATAGGAATAAAAGTTAATATCATGGTGTTATTTTTTAAAAAGTAGAGACTCAACAAAGAGAGGCATATATACGAAATCCCAATGATTTGGGGAGTTTCACTCTTTCTATATAATCCTTGATGGTTAGGGAGTTTAATTTTAATATGCCTGAAGGAACACAAGGTCTCAGAACTGCTGAATGTGATTCTCTGGAAATGAGAACCCTTCCAAACAGCCAAAAGCCTCAAAGAACTGATTCATTTATAAAACAGGGATGACAAAAGTTCTGATGTTCAACTTGGGGAAGCAGCCCGCAACTGTACAATCAGGTCCCAACATGAGTGTGGGCTAAATTCACATTGCCACTTGTTTTAGGACCTCAAGCCAAGATTATGAGGAAAACTTGCATGAAAATAATAAAACCATCAGAGACCTGGTGGTAGAAAAATTTAATAATTCTTTTTGAATGTACTGTAAACAAAAGTCAATGATTTACTAAACCAGACAACACTGGAAAAACTTCATATAATGGGATAATTTGAAAAAGATTGTAAAAATCTTTAAGATGTTTAAAAGCGTAAACTAAACTGTAAAACAAGAATAATGTATGAAAAAATGTACAATCAAATTATAAAAAGAAGCTAAACAAATTCTAGAAAAGAAAATAAAAGCATTGAAAAAAAATCATATTAGGTGAATTAAACAGCAAAGTCGACATAGCTGAAGAGAGAATCAGTGCATTGTAGAAAAATCTGTAGAAATCAAGTTAAATAATTCATTGAAATAAATGGATGGAGAATACAAAGAGGAAGCAGCTAAAATAGAAGATAGAATGAGAAGGTCCAGCATACATTCATGAGAATTTCCAAAGAACAAAATTCAGAGAATAAGGGAATAGTATTTTCCCATAGGTATGCCAAATTATTTCATAGAATTAGAATTCTCAGATAAAAATGGCTCCTTGACTCCTAAGCAAGGTAAGGAAAAAGCAATCTATACCTAAACATACCATAAAAATAGAAGATCCTCAATGAAAAAGAGAAAGTTATTAATCTGTAAGACAAAACATGAGTAACTTCCTAAAAGGAATAGAAAGTAGTCTGACAACATACTTTTCATTATCCAAAATAAAGCACTGAAGGCAATGGAATGAAAGGGTATCTTGAAACTACTGATGAAAAATAAGGATCAACCTAAAGTACTATATATAAATAAGTAATTATTTCAAGAGTGAGGACAAAATAAAATAATTTCTAATAAAACTAAGAGAGTTTTCTGGTTGTGGAGACTGTCTGTATAATGGTCCTGTCATTTCTTCTCTTTCTGTTTACCTGGGCCATTTCCCCATCAAGAGATGGAGTCCATTCTTCCACCCCTTTGAATCTGGACTGCCCTGTGACTGCTTGCCTAATAGAATATGGTAGAAGGGGCTCAGTGATAGTTCTGAACGTATAATTTAGAAAGATTTTCAGCTTTTGGCTTTTTTTTTTTTTAACTTGTAGGTTCACGGGTACATGAGCAGGTTTGTTATATAGGTAAGTTGTGTGTCACAGGGATTTGGGGTACTGATGATTTCATTACCCAGATGATAAGCACTTGATAGGTCATTTTTCGATCTTCAGCCTCCTCCCACCCTCTACCCTCAAGTAGGCCCTGATGTCAGTTGTTCTGTTCTTTGTACCCATGTGTACTCAATGATTAGCTTCTACTTATAAGTGAGATCATGCAGTATTTGGTTTTCTGTTTCTGCATTAGTTTGCTAAGGATAATGGCCTCTGGCTCCATCCATGTAGCTGCAAAGGACATATCTCATTCTTTTCTATGGCTGCATAGTATTCAATGGTGTATATATGTGTATATATATATATGTGTGTGTGTGTGTGTATATATATATAATATATGTGTGTCTATATAATAAAAATGTTATATATGTGTGTGTGTGTATATATATATATATATAAAACATTTTCATTATCTAGTCTACTGTTGATGGGCATTTAGGTCGATTCCATGTTTTTTCTATCATAAATAGTGCCATAATTAACACACACATGCAAGTGTCTTTATAGTAGAAAGATATATAATACTTTGGGTATGTACCCAGTAATGAGATTGCTGGGTTGAATGGTAATTCTGTTTTAATTTCTTTGGGAAATCACCAACCTGGTTTCCACAGTGGCCGAACTAATTTAAATTCCCAACAACAGTGTATAAGCATTTCCTTTTCACCACAACCTCGCCAGCATCTGTTATTTTTTTCGTTTTAGTAACAGCCATTCTGACTGGTGTGAGATGGTATCCCGTTGTGTTTTGGATTTGTATTTCTCTAATGATTAGTGGTGATGAGCATTTTTTATATATTTGTTGGTTGCATGTATTTGTTCTTTTGAAAAGTGTCTTTTCATTTCCTTTGCCCACTTTTTAATGTTTTTTTTTTCTTGTAAATCTGTTTATTATAGATTCTGGATATTAGACCTTTGTCAGATGCATAGTTTGCAAATATTTTGCTTGATTCCATAGGATGCTTTGTTGATAGTTTCTTTTGCTTTGCAGAAGCTCTTCAGTTTAATTAGGTCTCATTTGTTAATTTCGTTTTTTTTTTTTTTTTTTTGAGACGGAGTTTCGCTCTGTCGCCCAGGCTGGAGTGCAGTGGCGCGATCTCGACTCACTGCAAGCTCCGCCTCCCGGGTTCACGCCATTCTCCTGCCTCAGCCTCCCGTGTAGCTGGGACTACAGGCGCCCGCCACCAAGCCCGGATAATTTTTTTGTATTTTTAGTAGAGACGGGGTTTCACCGTGTTAGCCGGGATGGTCTCGATCTCCTGACCTCGTGATCCGCCCGTCTCGGCCTCCCAAAGTGCTGGGATTACAGGCGTGAGCCACCGCGCCCGGCCGTTAATTTCGTTTTTGTTGCAATTGCTTTTGGCACCTTTCTCATGAATTCTTTGCCAGGGCCTATGTCCATAATGGTATTTCCTAAGTTATCTTCCAGGGTTTTTATAGCTTTAGGTTTTACATTTGAGGCTTTAATCTATCTTGAGTTGATTTTTGTACATGGCATAAGGAGTGGGTCCAGTTTCCATTTTCTGCATATGGCTGGCCAGGTATCCCAGCACCATTTATTGATTAGGGAGTCCTTTTGCCCTTTCTTGTTTTTTTTTTTTTTGACTTTGTTTTGACTCATTTTTTAAGGCCCCAAGTCACAATGTAAGAAGCCTGACCATCAAGCTGGAAAGGGCAAATGAACAAACCTTGGAAATAGAAGGGGCCAGCTTAGCTTAGACTTCATGTTGTACCTGGCAAAGTGCCAGCCTTGTGAGTAAAGCTATCTTGGAACTTTCAAGAAAGGTCAGCTTCAAGCTGGATAGTACCAAGTGATTCATTCAGTCAATACCGTACAGAACAGCAGAATCAGCTAGACAACCTCTGCCAGAAATTCTTAGCCATAATATATGAGACAGAATGGAATGGTAGTTGTTTTAGTCACTAAGTTTTGGGATAGTTTGTCACAGCAATAGATAGCCGTATATTAGTTTTGATACAGGCTGAAAGAAATAGTAAAGGATATACTTCAATAAGAAGGAAATTGATGCTAGGAGGCAGAAATGACTTGAAGATGGACTAACAGCTAAAAACTTGTATAAACATGTTTTTAGCCTAAATAAGCATTGTTTGTTAACAAAAACAAATTTTAAAAAACTTGGATAAGTAAAAAACAGATGGAAATAAAATAATAGCAATATATCAAAATTGAAAAGTTAAGAGATAAGACTTAAAAGTTTCAAAGGCTTTGAAAAAAAATCAGAGGATATTAGAAGTACTAATTAAATTTAAACATTAAGTTAATAATTGTATACAGAAAATGTTTAACAAAAAAATACTATCTAAGATTTATAAACAAATAGGGGAGAAGAAGAAATTAAAAAATTTTCTTAACTTAGTAAACAGGAATTCAGAAAGAAGCATGAACCTTTTACAATAAGGCAAAAACAAAGTAACGTGGTAGAAAAAAGTCTAAATACATCAGAAATCACAATAAATATAAATAGACTAAACTTGTTCATTGAAAGATATTCATTTGAGTGGAGGCTGCAGTGAACCAAGATCACACCACTGTATTCCAGCCTGGGTTACAGAGTAAGACCCTGTCAAAAAAAAAATGAAGAAACATATTTGTATTAGTCTGTTTTCATGCTGCTCAAAGAGACATACCCAAGACTGGGCAATATACAAAAGAAAGAAGTTTAATGGACTTACAGTTCCACATGGATGGGGAGGTTTCACAATCATGGCGGAAGGCAAGAAAGAGTAAGTCATGTATTACCTGGATGGCAGCAGGTAAACAAACTGTTCGTGCAGGGAAACTCCCCCTTATAATACCATCAGATCTTGGGAGATTTATTCGCTATCACAAGAACAGCACAGGAAAGACCTGCCCCCATAATTCAATCACCTCCCACTGGGCTCCTCCCACAACACGTGGAAATTGTGGGAGTTACAATTCAAGATGAGATTTGGGTGGGGACACAGCCAAATCATATTATCTCACCTCTGGCCCCTCGCAAATCCCATGTCCTCACATTTCAAAACCAATCATGCCTTCCCAACAGTCCCACAAAGTCTTAACTCATTTCAGCATTAACTCAAAAGTCCACAGTCCGATGTCTCTTCTGAGACAAGGCAAGTCCCTTCCACCTGTGAGCCTGTAAAATCAAAAGCAAGTTAGTTATTTCCTAGATACAATTGGGGTAGGCATTGGGTAAATATAGCTATTCCATATGAGAGAAACTGGCCAAAGCAAAGGGGCTACAGGCCCCATGGAAGTCCAAAATCCAGCAGGGCAGTCAAATCTTAAACCTCCAAAATGATCTCCTTTGAGTCCATGTCTCGCATCCAGATCGTTCTGACCCAAGAGGTGGGTTCCCATGATCTTGGCCAGCTCTGCCCCTGTGGCTTTGCAGGGTACAGCCTCCCTCCAGCTGCTTTCATGGGCTGGTTTTGAGTGTCTGTGGCTTTACACACAGTGCAAAAAGCTGTCAGTGGATCTACCACGCTGGAGTCTGGAGGATGGTGGCCCTCTTTTCACAGCTCCAGTAGGTGGTACCCCAGTAGGGACTCTGTGTGGGGGTTCCAACCCCACATTTCCCTTCCCCACTGCCCTAGCAGAGGTTCTCCATGGGAGTCCCACCACTGGAGCAAACTTCTGCCTGGACATCCAGGTGTTTCCATACATCCTCTGAAATCTAGGTGGAGATTCCTAAACCTCAGTTCTTGACTTCTGTGTACCTACAGACTCAATACCACGTGGAAGTTGCCAAGGCTTGGGGCTTACACCCTCTGAAGCTACAGCCTGAGCTGTACCTTGGCTCTTTTTAGTCAAAGCTGGAGTGGCTGGGATGCAGGACACCATGTTCCTAGACTACACACAGCACAAGGACTCTAGTCATGACCCACAAAACCACTTTTTCCTCCTAGACCTCTGGGTTTGTGATGAGAGAGGCTGCCAAGAAGACCTCTGACATACCCTGGAGACATTTTCTTCATTGTTTTGGGGATTAACACTTGGCTCCTCATTACCAGTGCAAATTTCTGCAGCCATCTTTAATTTCTTCTCAGAAAATGGGATTCATTTTTTTTTTTTTTTGAGATGGAGTCTCACTCTGTCACCCAGGCTGGAATGCAGTGGCACAATCTAGGCTCACTGCAACCTCCTCCTCCTGGGTTCAAGCAATTTTCCTACCTCAGTCTCCTGAGTAGCTGGGATTACAGGTGCACACCACCCCACCCGGCTAATATTTTGTGTTTTAGTAGAGACCGGGTTTCACTGTGTTTCCCAGGCTGGTCTCAAACTCCTGAGCTCAGGCAATCTGCCTGCCTTGGCTTCCCAAAGGGGATGGCGTTGTCAGGCTCGAATTTTCCAAACTTTTATGCTCTGCTTCTCTTGTAAAACTGAATGCCTTTTGAATGCATTGCTGCTTAGAAATTTCTTCCACCAGATAATCATCTCACTCAAATTAAAGTGTCACAGATCTCTAGGGCAGGGGCAAAATGCCACTAGTCTTTCTGCTAAAACATAACAGGAGTCACCTTTCCTCCAGTTCCAAACAAGTTCCTCATCTCTATCTGAGATCACTTCAGCCTGGACCTTATTGTTTATATCACTATCAGCATTTTTGTTAAAGCTATTCAACAAGTCTCTAAGAAGTTCCAAACTTTTTCACATTTTCTTATCTTCTTCTGAGCCCTCCACACTGTTCCAACCTCTGCCTGTTACTCAGTTCCAAAGTTGCTTCCATATTTTCAGGTATCTTTTCAGCAATGCCCCACTCTATTGCTACCAGTTTACTGTATTAGCCCGTTTTCATGTTGCTGATAAAGACATATCTGAGACTAGGCAATTTAGTAAAGAAAGAGGTTTAATGGACTTACAGTTCCATATGGCTGGGGAGGACTCTCAATCATGGCAGAAGGCAAGGAGGAGAAAGTCACATCTTACATGGATGGTGGTGGCAAAGAGAGAGCTTGTGCAGGGAAACTCCCATTTTTACAACCATCAGATCTCATGAGACTTATTCACTATCACAAGAACAGCACAGGAAAGACCTGCCCACATGATTCACTTCTCTCCCACTGAGTCCCTCCCAGAACATGTGGGAATTATGAGAGCTACAAGATGAGATTTGGGTGGGGACGTAGAGCCAAACCATGTCAATATTCATTTGAAAATTAAAATTCAGTCAAATCCAGTTTGCAAAAGTCACTCCTAAAAGCATATATCACTCAATGTCCGTAAGTAAGAAAATGCCAAAAATTTACTAAAGAAATCTGGTTCAGTTATTTTAATATTTAACACATTTTATTTAAGGCAAAAAACATTAGGGAAAATAAGTCTATACTTAATAAAAATAGTGATTCGAAAATTATGACAATCATTAACATGCATACATTTAATATCATATGTATGTTAATTTATTTAAAGGAAAATTGGACAGGCTTGCAAAGTGAAATTTAAAAATCTATAATCATGGTGGGAAATTTTACCATATCTCTTTCAGAAACTGATGCATCAAAGAGATAAAGGAAAGGATAACAACAGAAGTTTTAAATAATACAATGAGCTAGCTTATTCTAAATAACATTACCCAACCTCTCACTCACACTCCCAGAAGTAAGTAAATATACTCATTTCAATCACATATGGATTAAAAGAAAACTAAGCACATGCTAGGCCATAGGAAAATGATCATCTATAAACCATGTTCTCATATTACAATCCAAAAGAATTAGAAATAATTAAAAAACTATCAAAAGAAACATATACTGGGGAATTCAAAAGCATGCGTTTCAATATTAAAGTATTAAAGAGAAAATACATAATGGAAATATTTAAATACTTGTGAATGAAAGACTATTATGATATGTGTGGAAATATATTACATATTGCTATAGCAAAACAAAGCCAGGTTGAGAGCTAGGGCACTGAACTCAAAAAAGTAGGTATAAAACACTGAAACATACTCAATAAAGTAAAAGAAAGCAAAAAAAATAGAGCAGAAATTAATGGAATAGTTATAAAAATATGATGACTTGAAAATAAGAAAAAGATAGAAACTTCCTAGCAAATCTGGTCAAGAGCTGGTGGGGAAGTAAAATAAAAAGCTCAAACAAACAATGTGAGGAATGGAAATGCAGCAATTAATTAGAAATTAAATAAAAATACCAAAAACCATGTTATGATGATAAAGTTGAGTCTTTGTTGAAATGTTCTGTATTTTAGAAAAGAAAATACATTGCCAAAAAAGATTTATAAATAGCAGAAGCCCGAATAGAACAATAGTTGTTAAATTAATTGAATCTGTGTTGAAAATAGCTGCTCTCATGTCTTCAAAAATGGCACTGGCTCCAAATAGCTTTACAAACAAGTTCTACCTAACATACACTTTAAAAATCTGGTACCAAGAATAAAGAAAGAAGACCTCGAATTAGAATAATTGCTATACTACCATTACCACTACTGCCTTCCCCCATTAAACACACACACAATACAAGCACACATACACACACACACACACACACACACACACACACAAAAGATCAAAAAATAAGAGTATTAGGAAGAAGAAAAACTATAGTGGGCAAAGTTAGAATATTGGAAATCTATCGTCAGTAGACATGTGAAGATACACCTTCAATTTTGTAGAATAAATCCAAGAGAGTGTTTTCCCCCCAATAATTTTATTTTATTTTTTAATATTTTGTGGGTGTATAGTAGGTGTACATATTAATGGGGTACATGAGTTGTTTTGATACAAAAGTTGTTTTGATACAGACATGCAATACAAAATAAGCACATAGTGGAGAATGGGGTATCCATCCCCTCAAGCATTTATCCTTTGAGTTACAAACAATCCAATGACACTCTGTAAGTTATTTTAAAATGTACAACTATTATTGACTGTAGCCCCCCTCAAGAGAGAGTTTTTAAACATATATACCAGATTGATTTTACTTCAATATGTGCAGTTTTCATAAATAATATCATCTGGAAGTAAGTGTTGAGACTCTTACCCTCAATAATTAGAACATGGTTTCTTTTTACTATCTGCAAACATTACTGAAATAGACAGGAAAGGAGGCTTAAACAAATGCTATAATTGATTTTTTTAAGTAAATAGTTTTTAACAGGGGAAGTTTCTATGGGAGAAAAATGGAAAGAAATAATCAGAAGTCTGTAAAAAACCTCAGTTATGAAACTGTATCATGTAAGAAAGGCTGGTGAATGAGAGGATTTTTAGGAAACATCGTAGAAATCTAACTTACATCATCAGAGCACATGCTGTACACTGTAATACAATACACTTGTATTGTATACAAATGTACAAATGAAGCATTTGGGGAAAAATGCTTATGTTTTCCCCAAACTCTAGTGGTGCATAGTCCATAGTTGGAGTTCTAATTCCCAATGTGATAGCATTGAAGGTGTGGTCTTTGGGAGGTTATAAGGGTGGTGGAGTCCTCATAAATTGTATTAGTGCTCTCATAATGAAAAACACTCGGGGCCAGACGAAGTGGCTCACGCCTGTGGTCCTGACTCTTTGGGAGGCCGAGGCAGGTGGATCACTTGAGGTCAGGAGTTCGAGATCAGCCTGAGCAACGTGATGAAATCCCATCTCTACTAAATACAAAAATTAGCTGGGTGTCGTGGCATGTGCCTGTAACTCCAGGTACTCAGGAGGCTGAGGCACAAGAATAGCTTGAATCCAGGAGGCAGAGGCTGCAGTGAGCCGAGCCAAGATCATGCTGCTGCACTCCGGCCTGGGCGACAGAGTGAGACTCTGTCTCAAAAAAAAAAAAAAAAGAAATAAATAAAGAAATGAAAAAGGAGAAGGAGAAGGAGAAGGAGAAGAAGACGAGGAAGAGGAAGAAGAAGAAGAAGAAGAAGAAGAAGCACTCGGAGATGCTCTCTCTCTCCACCATGTAAGGAGATACAACAAGAAGGTGGCTGTCTGCAAATGAGATAGGAGGCTCTCGCCAGTTACTGAATCCGCAAGCACCTTGATCCCGAACTTCCCAGCAGCCAGAACTGTGAGAAATAAATCGTTATTGTTTAAGCCACAGAGTCTGTGGTATTTTGTTATAGTGATGTGTGATATTGTGAAATACGTGTTTGGTCTTCATTCCCGTTTCCTGGCATACAACACCTAAGATCTTTGGAATCTTCAAAGTGATGGTTTTTGTGTGCTAATGAGTGGACTGTGGCTGGCAGCCCCTAGGTAGCTTCAGGATGGAGCTGGTCACGCCAAAGACAAAGACAAAGGCAGGATTAGAGGGCTGGGGCTTTCAGCCTCATCCTCAACCTCCGGGTAGCAGAAAGGGGTTGAGGATTAAGTTGATTACCAGCGGGCAATGATTTAATCAGTCATAAAGAACCATGTAAAACACAAAAGGACTGGATTTCAAGAGGTTCCAGATAGCTGAATATGTGGAAGCTGATAAGAAGGTGAAGAAGAACACATCCACGTATCAGAAGGGTGGTGAAGCCTAACTTCACAGGGACAGAAGCTCCTGTGCTCCAGACCACTCCAGTCCTAGCTCTCTGTATCTTTTCATCTGGCTGTTTAGGTATATCCTTCAAAATAACCTTTGCATTACACCAGCAAATGTAGTGTTTCCCCGAGTTCTGTGAGCAGCCCTAGCAGGATTAATTGCACCCAAAGAAGGGGTTGTGGAGACCCCAACTGGAAGCCAGTGGGTCAGAAGTTCCCAAGGTCTGCACTTGCGGCTGGTGGGCAGGAGGGGGCAGTCTTGGAGACTGAGCCCTCAACTGGTGGGATCTGAAGCTGTCTCCAGGTAGATATCATGAGAATTGAATTGAAATGAATTGGAGGATGCCCAGCTGGTGTCTGCTGTTTGGGGTGTGGGGAAAACCCCTCACATATTTGGTCACAAAGTCTTCTGTGTTGATTGCTGTGGTGTGAGAGCAGAGGAAAATGTTGAAGATTTTCCACTATCACACAGCTCAAGCTAAGGCAGTGTACCTTTCACTACACAGGGGATGAGAGAGGTCTAGAGATTCCCACTGTCTTCCTTCTACTGAAGTGTAACAAGAACAAAGCAAAACAGAAACACATTTAAACTACTAAGAACTCCTTATTATAACATTAAATATATTTGAAAGGAAAATTACAGGAATGGATAGTACCTCAAGAGTTAATATATTTGCATAATTCATTTTTGCTTAAAAATGTAAAATTCATGCTGATAGGTTTTGAAAGAAAATGGATATTCATAGTAATCATTCTCAATTTACATATAATAATGTAACTACTGAAATGGAACATCTGAGCACATTTGCATATGTTGATAAAAAATTATGAAGTTCTAATAAAACTTATTCTAAATTAAATACAAAAAAAAAAAAAAGAAACCCAAGTAGCAAAATCTATACAGTGGGCTGTCCTGAAACATTCCAGGAAATGAACTGCAGTTCCATATATCTTCTACTTAATATGTACTTCCGTTTATCTTTTTTCTTACCTTAAATTTCAGAAATGTATGGCTTTTTTCTTTTAGAACGAATTCTCGTCATTAATACATGACAGTTATTTTAAGCGGTTTATAGATGTTAATTGAATATTGTAAGTGATATGCTATCGTGTTCCCCATTTAACAGGTAAGAAAACTGAAACACAAAGAAGTTAAGTCACTTGCTTAAAATCACACAGCTAATAAGCATCAATATGATATTGACTAAGTGGTCTTACACCTTACCACATTTATAACAGTAATGGGTCATAAGGAAAATGGTTAAACATTCTAAATTAAACTTCATGTTCTAGTACTAAATGCAGATGTTAAAGAAAACCTTGTCTATTGTCTTAGGTAGATTCACAGATAGAATCAACATGCAGTCTTTTAAATGGTATGAAATTCACCTGCTAGATTGGAAAGAGAAGAGTGACTTGTTTTCTCAAACAGTTTAGCTATCTTAATTATGAAAGTCTCAAGATTAAAGCTCATATCTTATCTTTTAATCCTATGATTCCAGCATTAATATTGGAGTGGTGCATAGTCCATGATTGGTTTATTTATTCACTCATTATTCATGTTATCTTTATTTTTACATTTAGACATTTTACTTACTCACATTTAATAATTCATTACTTATTAATTCATCATTCAAAATAATTGCTTCACACATTCATTTATGTATGAACCAAATATTCATTGAGCTCCTATTATTTCTTAAAACTGGGAATATAGCAATGAACAAAACATAGGGCTTACATTCTAGTGTAAGCTAGATGTGTATATAATGTATGTAATTTAATGTTAATGTAAGCTAGTGTAATGTCTATGTATTATAAACAATACATAGTAAACAAAATTAGGGTCAATTCTCATTATTTATGGTTGTTAAGTGCTACAAAGTTGCTGCAAACACTAAATTAGCAACTATTGAACTATTGCTCCTAAGGTAAATACAGGTTTAATTTCCTGTGAGCCTCTAGTTACATTTTTGTCAACCTCTCAATATAAATCTTGTTTATATATGTTTCTGTTTAAAGACACCGTATTTAATATATATTGTTGACTTATTAACATTGAACCCATGGCTAACAGCACTATAACTCATCCCTGAACAAACTTAACACATAGATTTTCTCCTCAAGGGAGGTCACAGCCTTCTGGGGCTTAGGATCACTAGATAGCATGTCAGCACTGTGTTTGCGGGCCATTCTAAACAGCAAAATCACCAAAAAAGATTCCCAAATGTGAAAAACATGGCACTGTCAAGACCACAAAAAGGACCCTTGGGAGCCGAGACAAAAAGCCCGAGCATCGCCTCGTTCAACCTCAGCTGGGAATGTGCCTGTTGAGTGACGCAAATTTTTGCCACTCTGCACGCGTCTGTGAAGGACTGCAAAAGCACCACAAGTATTGACTCGGGGGTTACAAATAAAATCTAGCAAGTAGGCAAACTTGGTAATATGGAATCTGTGAATAATAAGGATCAACAGTGTATTTGTCAGATAAGTGCTGTGTGGAAACTAAGGCGAGGTAAGGAAGGAGGCTGGAGCAGGGCTTTCTGAAATGGTGGTTTTTGAGCACAAGCATGAAACAGGTGGAAATGTCATGCAGATACCAGAGGGAAATGCATTCCAGACAGAAAGAGCAACAGCCGTGATACCTGGCAAGTTTGAAGTGCCTGAGAAACTGTAGCTAGTGTGGTTGGAGTGGGATAAATGAGGGCACAGACTAAGGACATAAGGTTGGAGACTTAGTCAAGAACCAAACATTTGTAAATTTGTAAGCAGTGGTGAGGACTTTAATTCTGATTGAAATGGGAAGTCACTAGAGAGTCTAGGACATGCGTGTAAAAGAATCTGACCTGACTTGATTTTTATAGTACTTTCATTATACTTTTTTTTTTGAGACAGGATCTTGCACTTTTGCCCACGCTGAAGTGTCGTGGTGTGACCATGGGCCATCATAACCTCAAACTCCGGGGCTCCTCTGAGTCCCCAACTCAGCTTCCCGAGTAGCTGGGATAACAGGCTCCAGCTACTATAAATTATCCACCTGGCTAATGGTTTTTGTTGCATTTCTTTGCGAGATGGGATCTCACTCTGTTGCCCAGGCTGAGCTTGAACTCTTGGCCTCGAGTAATCCTCCCTTTTTGGTCTCCCAAAGTGCTAGGATCACAGGCCACCATGCCCATCCCTTACGATACCCTTTCCAACTGCTGGATTGAGCATAGACGGTTGGAGATCTATTCTTGTAGAGGAAGTGGAACAAGAAGCTGTAGGTATCCACTGGGGTGAACCAAACCAAAGGTGGTGGTGGCCTACATCAGGATTGTAGTGGTGAAGGAGGGACAACATGGAGGATACAGAATGTATTTTTGTAGAATAACTAAAAAGATTCTCTGGGCCAGGTGCAGTGCCTGATGCCTATAATTCCAACTACTGGATAGGCTGAGGCAGGAGGATCTCCTGAGCCCAGGAATTCCATGAACTATGACTAGTGCCACTGCACCTTCTGATTGTATTTTCTGGCTGAGATATGAGTAAAAGAGAGAACTTAATTATGAATCCAATTGTTTGACTTGAACAACTGGAAGGGTGGAATTTCAATTTATTGAGGCAGGAAAGACTAGAGAAGTTGCTGGGGGTTTCGGGGAGGTAGGCAGGAGGAGTTGAGTTTTGGACATGGCACAGAAATTATTAGACACCCCAAGATCTCAATTAGTCACTGAGATATGCTAGTTAGGAATTCAGGGCAAAAAAAATACTGTGAATATGTATTGAGTTAATGAATGTATTCATTATTGAACAAACCCATTGCATAACTTTCATCTAAGTCATTACTTAATATATGGCAAATATTTTAGTACCTATTCACATGCTGCAGAGAGCTACAGAGTGGGAAAGGCACCAGCTTCTCATCAGACAAACTGAGTTTGAATTCTGCTTCTTCCACTTAGTTATCAAAAATCTGGGGGAAATTAATATGTCAGAATCTGTTCTCCCCTATGTAAAGGGTAAAATAATACTTCCTTAATTGGATTTATTGAGGAATTAATTAAATAGTATATAAGTAAGAATCTACATAGACACTCAATACATATAAGTTCCCTTCCACCATGCCTTATAATTTCAGATAAAAGTCTGAAATGAATGATTTTTTTATCACTTCAAAAATAAATACCTGGACAAATGGCTACAAATATGACTTCAGACAATAATATTTGATTAATGGACAGAAAATAGATTGTAATAAATATATTATTGCAATATTTTATTAGCTAAGAAGGGCAAATCATAAAACTTATACCAATACTCTCTCTTGCACCCATTAAGTGAACATGACTTTCTTTTATACTTTGCCCCAACTTCACTTCAAAGTCCTTACTAACAAATTTTTTTGAGTCAACTACCAAGAATCAATGAGATTTGTATAAGAGATAAAAATCTATCAGGAAATAGGGGTTACTCAACAGCACAAAGTAGAGCAATTATTTGTATTAATAGTTAAAAATTAAAAATCAAAATATATTGACACAAACTTTAAGAAGTTCTCATATGTAAATTTTACATATTACAGCTTTGCATATTCAAGCGTTAAACTCTTATTTATATAGCCATACCTTTTCAGTTCTCTGAATGCTCAATTCTTAGGATCCTGATACTATGTAAATAGGGTATATTTTATTTATAATAACATTTAAAATTCATATACCTGGATGAGTGATCTACAACATCTTATTCAGAATTTTAAACTTTAAATTCTAGAATATTCAGGCTAGCAAAGATCATAAAGAAAACATTATTGATTAATAAGAGGAAAACAAAGTATAATTGAATGCAGACTATGTATAATTTATTATGCTAAATATTTTACCTATAAATTCCTACTAACCTCTAATTATAAATATTTCAAAGACAAGAGAATTGAAGCTTAAATGTAGTTAAGTTTATAAAATTCAGAAGCATTTGATCTGGGTTTTAAACACATTCGTTTGTTACTCCAAAGCTTATACTCTTTATTCTGTGTTATACTTCTCGAGAGAACTGTATCATAATAAAACAGTTAGCTGTTTGACCTTGGTCTGGTCACTTTAGTAATTAATTCTATGCCTAAAGTTTCTTATCTGTAACCCTAATAAAATGGAATAGATGTTTATGATCAAGATTAGCTGTCAGTTTATAGAACTTTTGTTAGAAATGTTTATCTACTGATAGGTGAAATTGAGCTTCAATCTTTTTAGACATAAACATGATAATAATAGTAATAATAAGAATAATTAACATTTATTGCATGTTTCTTGTGAGTCGGGCACAATGAGAGCAGTTCTCATGTGGATACAAGTGTGGAAGAAGGTGAATGGAAATAAAAGATAAAAGAAGTAGGGCATCAAGTCACAGGAAAAGAGTCCAGAATTGAGACATTTTTGAAGATTTCTTGAAGATGCCACAAAACACCAATTATACAATTAGTATGCTCATACTAATAATGTCTTATTTCTTTGAGTGCATTGACTTTCTCATTTAAGAGACAGGTGTCCTGTTGCAGTATGAAGTTTGCCATTTTAAAATAGATGTTAGTGAGAAAATAGAATTCCTTTTACATAACTTCACATTGCAGTCAAATTTCCGAAAGCAAATCTCTTAGGTGAAAAGAAAAATATATTTGTCAATTAAATATCTCTTTTCTTCCCCAATTATCTGTATTTAATACTGATATTTCTCTTATAATATTCTGCATTTCCACTTTTTGGACCATATCAATTGGTAGTCCTTGCCCTTCTCTATCTGCTTTTGTCTCCCAATATAAAGTTAATCACATGAATATAACCGCTTGTTTATATGGCAGTTTTCTTTAATGGGATTTTAGCTCTTACCAGGTGGGAACTGTGAGGTAGCAATTGTTTAATCCTCAGTAAAGAGTGCAGTAACAGGCATAAAAATGATTATAGAGAGGAAAAGAGAAAGAAAGGAAGGAAGTCGGTAATAGACCTCCAGATAGTCATAATAGTCACACTGTTGTCAATTCAAATGGCTGTACAATCCCAACACGTGCTGCAGTTTTCATCATGAACCATGTAAACTAGTAGTTTCTCTTCAATTTCTTAAACGACATGATCAAGGCCAGTAAAACCAGAGAGTTTCACACAGGCAAGTGATCTTTGGCAGGGACTGAACTTGTCTCTAAATGAGTATAAGGTTTGTATTTGTATATAAGTGAGTAACGATGCATAAGACATGGCATAATGTTAACGTTTCACATACTCTGAGGAGATGTTTCTCTGAAAACGTGATTAGAATGCTTGCTTCATTTGTTCAGAATGCATGCATATTTCGGCTTGTTGGGATTCACTAATGGTTTACTGGATATGCAAGAGCCTTCCTCTCTTTTCAACTTCATTAACAGAAAGGAAAGAAAGGGCCATATTTTCTCTGTAGGCATTTAAATATATATAACTTGATTATTAATTCAATCAAATTATGAGTGATGCCTATTATCTTTATGAATAGATATAAAAAGCATATAGATATGAAAGAAGCATTGATGTGGAAAATACTACAATAACAAATCTTATAAGAAAGAATTTTAGAAATAACTTGCCAGAAGGGTAATGACCTCAATTAAATTTTATGTGAAATAATAATTGGTGATTTTAATAAAGAAACACTATTGCAAATTGCATATTTGATAATATAATATTTTGGTATTTTTAAACTTCCCTCTGGCTTGCATTTATATTAAATAAAAATCTTGGAGATAATCAAGTAAGATTTATAATTTAAAGTGGCTTTTCTTTCAACATACTCAAGTAGCTTTTAAATAGTTTTAAATTCGAAAGGATGGAGAAAAGAATATTGAAGATCTTCCTGTAGATATTTTTTCTATCAATGAGAGAAAATTATTCTGCCATAAAACTGTATTATAAATATCAAATTACATATGTCTAAGGAAGACAAATTAAAAACCATGGTACAAGGAGACATTTCAGTGAGATAAACATGTTTGGTGTGAATCATCTGGAAAATATGAAATTGAAGTAACACTTTTCCTGTATGAATGTAATCTATTTCCACATATATACGGCCTTGCTTAGGCTTATACATTTTTTGAACAAATGTATACTTCACATAAAATACTCATAGACAATGTTGAGTTTGGATAACTTTGCAATTCAACTAGGAAAGGTTTTTATTACTATCATTACAAACAAATAAAACATTTTCCTGTAAGACAATGCTGAAATATATATATATATATATATATATATACTACATAGCTGCCATGCATACTTAAATGTTAAATTTAAATTAAATTTAGAAAAAGCAAAACCTGCATTATGTTTATTTTCTTCAGGCCTTGTATAGACTTTTCTGTTGCATAACGTGATTTTTATCCAGGTTCAGAATGAAGCCTGCCCCATGGGGAAGGGTTTGCATCAGCTTTTTTTGTTATTTACGTGGCATAGTTGTTCTCAGTTAGTGTTCAGTATTGTTAACAACAATAATAATTAGGTGAGCTTGTAGTGAAATGAACAACCATCAGTAGCAGGCATGTTTAAGGGGATGCACGAGACATATGAATAAACAGATTTAGAATCACTGAAAATTGGCTGGGTGGTGGCTTATGCCTGTAATTCCAGCCCCTTTGGAGGTTGAGGTGGGAGAAACATTTGAGGCCAGGAGTTCAAGATCAGCCTAGGCAACATGGCGAGAACTCTTCTCTATGAAAAACAAAACAACAGAAAAAATGTTCATACTGCCGATATATATAAAATATTTTATATTGTTAGTATATACTACCTACTGTATTTAAATTGTATGCTACTCTGCTATTTTTTTGCATCAGATTATATTTTCTTTGCATGATTGGCATTTTACCAACTATATTTTGAGGAGAAATATGACAATATTCCTGGCTATCATAAATTCTCTTTATTACTAAATAGGATTTCCAAGCATTTAGTATGTCAGTATTAACCATTAAAATGGGATAAGTCCCAAGCATACCTATAGGACACTCACTATCCTGGTGGTTCTCTTCTGGACATGCTCGAATTTCTCAAATTTTTTCTTAAAGCGTGGCACCTGAAGCAACCATAATATTCTAGATACACTCTGACAAATGCAAAAATTGGTGTCAAACCTCTTTTTTTTTTGATATCCTGAATATGATAAAGCTATTAATCCTGCTTGAGGCTCTGTGAACTTACTTAATAATCATATCTTGCTACTGCTATATGGGATTTGAGGTGATTTTCTAGGAGTTTTAGTGCAATCTCCAGGGAATTTAGTAATCAACCTCACTGCTGAATGCATCGATCAGAGTTACCATGGCTGTAACCACGGGAACCCACCAGCAGAGCTCCAGTGTCAGAAGGTCAGTTAAGAACAACTCAAAATTCTCTCCAGGGAATTTTCTAGGACACGCACTGCTTAGTTGCAGTAACATTAATAGAAATATCAGAAAACCACGCCATTACACACAATTCTGCTAAAGAAAAGCTCTGGACTCAGAGATGCTGCTGTAATAAGTTAGATAGCACGTAGGCAATCTAGCAATTTGTAATTTGTCATCATGTAGAACTTTTAAATCCGTTTTCTAAATATGTTGATACTAGCAAATCATGCACTATTTCATTTCCAGGACATAATATCTTTGATTATAAAAAGAGAGGCATCAAATATAAATCAGAAGATTGTTATTGTTGTTGTTGTTTTAATGTGACTTATTCAGTTATAAATAAACTTAAACTTATCTGATGGAGAGGAGCTAAAATGACTGCAGACACTTACAGCACTGGAATGGGTTCTTTATGAAACAGTAGTGATCTAGACTTACCCTCACTGCTCCCTAGTGCCTACACACACACGCACACACATGCTTTACCAGATCCCATGCACTGGGGCAGCTAGAATATTCTAGCACTTTTCAAGATGAATTAGACCAGATGTTCTCAACTAAGGGCTATTTTGTTCTCCAGGGAATATTGGCAATGCCTAAAGGCATTACTGGTTGATCAAAACTGGGAGGATACTTGCCTCCAGCAGGTAGAGACCTGGGCTACTGCTAAACATTCTACAACGTACAGGAAAGTCTTCCACAATAAAAAATTCTCTGGTCCAAAATATCAACAGTGTTGAGGTTGAGAAACTCTTCAGGAGACCCCCCAGTCTCCAGGCTGAGCCCTACGTTGTGCTGGCTGACACTGGAGTAGCTTCAGAGGGCACCGGCTGACTGTGGCGCCTTTACATGAGATCTGGGTTGTAAGCCAGGCTCTGTTGTTTTAGTAGCGATGGATTCCTTGAATGAATACCTCATTAACAAGGCATATTTTTGTCCAGATTATTCTCTTCTTTGGGTGGTTTACTGTTACTTCATTGTGTTATTTCTGCCTCGCAATTCCTGCCAAGATTCTGCAATTCAGCCTAAAACTTTCATCTGACTGGTACAATAACTCCGTTTTCTTCTCTCTGCCTCCTGTACCCCCTCACATACCACTACCCTAGAGCTTCACATTTATACCTGTGAAAATAATCTGTACAAAGAACAAGCCTCGTCATGTCACTCACTTGTTGGTAAACTTTGAATGGCCACCTGTTGTCACTGTGATAAAAAGCTAGCCGTGTCCTCTAGCATAACAGAGCAAACCCTGTGTAACCTGACCCTGCTTGCTTCCCCAGACTAATCTCTTGTTCCTTTGGTCCCACATTTTTCACTCTATCAATTTCCTGGAGTTCTCAGCACCAGCCATGGTGTCTCTCTTCTCAGTGTCTTATTTCAGCCTGCATCTGTGTTTACAGGATTACCCTCACCCTCCTCAACTCTCTAACTCCTGCTTGCTTCATTTACCACTTCCTCGAGGAAACCTTCTGTCACCTTTCCAGGTGGGTTACTCCTGTCATATTCCCTGTATATTTCTCTTTGCACTTCCCAGGTGGTTTGGAAAGCAGTCATTTGTGTTTGTCTCTGGATTCCATTAAGTTGTGAGCAAAGCCTTCTTCATTTTTGTGTTCCCTAACTGCCTACGTGAGGGCCCAGAAGATAGTTGTCTATTAATTTACATACAGTTTGGAATAAATGAATAAATAAATGAGCACCTGCATGAGTCATTTCACTGTTGCTAGTATATTAAATTGATTTAAATGGAATAATGTGTGCTAATTTATTTGCAGAGTAATTTTAGTTATTTATAGATATAATTCTATATAATAATCAATTCAAAGAAGATCAGTAAGTTTTTTTTCTCTTTTCTAATCTGTTTGTTTAGAGGTTCAGATTACTAAGGATTCAAAGATGTATAAATGCTGAAAGATATAATCTATTTCTAAGTTCAGATATCCTGAGAATTTCAAGTCTACCTCCCTGGTCTAAGACATAGCTGAGTCTCAAGGAAATAAACAATAATATTGAGAATATCAGCTAATACTGAGCAACTACCATAAATCAGGTACTAGGCTAAGTATATGTAATTTTCTAATTTAACCTATGAAGTGGGACTGTAATTGTTTCCCATATACATGAGGAAACTGAGGCACAGAGACACTAAACAACTACCCTGAGTTGCCCCAGTAGTATGGGAGGAAGCAGGCATAGGTTCCAGAGCTTCAGCTTTTGACCAGTATTTTCTGGTGCACCTACATACTGGCAAATTATTGCCTAAAATTCTAATTTTAAACCCAAAGATAATTTCTAGCTAATTATTCCTTAGCAATGATAAGATGAGTCATTGTGCATAAAGCACATAGTAAGTGCACAATGAAGGTATTTATTAGAATTATTATTAAGCTTTGAGATAACATAATTGTTCTGTATTAGTTTTCCACTGTAAATGAAGGAAGGTCAGCTTCCCCTCTCTACCTTCAAGCCTTTGAATAAGGATGAAATATGAGTGAGCATTTTGAAAAGTGTTGTGCAATCAACAGATATAGACTATCTTCCTCGAGCAATCGTGTTAATATGGTGCATGATCACATCTAAAATGAAAAATGTTGTATTTATCATTGGTCTAAATGAGAATCAGAAATGGATTATTTTAAGGCTGGGAAAGCATGTGTGCATAGGCCAGAGAAAGTGCTTGTTTATGACATTCAATTGTTTATACAGAAGATACGGTGGGTAGAATGTGGCCATTCTAAAGGGCAGACCTGGTAGATAGATCTACTTTCCAAGATGTGTGGCCTATACTCAGATTGCTAGGGTGGCGATGACGGAGGGTCCACTTTGAAAAAAAAGGAAAATTTGAAAACTTCATTGTTTTCCCCCATTGTCCACTGGAAAGGCATTTAATTACCTTATGGAGAAAATCATCTTTAGTTTTAGTCACCACAACACTTCTTTTCCTGAATTAAGTAAACTCTTCTTTTAAAATTTCAGATACCTGGCCTGCCACAGTGGTTCATGTCTGTAGTCTCAGCACTTTGGGAGGCCAAGATGAGAGGGTTGCTTGAAGCCAGGAATTCAAACTAGCCTGGGCATTTCCACAATAATTTTTTAAAATAAAATATAAAAACTTCAGATACTTTTCCTAAATTGAAGATGCAGAAAAAAGTTATAAACATTATGTAATGGGCTGTCGTACCACATTATAAAGAACCCACACTTTAGAACCTCATATTTACCTTAAGCAATTGCTTGCCACGGTCACTGCAGGGAGAAGTAAGAAAATGGCCAGATAATCCATTTGGAGGCAGGATTTTGCAGGCTGACTTAAGAGGACATATACATTTAAGAGTACTTCGCAGTTAACTATGCATCTGCAAACCAAAAATGTATCTGAGACAGGTCTCAATTAATGTAGAAGTTTATTTTGCCAACATTAAATACACGCACCAGGGAGACAGGTCTGCGCTTTTCTCCAAAGATGATTTTGGGGCTTCAAAATTTAAAGGTTAAAGGGCAGATATTGGGGAAAGAGGAATAATTTTTCAAAAGGTGTGGGTAGATGGGAGACAAATGGTTGCAATCTTTTGAGTCTTTCATCAGCCTTTCACCAATACACCATTTACATATGAGAGAGGGGTAGAGGAATAGTCACTTATGCCTTTGTGTAGCTCGGGAATCTGCATTTTTACGTAAAATAATGTAAGCAGTAGGGCAAAGCATGCAATCAGACATGCATTTGTCTCAGCTGAGCCAAGGGATGACTTTGAGTTCTGTCCTTTGTCCTGCACCTGTGAAAATAAGCCGTCAATTTATCTTGCCAGGGTGAAATTCAACAGAATAAAATGGGAGGCAGGTTTTCCTGATGCAGTTCCCAGCTTGACTTTTCCCTTTGGCTTAATGATTTTGGGGTCCCAAGATTTATTTTCCTTTCACAGAGCCATCAAGACTTGTTGAAAATAGATAAGCAGTCACACTTGTAGGGCCAGCACCACAGATCCTTAGCAGAACTCTACTGAAGTTCTATAAGAGGGTTTCTGCCAGAGAGCTCCCCTGGAATTGCAGTTCCTAATCTTCTTTTAGCAATAGAGCCATTACTCTCTCTTTAATGGCAATTGTTGTTGACCCTAATGACTATCTAAATGACAACAAAGTGGTTCAGTAAAGCCAACCTCTTTTTACCTAGAGAAAGAGACTTTGTGGAATTGATTGAGCAGAGCGCTTTGCAGCTCCATTAGGCAGTGGTCTCCTTAACAGCTGCAGGCTTAACTTCCTAGGGTCGGTACCAGGCTCTGAGTGAGACACCAACTGTAAAGATCACATCACTGCTGCCCTAGATTAGTAGCAAGACTTGCATTATTTCCTTTTTTCACTTTGATTTTCAGTGGCATTTCAGAATATCAGAGGCATCATGATATTCTGATGCCTCTTTTGAATACTTGAATATAAAACTTAATATATATTGACTCAGTTGAAGAAAGACCACTTGGTTTCATGATTAGAATTTTTGTGAAACATTAATGTGCTTACCTAAGGGTGAAGAAGAGTTTCTCTAATCATTGCCTTTTTTGTTTAACAAAACAAAATAAAATAGTATTGAAATACCTATGCAACAACAAGTAAATTCACTTTTACTAAGCATGGTCTCAAAAATGACTTACAGTGAGAAACATCTTAGCATGTAGAACATGTTTGATTTTTTAAAAATCATGAATGTGGCCAGGCACAGTGACTCACACTTGTTATCCCAGCACTTTGGGAGGCTGAGGTGGGAGGTTTGCTTGCTCCCAGGAGTTTTATTCCAGCCTAGGCAATATAGTGAGACCCTCATCAATACAAAAAATACAAAAATTAGCTGGGCATTGTGACGCATCCCTGTGGTCCCAGCTACGGGAGAGGCTGAGGTGAGAGAATCTCTTGAGCCAGGGAGGTCAAGGTTGTAGTGAGCTGAGATCGCACCACCATACTGAGCAACAGAGTGAGACCCTGTATCAAAAAACAAAACAAAACAAAACAAAAATTATGAATGCATTTTATAACTCATGTAATTATAAACTCAGGTCAACATAGTATTGATTTTAATTTGAAGCTAAAGTATGATAATTATTTTCTTTCCAAGGTTGAATGTGAAAAGTTGAGGCCAGGCACACCTGAGTTTGAATGTCACCTGGCCTGTAACTAGCTTAAACAAATGACTTAAACTTTGTTAGCCTCGATTTTGTCATCTATAAAATGGTGCTAATGTTATCTGCCTGCTGAGATGCAAGATTGAGTAAAATGATAAATAAAAGTGCTTAATTTAATGATTGGCAAAGGGTAGGGTCTAAAATGTCACAGATATTAAAATTATTAGAATATTCTCTTTTTTTCCAGCCCTGAATAGACACCTCATAATATGACACCCCTGAGGCTTATCGATGGCTTTAAAAACAGCTTGATATAAAAAAACTCTCTTACAATTTGTTCTTAACTTTCTAGCTGTTCACAGCTTCCCTTATCTCAGTCACAGCAAGGCTATCTCTTTCTCTGATGCCTTTTGCAGCTAGTAAACTCTGCCACCTCTCTCTCTTTCCTTTGCTGCTGTCTTTCAATTTAGCCACAGCAGAAGGACAAATCTGTTACATTTCTCGTTTTCTACCCTGAATATAGGATATCACCAAGTTTAGAGAGTACAATAAAAAGGGATCAGTCTCCTTGGGAGAAGGATTGCAATTGGAGAAATCTCAACACTTGACCATCTTTACCTGCTTGTGGTGTGTTTGTTTTAACATATCTTTCTATGAATGCTCACGCCAAGCATTCATTATTTTACAAACACATTTAATAACATCCTCACTTAATCTTCTTCATTTGAAATATATACAAATCTCGATTTGTACTGGGTATCGTTAAATGTATTTTAGTACGAAAACTCTCAAACAGTCACATGCATAGAGAATAATGAACGCTACGTAGACCCAATAGTCATTACCATGTTGTCATATGTGCTTGTTATGTGCTCCTTCCCCTACCTCTTTTTTTTTGTGAATGCATTTTACAGCAAGTCCTCGACATTTTGTCAGTTCACTCCTTCACATTCAGTGTAAATCTCTAAAACATATTTTTTGTGCATAACTACACTTAACTAATTTTTTTTTTGAGCCAAGGTCTCATTTTGTTGCCCAGGCTGGAGTGCAGTGGCCCAATCACACCTCACTGTAGCCTCGACCTCTGGGGCTCGACCTCTGGGGTTCAAGCAATCCTCCCACCTCAGCCTCCCAGGTAGCTGGGACCACAGATGTGTGCCACCATGTTCAGCACTTTTTTTTTTTGTAGAGACAGGGTCTCACTATGTTGCCCAGGCTGGTTTCAAACTCCAGGGTCAAGCAATCCTCCTGCTCCGGCCTCCCAAAGTGCTGAGACTACAGGCATGAGCCACTGCACCCAGCCACACAACAAAATTTACAATACATCCTTCATAGTTTCTAATATACAGTTAACATACAATTTTCTCAATTGTCCTTGAAGGAGTGAATGGAAAACTTCTCTTTCATCATCTGAAGCTTTTTTGGAAAAATCAGTGGACAAAAGGCACAATAATAGGAGAAAAATCATACAAGTCTGTTAATGTGCATGCGAGTCTTACAATACCTAAGAAAGCAAAGGCACGGCCAGATGGTAGACACTGTTATACCATCTTGAGGTTACAGAAAGACTAGGGGCTTGGATCTTGGCAAAACAGGTTATGGGAGAGAGAGAAGAGAAGGCCTGGTCTGCAAAGGCGGTCTTGTCATGTAGATAAAACCTCGCAGGTAGCACCCCTCAGAGAGAACAGATGGGAATTTTTTTTTTTCCAGACCATAGAGATTCCAGATTCCTAGTTAATCTTTCCTGGATCAGAACAAGAGAGGATTTCTGAGAAAGCCTGGCTACATCAGATTTTCCGTACAGATGTAAATCTCTCCTCTAAAAGGCAGATTTTCAGCTATTCTTATATTTCCAGTCCTTCTGAATAGCCATCTTGAAATATGTAAAAGTATATTTTGGGGTGAAATATTTTGGTTTCCTTTATTCTGAAAACATCTTTTTACAGTTGGTCTGTTTTGCATCGTAATCCCAGTAAGGCCCAAACATTGCATTTGGTTTTGTGTTTCTTCATTAAATCCCTTTTTATCTGGAGAAGTCCTTCTCTCTCTCTTCTTTGTCTCATGCCATTGACTTGTTGAAGAAACCAGGTGAGTTATTCTGTAAATTTTCACAGGTGTTTAGTTTGCTTTTGTTTCCTGGCAGGGTTATTTAACTCATTTCTCACTCTGGTTATTTCTCATATACTGGAAAACAGCTCTGTAGTCTAGGTTGAATTTAGGCTCACTTTTTTGTCAAGAATGCCTTCCGTTTTGAAAACTTAAGAGTGTCTGAAGCAGGGATGATATCTGTCATCTCAGAATCAAATTTATGAATTCTAACCAGTAATAATTAAATGTGTTTATTTAATATGACACATCACATGTCCGTGTAGCAATATGATTTTTAGAATTACAAGTAATGAAGGAAGTATATGTGTATACATATAAATATTTCTCCTTTCCATCTTTGGAGGAATGAATTAGCTCTTAATTTTATCCATGTCTATTATTTGAGGGAAAAGAAAAAGATCAAAAAGTTTCCTCTCTCATATGATTTATTCATTCATTTATTCACTTATGGAACATCATGCATTGAGATTTTACTTTGGATCAAGAACTGTGCTAAGTGCCAAAGATAAAAAGACAAATGAGACTTGATCCTTAGCCGCAAGAAATTACAATCATGTGATAATGAAGCTGATTGGTATAAAACTTGTTTCCCAGAGACCAAGAGCAGTAGGATTATATACCTACCTTTGTCCATAAAACAATGTTAAAAAAAGCACATGTTTTCAGGACATATGTTGTCAGGACCTCCTGAGGCTATGTCATGGGAAAAAAATGTACATAGATATCATCTAAGAAAACATAAGACAGACATGTATGGTTCAAAATAATCTAAAGTACAAACTTTATTTTATATTTGCATACCAATGACCTAAAACAGTTGACTCAACATAAGAATTTCACATCGATCATGGAAAGTAGCATCAAAAAGAAAGAAAATTTTGTTCTCAATGAATTTTTAATTGACTAGTTTAAAATAAGCCAAGTACATTGAAAAATATACAGCATTTTGTAACTTCCAATTGCTAACATAATCTAAAATATAATACAATGTATGTTAAATGTCATAACCTGTGTGAAATGCAAACTACATTGTATTGTAGTTTGCAGGAATATACCTTAACCATTTGCAATAAGAACAAACTTCCTAAAAGAGTTTGAAGTGTAGACTCTTTCAAGAATACATGCAATTTTTTTTTTCCTTTCTGAGACAGGCTCTCGCTTTGTCACACGGGCTGGGCATACTGTCAGCTCACTGCAGCCTCGATTTGCAGGGCACAAGCAATTCTCCTACATTTGCCTTCTAAACAGCTGGGACTACAGGCCTGCGCTGCCATGCCCATCTAATTTTTTTGTAGGGACAGGGTTTTGCCATGGGTTCAAGCGATCTGCCTGCCGTGGCCTCCCAGAGTGCTGAGATTATGGGCATGAGCCACTGCTCTTGGCCATACATGCAATTTCGAAAGGATAAATATTGTAGGATATTCAGGTGCTTATGTGTTTATCAGGAAGTAAGAGGTGTCTTAATTTTCCTGGACCATGGGGATCATGTAGGAAAGTCCTGAATAATGATATTGGATCAAGTTGGTGCAAAAGTAACTGCAGTTTTTGTCATTAAAAATGATGACAAGAACTGCAGTTACTTTTGCACCAACCTAATAATTGTCATTTGAGGACCTTTTATGGAGGCCCATAAATGGTCTAGGAAAATAAACAGTATAGGACCATTAAAGATTGCCAAATACGAAGGTAATAAGTTTGTATCAACAATTTTGGTGTGGTTATCCAGAGGCAGTTCAAAATAATTTTTTTATATACTTTAAGTTCTAGGGTACGTGTACACAATGTAAAGGTTTGATACATAGGTATACTTGTGCCATGTTGGTTTGCTGCACCCATTAACTCGTCATTTACATTAGGTATTTCTCCTAATGCTATCCCTCCCCCCCTCCCCCCACCCCATGACAGGCCCCAGTGTGTGATGTTCCCTGCCCTGTGTCCAAGTGTTCTCATTGTTCAATTCCCACCTATGAGTGAGAACATGCCGTGTTTGATTTTCTGTCCTTGCAATAGTTTGCTCAGAATAATGGTTTCCAGCTTCATCCATGTCCCTACAAAGAACATGAACTCATCCTTTTTATGGCTGCATAGTATTCCATGGTGTATATGTGCCACATTTTCTGAATCCAGTCTATTATTGATGGACATTTGGGTTGGTTCCAAGTCTTTGCTATTGTGAATAGTGGCACAATAAACATATGTGTGCATGTGTCTTTATAGTAGCATGATTTATAATCCTTTGAGTATATACCCAGTAATGGGATGGCTGGGTCAAATGGTATTTCTAGTTCTAAATCCTTGAGGAATTGCCACACTGTCTTCCACAATGGTTGAACTAGTTTACACTCCCACCAACAGTGTAAAAGCGTTCCTATTTCTCCACATGCTCTCCAGCACCTGTTGTTTCCTGACTTTTTAATGATCACCATTCTAACTGGCATGAGACGGTATCTCATTGTGGTTTTGATTTGCATTTCTCTGATGGCCAGTGATGATTAGCATTTTTTCATGTGTCTTTTGGCTGCATAAATGTCTTCTTTTGAGAATGTCTGTTCATATCCTTTGCCTACTTTTTGATGGGATTGTTTGATTTTTTCTTGTAAATTTGTTCAAGTTCTTTGAAGGTTCTGGATATTAGCCTTTTGTCAGATGGGTAGAATGCAAAATTTTTCTCCCATTCTGTAGGTTGCCTGTTCACTCTGATGGTAGTTTCTTTTGCTGTGCAGAAGCTCTTTAGTTTAATTAGATCCCATTTGTCAATTTTGGCTTTTGTTGACATTGCTTTTGGTGTTTTAGTCATGAAGTCCTTGCCCATGCCTATGTCCTGAATGGTATTGCCTAGGTTTTCTTCTAGGGTTTTTATAGTTTTAGGTCTAACATTTAAGTCTTTAATCCTTCTTGAATTAATTTTTGTATAAGGTGTAAGAAAGGGATCCAGGTTCAGCTTTCTACATATGGCTAGCCAGTTTTCCCAGCACCATTTATTAAATAGGGAATCCTTTCCCCATTTTTTGTTCTTGTCAGGTTTGTCAAAGATCCGATACTTGTAGATGTGTGGTGTTATTTCTGAGGGCTCTGTTCTGTTCCATTGGTCTATTCTCTGTTTTGATACCAGTACCATGCTGTTTTGGTTACTGTAGCCTTATAGTATAGTTTGAAGTCAGGTAGCATCATGCAGAAGCAATACAAAATAATTTAAGGGAGAGACCAGGACCCTTACTAGCAGGTGATTACAGTGGATGGCATAACTGCTGATAGCCTCTTCCAGTTATTCAGTGCAGGATTTGCAGACTCATGCTTGTAGGGTTCCAGTGGCTCACAGGCAGCACCTGCTAATGTCTCATGATCTGCAGTTTCAGGATACCTGTTAGCACCAGTCCTCTGAACAGCTGTGCCCTGAACCTATGATTTTTTGCATTTAGTGTCTATATCCATTGTCACTATATATAATCATCAGCTGACTTGCTGTATAATTCTACCATCAAGCAAGGAAGTATTAGCTGAAATATAGCCCATAGTCTACCCACCTAAACATTGACCTCAAGCACAGGGGCGTGGCCATCTTTTAGAATGGAGAGGTGTTGTGAATTCATGCAGTTGCTATAGGGGCTAGCTGAGTCACTGCCTGTATTCCAAGGCTGCTCCTTGATCATTCATTCAGTACTGGTGTCTTCTTTAATGTTATGTGTTTGTTAACAGTATATTGACTAACATCTTGAGGGCTAAATATTAACAAACAAGTAAAAAACATGCCTGCTGCTTTGCTGCAATCCGTGGGATGCCAATTTTTACCCTATTTAAAGGATTTCAAACCTACAGAATGTTGTGCGAGCACAGAAATCATGAGAGTTGTGGAGAAGCTGCTTAGAAGGCAAATATGAGTCCATTTTGAAATATGTTGATAAAAGCAACTGGTGGAAAATGCAGACACACCACTGGGAATGTATTCAACTCTCTGAGTAGAAGCTAAAACCCAAAGAAACATAAGTGTCATAGTATGGAGATTATAGTTGTAACTGTACATAAGACAATAAAAACATAACAGAAATGTATACAGTGAAGAATATGTATTGTAGAACATTTGGTTGTTTACTAATACATAGTTCAGGAAAAGTAGAAATACTAGAAATTGGCTAGAGAAAATACCAATCAAAATCATGATTTCCAGTCAG
Source organism: Homo sapiens (assembly GCF_000001405.40). NCBI lineage: Eukaryota > Metazoa > Chordata > Mammalia > Primates > Hominidae > Homo > Homo sapiens. Next base: position 180,777,673 of record NC_000004.12, read on the forward strand.
GCTATTCAGTGTTCATCACTGTTTTCACACATCTTGATTTACCTTTCCTCTACTGTAATTGTAGTAACTAAAAGCTACAGGGCATTGAAGAAGAATAGAAAATCATAATAACAAGCTATTGCATTTCTGCACATTTTTAAATCAACACACTGAAAATCTTATTTAGCTGTGGACCCAAATATATTTTTTAATCCGACCTTTGGCTCAAACTCAAATTGTTTGAAATAAACGTTTATCAGAAATGAAAGTTGTCTTCATGATACTCCTTCTTTTATCAATTTTTTTCTCTTGAGCTAAAATATACGAAACATAAAACTTACCATCTTAATCATTTTAAAGTGTACGGTTCCTTGACATAGAATACATTCATAATGTTATGCATCCTTCCCTCCTATCCATCTCCACAACTCTTTTCATCTTGTGAAGCTGAAACTCTGTAGTCATTAAACAATAACTCACCATTCCCCTCTCCCCTCATCCCCAGCAACTTCTCTTCTACTTTCTGTCTCTATAGATTTTGACTACTTCAAGTATTTCATGTAAGTGGAATCATGTAAGATTTGTCTTTTAGTGACTGATTTATTTCATTTAACATAATGTCTTCAAGCTTCATCCATGTCGTAGCATATGTAAAAAGTTCCTTCCTTTTTAAGGCTAAATAACATTTTCTTGTATGTTTATAATACATTTTGCTCATCCATTTATTAATCAATGGACATTTGGGTTGCCTCTGCATTTCTGCTATTGTAAGCAGTGCTGCTATGAACGTGGGGGTACAAATTTCTATTCAACATCATGATATCAATTCTTTTGGCTGCATGGTTGGATCATAAGGTAAATCTACTTTTAATTTTTTTGAGGAACCTCCATATTGTTTTCCATAGAGGCTATACCATTTTCCATTCCTACTAGCAGGGCACACGTGTTTCAATTTCTTCACGTCATTGGCAACAGTTGATATTTTCTGTTTCATTGTTAGTAGCCATCTTAATAGATATGAGGTCGTATCTCAATGTAGCTTTTGTTTGCATTTCCATGTGAATGTTTAGTATCTTTTCATGTGTGTGTGTTTTTGTTTTTTGTTTGTTTGTTTGTTTGTTTGTTTGTTTTTTTGAGAGGTAACCTTGCTCTATTGCCCAGGCTGGAGTGTATTGACACAATCTGGCTCACTGCAACCTCCACCTCCTGGTTCAAGTGATCCTCCCACCTCAGCCTCTCAAGTAGCTGAGACTAAAGGCATGCACCACACCCAGCTAATTTTTGTATTTTTTTTAGTAGAGACAGGGTTTCACCATGTTCTCCAGGCTAGTCTCAAACTCCTGACCTTGGGTGATCCACCCACCTCAGCCTTCCAAAGTGCTGGGATTACAGGCATGAGCCACTGCACTTGGCCCTTTTCATGTACTTTTCATGGATATTTGTATATCTTGTTTAAAGACATGCATACTCAAGTTCTTTGCCCATTTTTGAATTGAATTGATTATTTTTTCATTACTGAGCTTTAGAAGTTCTCTATATATACTGAATATTAATTCCTTATCAGTTGCAAATATTTTCTCCCATTCTGTGGGTTGCCTTTTTACTCTGTTGATACTGTCTTTTGATGCACAATTTTTAAAAATTTTTATAAAGTCCAGTTTGTCTATTTTTATCTTGTTGCCTATGCCTTTTATGCCATATCCAAGAAAATAATCCAATGTTGTGAAGCTTCTGTCCCATGTTATCTTCTAAAGATTTTATAGTTTTAGGTGTGAACTTTAGGTTTTTAATTCATTGTGAGTTATTATTATTATTTTTTGCATGTAGATATCTAATTTTCCGAGAATCATTTGTTGAAAAGGTTATTCTTTCCCCATTGGATCCTTTTGGCACTCTTTTAAAAAAATCATTTGACCATGTATGCAAGGGTTTATTTCTGGGCCCTCTATTCTATTCCACTGGTCTATATGTATGTCTTTATGACAGTACCACACTGTATTAACCACTGTAGCTTAGTAGTAAGTTTTAAAATCTGGGAATGTGAGTCCTCTATCTTCATTTCACATGAATTATAAGGTGTTTTTTTTTTTTTAGCTTCTGCAAGGAGGATTGTTGGGATTTTGATAGGTATTACCCTGAATCTGAAGATCGCTTTCGGTAGTGTTGATGTCTTAACAGTTTTGTCTTCCAATCTATGAACATAGAATGCATTCCTATTTATTTATGTCTTCTTAAATTATTAGTTTTCATTGCACAAGTCTTTAGCTTGCCTGATTAATTCCTTAGTTTTTTTTTTTTGTTTTAAAGCTATTGTTAATGAAACTGTTTTTATGATTTCTTTTTCAGATTGTTCATTGGTAGTATATAGAAATGCAAGACTTTTTTCTTCACATTGACCCAATTGTATCCTGCTACTTTGCAGAATTTATATATTAGCTCTAGCAGGTTTTTGGGGGGTCTCTGTCTGTGAAATCTTTAGAATTTTCTGTATATAAAATCATATAATTTGCAAACAGAGATAATTTACCTTTTCCTTTCCAATTTAGATACCTTTTTCTCCTTGCCTAATTGCTCTGGCTAAACCTCCCACTACTATGTTGAATAGAACTAGCAAAGTGGGCATTCCTGTTTTGTTACTGATCTTAGAGGAAACGTTTTCAGTCTTTCAGCATTGAGTATGTTTACTGTGAGTTTTCATATATGACTTTTATGTTGTTAAGGTCATTTTCTTCTATTTCTAGATTATTGAGTTTTTTATTATAAAAGAATGTTAAATTTTGGCAAATGGGTTTTCTTTATCAAATGAAATAATCACGTTTTATCCTTCTTCCTGTTAATATGCTTGGTGTATTAAATGGATTATTGTATATTGAACCATTCTTGCATTTCAGAAATAAATTTCACTTAATCATAGTGTATAATTCTTTTATTTTGCTGTAAAATTTTGTTTACTAGTATTTTGTTGAGGGTTTTTGCATCAATGCTTTTAAAGGATATTGGTCTATAGTTTGATTTTCTTGTAATATCTTTGTCCAGCTCTGGGATCAAAGTAGTGCTGATCTCATAGAATGAGTTACAAAGTGTTCCCTCCACTTTAATTTTTTTGAGAACTTTGGGCAGTATTAGTATTAGTTCTTCTTTAAATGTTTGGTAGAATTGGTAGAATTCACCCATAATTCCATCAGGTTCAAGATCTTTCTTTGTAGGATATTTTTTATTTGTAATTTAATCTATTTACTAGCGATAGTTCCATAAATTTTCTATTGCTTCATGATTTAGTGTTGGTAGGTTCTGTGTTTCTAGAAATTTTTCAATTTTATCTAGATTCTCCAATTTGTTGGAATACAATTGTTTGTAGTACTGTCATAATACTTTTATTTCTGTAAAATTATTAATAATGTTACCAATTTTATTCCAATTTTAGTAATTTGAGTCTTCTTTCTTTCTTTTCTTAGTCCACCTAGCTAAAAGCTTTTCAATTTTACTGATCTTTTAAAATAATCAAATTTCATTTCATTGATTTTTCCCTATTTTCTATCTGCTATTCTATTTATCTTTGCTCTGATGTCTATTTTTTTTCCCTTCTGCTAGTTTTTGATTAAGTTTGTTTGTGTTTTTCTAGTGCCTTAAGTTGTAAACTCAGGTTGTTGATTTTGGATTTTCTTGCTTTTTAATGTAAACATTTATAGCTATAAATTTATCAATTACTACTGTTTTCTATGTGTCACATAAGTTTGGGTATGTTGTATTTTCATTTTCCTTTATATCTAAGTGTTTTCTATTTTCCCTTGTAATATCTTCTATAAGACCATGTTGGTTAATTGCAACAAATTTTTGGATTTTCCCGTATTACTTTTGTTATTGATTTCTAATGTCATCATTGTGCTTGGAGAAGAGACTTCAGATCATATCTACCTCTTTTTAAATCTATTGAGGCTTAATTTGTGACCCACCACATGGTCTATCCTGGAAACTGTTTTATGTGCACTTGAGAAGAATGTGTATGATGTTGTTGAGTAGAGTGTTCTATATATGTCTGTTAGATCTAGTTAGTTTATCATGTTTAACTTCTCTATTTTCTTACTTATCCTCCGTCTGGTTGTATCTCCATTATTGAGAATAGGGTACTGAAGTCATCAACCATTACTGTACAACTAGCTATTTCTCCCTTTAATTTTATCAGTTTTTGATTCATATATTTGATTGTCTGTCATTAGGTACATAAATGTTTATAATTATTACATCTTGCTGTATTGAATTTTTTATTAATATATAATGCTTTTTTTTCTCTTTTAAACTTTTCAAAAGTCTATTTTGTCTGATATTAGCATAGCTACTCCTGCTCTATTTGGATTACTATTTGTATGGAATATCTTTTTCCATCTTTTCACTTTTAATCAATTTGTGTTGTTGGATCTAAAAGTAGTCCTTGTATGTAGCATATGGTTGGATGATGTATTTTTATCAGTTTTGCTAATCATTGTCTTTTGATTGGAAATTTTATTCCACTTACATTTAAAGTAATTAATGATAAAGAGGAACTTACTTTGTTCTCTTATTATTTGTTTTCCATAATACCTTATAACTTTTTATTTCTCATTTCCTGCATTATTATCTTCTTTTGGTTTTGGTTTTTGTATTGAAATGTTTACATTTATTTCTTATTTTCTTTTGTGTATATTCTATAGCTGTCTTCTTTGTAGTTATCATGGAGATTACACTTAACATCCTAAAGTTATAACATTCTAATTTGTGTTTATACCAGCTTAACTTCAATAACATACAAAAACTTTTCTCCTTTACAGCTTCATCCCCACAGCTTTCAGTTGTTTATATCAGAAAATTATATATTTATACATTGTGTGCCCATAAACACATACTAATAATTCTTTGAAATGCACTACTTTAAAAAATTATTTGGAGTTGATTATGTGGAGGTATATACCAAAGTAATACTAGCTTTTGGACTAATAATTCTTCTAATGTATTAGTCTCTGAAATCATATAGGAAAAAAAGTAGAGTTAAAAACTTTTGTTACAATCATACTAAGTTTTACAAATGCCCACATATTTCATATTTCCCTTTATTGAAATCTGTTTCTCTCCCTATGACTTCAAGTTACTGCCTGGTATCCTATCATTTCACAGAAGTCCCTTGAACATTTTTTACAGGGCAAGTCTAGTCCCTTGGGCTTTGCTTATCTGGAAATGTCTTAATTTCTTTCTCACTTTTGAAGGATAGTTTTGCTAGAGGTAGGATTTGGGGTAAGCAGAGTTTTGTTTTGTTTTTCTTTTAGCACTTTGAATAGATCAGCCCACTGCCTCTGGCCTCCAAAGTTTCTGGTGAGAAATCTGCAAGTAATCTGATCCTTGTCTATTATGAGTTGGTTCTCTCTTTCTGCTTTCAAATTCTCTTTTTCTTTCAAAAGTTTGATTATAATGTATCTTCGTATCCCTTTGAGTTTAATTTAGCCGGAGTTCATTGATTTTCTTGCATGTTAATATTCATGTCTTTCACAAAATTTGAAATCTGATTGTCATTAGATACATATATGCTTATACTTGTTGTATCTTCTTCAGCCATTGTTTCTTCACATATTCTCCATGCCCCTTTCTCTTCCTTTTCTCCTTCTGAGATACGTACAATGCATATGTTCATCTGTTTCATGATGTCCCAGGGGTCCTTTAGTCCCTATTCATTTTTCTTCAACCTTTTTCTCTCTGTTTCCCAGATTTATTAATGTCCGTTTTCTTATCTTCAACTCTACTGATTCTTCTGCCTCCTCAAATCTGCATATAATCCCTCTAGTGAATTTTTAAATTTTAGTTAAATTTAGTTATTATTATTTCAACTCCAGAATTTTTTGTTTCTTTTTAGGTTTTTTATCTCCTTATCAATATTTTCATTTTGTTTATACATCATTTTCTTGATATTCTCCACATCTTCCTTTAGTTCTTTATACATCTTTAAGACAGTTGTTTTAAATGTTTGTCTCATATAGCTGCCATCAGGTTTTTTTCAGGGGTAGTTTTTGTTAATTTACTTTTTTTCCTTTGAATAGGCCATACTTTTCTGTTTCGTTGTATGCCTTCTCATTTTTTTGTTGGAAACTGTACATTTGAATCTAATAATATGAAGTAAGTACAGAAAGATGTGACACTTTTCTCACCCATCATAAAGGTTATGGCTGACACTCTTAAAACACAGATTAACAGGATAAAAGCATAACAAATTTATTTAATCAAAGTTGTATGTGATACAGAAGAGTTCAGAAATGAAGATTCAAAGACCTATGGAAAACTGCCTATTTTTATACTTATATTCATTGAAGAACGGGCAGCCATGTAGAAATGTGATTGGACAAAAGGGTATAATATGATGGTAATAGACCGAAGGGGGAACCCCAGTGAGTCTTGTCTAGATTCTTCTTGGCCTCTCTGTATGGCTTTTTTTTTTTTTTTTTTTTTTTCAGGTATGGGGAAGAAACTTTCTAGAATGAAGGTCTTCATGGGAGAAGGGAGAAAAAGAGAGTACCCTTTCTAGGTTTTATGGCTTGTTTGGGAAAGAGTAGTTCTAATTTCTTCTTCTTTTTTCCTTTTTTTTTTTTTTTTTTTTTTTTTTTTTTTTGAGAAGGAGTTTTACTCTTGTTGCCCAGGCTGGAGTGCAATGGCGCGATCTTGGCTCACTGCAACCTCCACCTCCTGAGTTCACGCGATTCTCCTGCCTCAGCCTCCCAAGTTGCTGGGATTACAGGCGCCTGCCACCACACCCAGCTAATTTTTGTTATTTTTAGTAGAGACAGAGTTTCGCCATGTTGGCCAGGCTGGTCTCGAACTGCTGACCTCGTGATCCGCCTGCCTCGGCCTCCCAAAGTGCTGGGATTACAGGTGTGAGCCAACGCGCCTGGCAAGAGTAGTACTAATTTTTACAACACACCTTGGGATAAAGAAATTCTAATTTCTATGAGTTGTTTCAGGGGAGAAAGAAAGGAGACAGGAGGGTAGGAGAAGGTCAGAGAGATCTTGCTTCTGAGGCCCTTCCACTGTCCTTCAGCTTAAAGCACTCAGCACACCCAACTGGCATACTTTGAAATAACATGTTTTGAGCTCCAAAAGTGATAACTCTGGAAAGCATAGTCTCCCTCTTCCTCACGGTTTGTTGTTTGTTTTGTTTTTGTTATTTGTTTGTTTTGTTGTTGTTGTTGCAGGCTATCTCTGTGCCTAGAGTTAGCCTGTGGTGTAAAGTTAAGGTTTTCCTAGCTCTTTTCTGATCCTTTCCCTGGGCACAGGTAGTCGCTTTCTTATTTTCCCCATATATACTGTTGTTTTTTTGAATCTCCTAAGTCTTTAATATCTGACTCCCAAAAGGGGAAAAAGAGAAAAATGACAGGGATTTGAGAGAGGGTGCAGGGCCCTTTAAACCCTCTGGAAGTCATTTCAACTGGAGAGGGCGGAGCAGTGGATTGCATTAATGGGGAAGGGGCAACAATGGCTGCCTGCCTTTTGTCTGCACCTCTGTGATCTGAAGCAACAATCAGTGCTCAGAGCACAGATCCCTGATATTTGGAGAATAGGGCCCTCTTTACCTCCTCTGGCTCCTGCAAGCTGTTTTCAGGGTTTCAGAAACAGGTGCACATCAGGTTTGCCAGGTAGTGAGGGGTGGGGGATGAGTAGCTGCTACGCCGCGAAAAGCTGAAATCGATGGAAATTAACCATACTTCGCTGTCCAAGCCTTCCCGTGGAAGTTGCAAGCCTTCAATACACTCCAGAGTTCCAAAATAGTTAGAGATTCCACCGACGCAATTGTTGTCTAGGTCGGGAGACAGATTCTCGGAGCTTCCAACTCTGCCGTCTTCCCAGTATCCTCCAATAATTCCTTTAGTTTTTTCAAGGTAAGCATTTCAAATTTTTTGCAAGATTAATTTTATCAAAATTATATTTATTATACTTCAAGGATTGAAACCTTGAAATATATTTTCATGAAATGGGAATATAACTAAAATAATTTAAATAGAGACTCCAAGGAAAATGTGAGATTCTTGTTGCATATTGTTCTAAGATCTTTTTAAATTGTCCAAACCAACCAACCAACCAGAGAAAAGGACGTAAAGGCAAAAATAAATAACCATTTCCCCTCATTTTCTGCTTTTAAGTACTAGTAAAGGAAAAGAGTGTTGTAGACTAATGGAAATGTTTACTTCAAGAAATAGCCACTTTTTCCTTGCTTCTCTTTATCTCACTATTTTATCAACTAGGGTGTGGAAAAAGTTTTTATTGACATTGTTTCTAAAGAACATCAGGATTTCTAAAAACAGATGCACAAACAAACCAAAAACAAATGTGTATTTGTATATTTAAGTTACTTTTGATTAATGGATTTGAGAGAAAGGCCAACACCACCAAAGTGTAAATCAGTTTAAACCATACAGAATGCACACTTACTAGGACTTACAGTATTATTTGTTATCACTATGTGTTACGGGAGGCAGGGAGGTAACATTGCTAAAAAGGGAATTTTACTTAACTATTTACATGTTGCTGAGATACCCTAATATTTTTTAGAATATTTCTTAGCTAGATTGTCAGTTTTTAAGGGCGCAGTGTTACCTATTTATCATAGTGTTTTGCAATTCAGGAGGATGAATAGGGTTCAACACAAGAACTGCAAGCCAGTTATGGAAACTAGTGTCAAGACAGGCATTAGAAAAGTTTAAGTAGGCCGGCGCGGTGGCTCACGCCTGTAATCCCAGCACTTTGGGAGGCTGAGGCAGGAGGATCATGAAGTCAGGAGATCGAGACCATCCTGGCCAGCATGGTGAAACCCCGTCTCTACTAAAAATACAAAAATTAGCCGGGTGTGGTGGCGCACACCTATGGTCCCAGCTACTCAGGAGACTGAGGCAGGAGAATGGCTTGAACCCAGGAAGCGGAGGTTGCAGTGAGCCGAGATTGTGCCACTGCACTCCAGCCTGGCAACAGAGTGATACTCCATCTCAAAAAAAAAAAGTTTAAGTAGTAAAACATATCATTCAGTTTATAGAGTTTTGATAGATGTGATAATACTGAAAGTGGATCTTGAAAGATAAGGAAAAATTGACGTTCATTTTATTCATTTAGAAAAATTTTCTGAACCCCTTTTAAGTATCAAATGTTGTTTGACTTACTAAAGATACCACTGTCAGTCAAACAGGCATAGTCCCAGTCGTCAAACAGCTTAATTCATGAGAGAGAAATAGAAGATGAACAAGTAATATACAGTATAATGTTAGGTATTGACAAGTCCTGTGAAGAAAACACTACCCACTACTCACTTTAAGAAGTTATGGACAGGAACGGTATTTTAGAAAAGGGTGATTGGGGGCGGGGCATGGTGGCTCACGCCTGTATTCCCAGCACTTTGGGAGGCCGAGGCAGGCAGTTCACGAGCTCAGGAGTTTGAGACTAGCCTGGCTAACAGAGTGAAAACCCATCTCTACTAAAAATACAAAAATTAGCTGGGCACGCGCCTGTAGTCCCAGGTACTCAGGAGGCTGAGGCGGGAGAATCATTTGAACCTGGGAGGCGGAGTTTGCAGTGAGCTGAGACTGCACCACTGGACTTCAGCCTGGTGAGACGCCGTCTTAAAAAAAAAAAAAGAAGGAAAGGGTGATTGGGAAGGCTCTCTGAGGAGGTAATACAGGAAGAGAAGAAGAAAACACATCAACAGAGGATGAGTATTCCAGGTAGGGAGAAATGCAAGGGGAAAGGCCAAAAACAAGAATATGCTTGGCATGTTGGAAAAACATCAAGAAAGTTGCAAACTACAGTACAGTGTGTTGTAAAGGAGAAAAAGTATTATCTTTTTTTCACTCATCACAAAGTCCATGGCCGAGACTCCTATAACAAAAGATTAACAAAAGAAAGGCATAACAAGTTGATTTAATAGAAGTTTTACACGACATGTGTTCAAAGAAAAACTTTAGCCGAATTAAATTTAAAAGAGTAATGAATGAGTCATGAATCAAACAACCTCCTGAGCCAGGGTAGGCTCAGACTCCAGTGCATTCACATATTGGAAGAAGATTTATGAACAAAAAAAGAAAGTGATCTCTATGAAATGGAAGTGTGAGGTACAGAAACAGCCAGACTGGCTACAGCTCAGTATTGTCTTATTTAAACATGGTTTGAACAATTGGCCACGTTTGATTGGCCAAAACTCAGTGATTGGCACAACAGTAGGTTACAGCCCATTTACACCTCTATTTAGGTTGTAGTTCACAATATACAGAGAAACCTTTAGGCTGAACTTAAAATACATAAGGAGGCAGCTTTAGGCTAAACTTTGTTTACCACATGGGAGCCTTCAGAAACTGAGACCCAGAGAAACGGGGAGATCCGTGTGTTTTCACAGACAGTTATACATAAGCATGATTGGAGGACAAAGGGGTATGACCTAACCATAATCAACTGGGGGAAATTTAGCAAGGCCTATTTGTTCAGTTTCTTCTTGGTGTCATTATGTTCATTCCTTCCTTCCAGGTTTGGTGTAGGACACCTGTCACATGAGGTTCTTTGGAGAAGAAGGTCAGAGAATGAACCTCCTAGGTTTTTGTTTTGTTTTGTTTTGTTTTGTTTTGTTTTTTGAGATGGAGTCTCACTCTGTCACCCAGGCTGGAGTGCAGTGGCATGATCTCGGCTCACTGCAAGCTCCCCGTCCTGGGTTCAAATGATTCTCCTGCCTCAGCCTCCCATGTAGCTGGGACTACAGGTGTGTGCCACCATGCCTGGCTAATTTTTTGTATTTTTTAATAGAGACGGGGTTTCACCATGTTAGCCAGGATGGTCTTGATCTCCTGACCTTGTGATCCACCTACCTCGGCCTCCCAAATGCTGGGATTACAGGCGTGAGCCGCTGCGCCCCGACCCCTCCTAGGTTTTATGGTCTGCTTCAGGGAAGAAGGGGGAGAGGGAAGGTCAGACAGAGTTTACTGCTTGTGCTGTTTTCTTCATTTCCAAGGTGTCATATTTTGGGTTAACATTTCTTACACCCCGTCAGAGTAAAGGAGAAAATGGTAGGAAATGCAGCCAAGGCCACAGCCCGGTGCCGAATCCTGTAGCGCCTTGTCAGAAAAAAACTAGTGTTGAAGGGTGTTTCACACAGAAAGGTCAAGGTATAGAAAGACACATACGCCAGAATATGAATGGTATGTTCAGAACCTTTTAAGCAATTCACTGTGACTTTGTTGCATTTCACAAATGGGAAGTATTAAGAAATAACAAAATGAGGATATGCAGGAGTTGGGGCGACTTGAGTCTTCTTTCATTAAGCAGATTAGGACTGGTTGAGCAATTGGAGTAGAGGCTGGTGTGTCTCCTTTGTGTGTTGGTAGGATCGCCATCAGCAGAGTGAGAACCAGTCGAGGTGAGTGAGACTGGAGGCTAGGAAACCAGTGAGGACGGTATATGGCCAAAAAGCAAATGATCAGAACTGCAACAGAAAGGTGACATTAAACAGTGTTAAAAGGTATAAACTTCTCATTAACTAAACCACATGGTAAGGTCCTGAAGGGCAAAAAACATAAATCCCGTAGTATCATTGCCTCACAAATAAAATACACTCAATAGATGCTTTTGTAGCAATTATTTGCTTTAACTTGAAATTTGGATATATCAAAATGAAGATAGGAAAACCCTTATATAATTAGGAAAAATGTAAGTTTCTGATTGTATATATACATTGATAGACAAAGAAGATATTTTAAAACCTTAACAAAGAATGCACTGGTCAAGAATTCTGCCAAAATTAGTTCAAATTGATGGTAAATAAATATAATATTTTTTTTTCATCTTGGAGCAGAAGAATTCTGACACTTAGCAGTCGGTGTTGTTCACCATACTAAATACAGTTTTGGTTACTTGCATCAACCATTTTGATAGTAAAAAGACCGGAAGAAGATCTGCTGGTCATTATAATTCATCAAAGAATTCCACATAACCTGATGACTTTATACAAGTCCTTTCCATCCCCTTAGGCAGAGTAAAAACCATTTGGAAACATTTCATGGAAGAGTAACACAAACAATTAAGGTGTAATATGGCTAAATGACAGTTGAAAAACACTTAAAAGTCTTAATTGAAATGAGAACACTTCTAGGACTGGCTTGAGGTGGTAGAATTACTTAGATTAATGTGAGTAAAATAAGAGATAATGGCATGAAATTGAGTAAATCATGCTGACCCTAGAGTTTGTGGATCATCAAACATACAAATGGCAGTTTTAAAATCACCTTTTCCTTGGAGCGTTTAAGTATAAATATACATTACTGACATTTTAGGGGGAAATTTTCTTTAGAATATAAAATAATGGGCACGTTCACATGTTTAAAATTGTTCTGTCCGGTATGTAGTGCAGAAATGCAGAAATGTTCGTGCTATTAAAAGGAGCCGGGTGGTGAGCCAGACTCTACCATCTGGGGGTAGAGTTTACGCCACTGCATGAAACTAAATTTGAATACTAGACCAGCAAACAAGTTAATGTCCCAGTGCCCAGCTCTACACATGTGGCAACTGGGCTTCTGGCCTCTTCACTCCAACCACAGTAAAATTTCTGAGTTTTCTGTTCTAACTCCCCAAACATTTGCCAGTTACAGGCACCTCATCTATGTAACAGAGATGTCAATTTCTTTTATTTCTCTCATTCTTAATATGAATAAATCAATAAAACCAGACTTTTGAGGAGAGCATGGGGAATGAAAGAAACAATAAAGACAATGATTAACCACAAAAAATGACTCCAGAGGAAAAAGTAATAACAAAAAGAGCAGAAGAGACCTTTAAAGGTTATATATATATTTCTGTAAAGAGAAGTGGAGGATAATACACGTTTGGGATATATATGAATGAAAGGTCTGGGATTTTACCCTGCTTGTTTTGACTAGTCTGCCATATTTTTGTGAATGCTGAGCAGAGATATGAGACCTCTGGGAGACAGAGTACTGTTTACTACTCACAACAATAGTTCTGGACAGAGTATTAGCACTCTTTTACCAGTTCATTAAGCACCAATCTCCAGAGGTTGAGGCAAAGAGAGCTAAGTGACACGTGCACATACAGTGAGTGACATTAAAGGAAAAGCTTTAATCTTCAGAAATCTTTATAACGGAAGGAAAGCCTGCCTGATAGTTACATCTGAGTGAGTCAACACTTTCTTTGTTATACTGAACAGTGAACAAAATTGTCCTTCTTCCTAGAGGGAGGAGCTTTATCTTCCAAAGTATTTTTCTATACAAAATTCTTTGAAAAGGTAGTGTGGACTAAAGGAAGTCCATGCCTCTACTCACAAGAGGCAGAAATGGAGGCTTTTGAAAATTGTCTCTAAATATGTGTAACCTGTCTCTAAGTATATGTAACCTAAGAGAAATGTGAAAAGGTATTATATGGAAAAGACTAAAAATGCATGCTATGTAAGGTAGACAATCAGAAAAGAAAAAAAATAGAACTTAAAAGTGCAATCTATTAACTTTAAAAAATTGTAGAAATGGTGGAAAATAAAATTTAGGGGACTTTCAAAAACAGAGTAATTTTTTAAAAAAGAAAGATGAGGTAAATATGAAACTATAAGAAATATTGAGAATCAAATCATAAATCAAACATTCAACTAGTACAAATTCATGAAACTACAGAGATAACAGAAGTACAAAAGTTATCAAAAAAAAAAAATTACAAGAAAACATCTCCAGAGTTTAAGAAAGATGTATGTCTTCCAATTCTCCTGCCAAAGAGAGAGAGTAAAACTTCCCAGCTGAAATGCATAATAGTGCAATTTCAGATTATTAAGAGGTGTGCAGAAGTAAGAATGTCCAAAAATTTCAGGAAGAGGAAATCTGTTCAAACAGTCATGGGCCAAATTTGAAATATATCAGATTGAATTAAAACAGGAAGTCACTGTGCTTCAAGAAATTTAATTTAATGAATATCAAACAGAATGAATGGTAATCTGAAAGGTAATAGTAAGATGATGTTTCTTATTCCAACAAGAAAGAAGAATTTCATACTTTTGAAAACTAATAAATACAGAGAAGTGAGGGGAATCCATTAGAACCTTCTCCTTGAAATGGCAGAGAGTTTATGACTGTCTTACTGCACAGAAGGACATGTTCCCTCAGCCATTGATTTGCCTTTATAGTGAACAATATTCACATAGTCAAAATGACATAGATCATGCTTTATGATTTTTAATATTTTAAATCAATTTATAAACAAATAATGAGACCATAATGGTACAGAATAGTGCCGGTGTTATCAACTGTGACAGTGGCTCACACAAGTAGGAAGGAGCAGTGGAAGGAAAACAGAGGAGCACTCATCTCTTCATCTTTCAAAGTCTAGTCTTGACTACATAAGACAAAATTTCAAGTGTATTATTAAAAGCCTGACAGTAAACAAACACTGAAGGAATTGAAGCAAGATAAAAATGAGTGGGCAGGAAAGGAGAATAGGAAATCAGTTAATTCTTACCTATTACGGCAGAAACACAATATAAAATGATTAGTATTAATGAATCAAGAAAGTACCTAGAGATATGGAAGTAACTACCAGAAGAACTAAAAGGAAAAATAGTTAAAAGTGGTTGCCTCTGGGAAGCAGCACTGGGGATAGGTAAGGAAGCAGCAGGGACCAGTCTTTCTCATTATACTTCTGTACTACTATTATTAAAATGCCTATGTGTAACAATATATTAACAGGGTACAATTATTCTTTCTGTTTAAATTTTTTTAAGAGACAGGGAATCTTAATTATAGCATTTCCCTTATGGTATTGGAATGAGGTCTTGCCTTAAAAATCAGATTCATAAAAGCTTAGAATTGTTTTTAACTCTGTATTTGTATTTTAATTTGAATATCATTTTACTGATTTTTTGGGGGGGCAATCATTTGATATATTTCAGACTATATGTATGCTTTGTAATATGAAATCTGTATGCCCTCAGTAGTCAAATACATTTTTTTAGATAGTAATGGTAATTTAGAATTTAATTTCTTAAAATGAGCTTTTGGTTCACTTCCTTTTCTCTAACAGTAAGTAGTAAGATGGTATTACATAATCTAATAGTGGACATAATGTTATAAGTGTTTACTGAGGAAAAGAAAGTATGATTTTATACTTCTGCATTTATTTCCAAGAATGTATATATATATTTTTTTGGAAGCTTTTATTTCTGCCTACTAGTTCCAGCAACTTTTATAATGGAGATGTTCAGACTAATCCAAAGGGCAATTTACACTTAACCTTTTTTAAAGGAATTCCCTAAGCAGGATGTCTCAGCAGCTCATTTACAATTCTTACTACAGACAACAGGCTACAGCTTGTCTCCAAAATTGGCTTTATGAGTTGTAACTGCAGGAGTAGACAGTAAAGGTTTTGCATTCGCTGCATCTTGGCAAAGGGATTATACCTCAAGCAGCTTTCCCTGGAGTCCAGTCAAATAGAATCAGGGGTGAGGAAATTACTGACCTTTTTCTACTGAGCTGCCATGAACCTCATGCAAAGAAGCCCTTTGCTGAGGAAGGGCAAGAAATCACTTGAGTGTCTTTTCCTGATCTATAAAGTAGTCTCTCTCTGTCTCTGTGGATATTTCTTGCACAACCTTTCTCCCTTGGTCCTATATGTGTATATATGATGTGGGAGTTTTGACAGAGCATGTTAGGGGACAACATCAAGTCAGGGTATTTCTTAAATGTCTGGTCTGACTGATAAAAATATTGTGATATTATCCTATAACTACCCCCAATAGACATTTCTACAGCAGCACCTAATCCTCATGTAGGAGCAATGTTGGCTGTTTCTCAAAGGGATTGCCACTTGGACTCAAGACGAACTAGAGAAAGCAAATGAATCTGTGAAATCTTGAGGTAATTACAGGGACAAAATAAACATTGAATGGTATAAGGGATAAATGCAGCTGGGCATAGTCCTCGGAACCCACAGCAAAGCAAATGTTAAATAAAACATGATACTTTGAGGCATTAGGCCACTAATTGCTATGGATGATTAATGGGGAATTTTTTCAGAGTCAACATTAAAAATTGATCTTAATTTTTAGCATATTTAGGAATACAAAGATGAAATCTAGATCTTTTTGTATCAGGGAAATATTGTGAGAGATGTTTTTACTTATTATGTGTAACCTCTTAAAAATCTCTAAACTGTGAACTTTTCATATTCCAAAATTTCACAGTAAGAATACTCAGGTCAGACCCTAAGCTCAAATGTCATATAGATATTTCACATTCTTCTTTTTTGAAGAAAAATTTCCTAGTGATCCTAATATTTATGTGTATGCATTATTACGTATTATATCTCCTACATAAAACCTAACTATCTCTATATAAATGTTTCAGACTTCATACCTGGTTTAAACTGTTAAGAGGTTATTCTCAATTACTTTATTTCTCAAGTCCTAGGAAATTTGAAAGAGGAAAAGTGTTTTCAAATGATAATACCATAGAAAAAGCTATTGCTTGAGATTGTATATCAGAGTCACTGACTCAATAGTAGGTAGTCACTAAACACATTGTTTTCAAATATATTTTAAATTAGTAAGAATTTTCCTTTCAATGCCCAGTATAGCTAAGATGGTGATTTGTGCAGGTTAAGATGTATCCCTTGAGCTAGGTAGTGTGAATATTAATCTTTTCAAGGCATCGGCATTGTTTCAAGAATAATATAGAGAATAGAAATAAAAATTTTACAGAAAAACACATTGATTGTATGATCTCTCTTATAGATAAACTAAGACTTAGAGAAAAATTTTTTAAGTCATATGCTCTCTTGTGCCTATTAAAATTACATCATTTTTGTGGCATAATGGGACTAATCTGTAGTTCTACTTCCTGTTTCCTTTATGGGGCCTTCTCTCATCTGTTCAAAGTGTCTTGAGTTACTCAACTCCTTTTCCTTCTTTTGTCATAGGGGAGTGTGTGTGTACTTGTGCATGTATGAAACAAAGTCTTACTTGATTAAAGTTTCTTTCATGGTGACCCAAATTTCATATATGAACTATTTCAAACGTCTACATTTTAATGCCACACAACAGATGCTTTTGAGTGTTTCACATTGACACATTCAAACCGCTTTGGGTCTTTGCCATTTAATGCATAATGTTGTGGGACTTTCACGTCCTTGGGGAACTTGACAGTCACAAATCCCTCACCTGTAGGGCAAGAGATTTGGGTGGGGAAAGGGAGAGACCTTTCTCTTTTCTGGAAGCTCTGTTCCAGGCACCTAGTCAATCCAACAGCTGGTTTAAATAAATGATTACAGGCTGCCTAAAAACCATGCAGAGTTGGGAGAGAGAAGGTGTCTGGCCCAACCCCTATTCACTTCGGTAGGAATGGCACCAGGTTCAGGGGGCAGAAAAAGAGACCCACAGCCAACAAAGAAGAAAGGGGTTTTATTAGGAGGAAACTCATAAACAAGGCAGTCCAGTGGCAGCAGACTAAGCAGAACTGCCCACTTGTTTTAAAAGAAAAGAAAAAAAATCCAGTTATATAGTATTGTCACTTAGCACCCTCCCCTTAACAACCTCCACCTGACAACCTTCCTTTAACCCCAAACAAAAGGCCTCCATCTCTATGCAGCACACGTTCCATGGGACGGGCCAGGGCTCATATGTTCCTCATAGAGAAGGAGCGTTGTTTCACTGATTCTCTCACTTGGCCACACCTGGATTCCTTAGTGCAGAACTCTGAACACACATTCAGGTGTGTCTGCCACATACGGTCACTCGCAGAGTGTGCTTAGTTATGACTGTCAGGTGTGCCTGCCATACAGCAGGTGCTTCAATCCTGTTCTCTATTTCCAATTCTCCACTGAAGACAGGTGAAACTTCTTCTCTGTCTGTGCCCCCCTGAAGAGGGTGTTAACCTTCACCTGTGAAAGTTGGTGACTGTGTAATAGTTTCTGCCCCTTACATTTTATAAGGATATTAACTTTTATATATTAGACATTTATATATTGGATTTTCAGAGCACTGTCCAGAGGGCATTAGGAAAGTAGAGAAGTGCTTATACAGCGGTTCTTAAATTTGTGCGTGGGTAAAATATATAACACATTATCAATTACTTTTTAGTCCCTTAAATCATCTTTTGGGTAATCTCAGTTAGCAACTGATAGCCCCCATGTATGAAGAGATTCAAGGGGCCAGTCACATATATTATTGTGACTTTCTTAGAAGAGTGCTCTGCTTGATATGGTTAGGTTTGCATCCCCACCGAAATCTCATCTTGAATTGTAATCCCTATAATCCTCATGTGTCAAGGTGAAACCAGAGTTCCCTGTCCCCCCATCACAGGACGTGAGACAGGGGTGTGGCTCTCTGTTCAGCCGCTGTGAGCTCAAACTCCTTACAGGATGGGGAGCACACAAACTGTCAGGTGTAGGAGCCAGGGCGAATGCTTTGGGATCTGGCCCCCCACTCAGTGGTAACTGGGATGGGTGTCTCCAACTCCCAAAGCCTAAGTGAGAGTGATACTTTGCGCTCTTTCAGCTTTGCCATCCACTGACAGCTCTTAAGTGTTAACCAGCTCAATGGACCCTCTGCCTTTCCTCAAGGGCAGAGGGCCTGTGTGAGAACCTTCTGTCCTGAGCTCTTGTCCAGTGTCCTGGAATGATAGGGTCACACACAGACTTGAAGGACAAATGCGGCTTTTACTGAATGGTGGAGGTGGCTCTCAGCAGGATGAATGGGTAACTAGAAGGGGGATGGAGGGGGAAGATGATCTTCCCCTGGAGTTTGGTCATCCAGCGGCTGAACTCCTCTCTGACCTCCCTTAGTCAAATTCTTCTTGGCATTCAGACACTCTTTGTCTTCTTTCTCTGCCCTGCCATTCGTCTGCTTGTCTCCTTGTCTTCTCATCTGCTTCTAAAGTCTGAGGTTCAGGGTTTATATAGGTATAGGATAGGGGGCGTAGCAGGCCATAAGACAGCTTTTTGGGTGAGAAAACAGGAAATCCTATCCTCATTTAGGGCTGTGGGTATCCAGGCTTGAGGGTGAGGCCTTTGCCAGGGAACCACCCTCTTCTACCCAGTATTTTCCTATCTCCTGTCTATCAAAGGTAGATACCAGGTGGAGATAATTGAATCAAGATGCAGTTCCCCCATGCTGTTCTCGTGATAGTGAGTGAGTTCTCATGAGATCTGATCGTTTTATAAGGGGCTCTTCCCACTTCGCACCGCCCTTCCTTTCCTGACGTCTTCTGAAGAAAGTGCTTGCTGCCCCTTCACCTGCCACCATGATTGTAAGTTTCCTGAGGCTTCTCTATCCATGCTGAACCGTGAGTCAATTAAACCTCTTTCCTTTATAAATTACCCAGTCCCGGGTAGTTCTTTATAGCAGTATGAAAATGGACTAATACTCTGCAAATGGCATGAGTAGCCTCATTTTACTGTTACCAGTCCCCACCCCCCACCCTGCCAAAAATTCACACTCGGACTAGCATAACAGATTTTCACTCATTTCTTATGAAGGTACTGCCAAAGTCAATAGTGGCCAAAGTCTCCAGGAATCCTTGCACCAGGCATCTTTTTGTTTTAAAAATAACATGATTAAAACCCCAGTTCCTGGTTTTTAGAAAGTGATGATACATCCTTCGGCTTACCCAAGGAGATACTATATCCCTTTAGGGATATGAGAATATACCAATCTATTCTTGCTATGTATCTATGTGTCAGATACCAACAGCGGGAGGTTCTTTTGGAAATAGAAAAGAAAAAGCCGGGCTCAGTGACCCAGCACTTTGGGAGGCCGAGGCGGGCTATCACGAGGTCAGGAGATCGAGACCACCCTGGCTAACACGGTGAAACCCCGTCTCTACTGAAAAATAGAAAAAAAAATTAGTCAGGCGTGGTGGTGGGCGCCTGTAGTCCCAGCTACTCGGGAGGCTGAGGCAGGAGAATTGTGTGAACCCGGGAGGCGAAGCTTGCAGTGAGCTGAGATCGCGCCACTGCACTCCCGCCTGGGCGACAGAGTGAGACTCCGTCTCAGAAATAGAAAAAATATACTTAGTAAGATAATAACGCTGCATTGCATAATTGATGCCCGGGAGGAAAGCTTCCTGAGATGAGGGAGGAGAAGTTAGCTGAAACAGGCCCCTCAGAAACTTGCCCCATGGGATTTAACTATGCCACAAAGAGCTACTTCGGAACCCATTACTGCATCCTTTTCCCCTCCCTAGGAGACACATTCCATAAACAAATAGCCCTTCTCACAGAAAACTCTTGAAACCCCTTTAAGTAATGCTCACGTGTGTTCTTACTTCTGATCAATTAAATTCGAACACTACACTATTTTCTGCCTTCTCATGAAGCTAAACCATCTATGTCTTCTTGTGCCAAAAAACTATAAGAAATAATGCCAGATGTAATGAATTTACTAAATTTATTAAAACATTCCATTTTACATGGGGCAAAAACTCATATTCATTTTCTATAATATTTGGGGCCAAAAAGGATGGCATGATTCAGTCCCTCACAACTGGGCAGTTGTCCAGGTGTGAGCATTGCTGAAGCCGTTTTAAAAATTCTTTTCAATTCAATTTTAATGGAACAAACTGCCAGAGACGTGCCAGGAAAATTGTTCCTTAACATTTGCCTGCAGGATCCTGACCCCTAATGTCTTTACCAGGCTGATAACTTCTGGGCAGCAGAATAAGCCGGTATTCATGAACTCTCTCAGCAGATTCACTGCTGGAGGGGAGGGCACAGTGATGTCGTCTGAGAACTGCCTCTGGTGAATGCCATTAGCTTGTGAATTATTCCAAGTACATTAAGAGAAACTAATGACACCTTTGTTAGCTAATGTGTCTCACCTGCAAAAGTAACAGTTGCATTCTCAATAGATTTGGGCAGACAGGGAAAAACAAGCTGTTGCTTTCTCTAATTTCTGTATGCTATTTATACAATTGGGTTAGCATTCTCCCTGGAAAATGCTTCTAAGACAGGGTAAGTTAGCAGATTTCAGTTGCTTGCTTTTTGTGTGCCCTCGCTGAGCTGTAGAAAGCTCATGCGCTGGTTCCCTTCCTGGTAAAGGAAATACACCTTTATAAAATGAAGAGTAAGGGAGCGGGATGCTTTTGTTATTGACATAAAACTTGTCACACGGTTAACTAGTTTGTGTGATGATAAAAGACTTCAGTGATTTTTCCCTTCAAGGCATTTTAGCTTATTGTACTTCGGGCTGCAGGTATGGTAATAGGAGTCATCCACATTTGCGTCTAAAGCTTTCACCTGTTTAAAAGTCTCAGCTTTTTGTCTCCTTTCCCTAATTTCATGTTGAGCACTTCAGTTAAATTACTCCTATAAGAAGCTATGTCAAGATTTTAAAAAACTGAATTCAGGCAATCTACTAACAACCTAGCCATGTCCTGGCCTTTTTGCCATGTTTTTCGTAGGATAACTCAGGGATTTCTACTGCAACCGACCTTCTGAGAATCTCTTGGGTAGTTTATTTTTGAGCAAGGAGGTGAAAGGATAGCGAGCTTCAGAATACCATGGGTGGACCTTATTCTGCTCTCTTTGAATTGTGTTGCTATTACGTGTTACAAACTTAATTAAACTTCTTAAAATCAGCCCTCTTTCCCCTCAGTAGTCTGAGTATGGTCCTCTTTTTCTGAGGGATCACTCCAACACAATGCAACATTAGCTTCTTGTTTCTTGAAATGTGTCCCGTACCATAACTACTCCTTGTCGTGGGGATAAAATGACTCCATCTGTTTTACCAGCCCTTTCTGAGACTTTCTAATTTAAATGATTGACTTCTAGTTCCTGAATTGTCTACAAAGGAGTGAGGAGTACCTTGGGATGTGTCCCTTTTCACCTCTTTTACTCTCAGTCATAATTACCTGAGGTCCACAGTGGGTTTAGTTGCTTTGCAGACATGCATCAAGTACCAAGCAGGAATTGGAAGATTTCGTACAGCTCTTCTATTTATATGTTGCTCTAATACAAAGGAACTTGCTCAACTTTTCTGCTCCTTTCTCTGGAGAAGATGAAAACTGGAGGGGGTTGATTATTTTCTACCCTAGGTTTGGGTTAAGGAAGATGAGGCATTTCTCATTTCTAGCCATAGGTATAGATTTTCAACCTGTCATTTTCTCCTGTCAGCCAAGCACACACAGGATGTGCAGTCAGCAGTGGGAGGTAACGGGGATTCTGGGAATAAGAGCAATCTGCCTCATCTGGTCTTGAGTAGTGGAAGCACCATGGTGTCTCATTAAAAGGTCTTCTCCTCTCCTTCAGGTTTCTTCCAAGAGTGTGGGGCCAGATTGGCTGTATTAACATTGCTCTTCCGGTTGTGGTTCCTGTAAACAGATCTTAACTTGACGTACGTGTGCACTGTTTCACTGATAGTTGTCATTTCCAGAGTGGTTGCAGCTGCTCCCAATGCTGCCACAAAATACCTTTTAACAAAGAATACTGCTGCTTCCCTGCTGTAAGCAAGCATGGATGGATATGTGATTCATCAGCTGTACTCTGACGCTGTAGAAATATAGAGCAAAAGTGAATGCTGCTTCTCCTTGATTTCATTATGGGATGCTGCACCAACTCACAGCTGGAAACAAATTAAAGTAGTTTTTCTGATAACACAATGAAAGTGGTTTCCAAGTAAAGATCCTATTCAAATTATTCAGGATGTTTTCCCTTCTAGGAGTATGTGTCTTTATTTGCTAAATTAGATTGGTTTGCATTTAAATGTTAATAACAAAGTGAGTTCTTGTATTATGCAAGCTTGGCCAAAATGATGTTTTTGGGTGTTTATATGTGTATACCAACTGGCAGTTCATGCTTCAGTCTTTCAAGTTACAGGAGCATTTAAAAATCATAATGATAATCCATTCATTTTAATCCTTACTATCCTTTATTTAAAAAGTTTTAACTTAGTCTCTTTTTTTCATGCCTCTGTATGCATTTCTTTTCTCAAATACTGTTTTCCTTTTCTCTTGTATGTCAAATTTCTGACTTTGAAATTATCTTTGATTCTTTTACCACATATGCTTGAAATACAATCATGGAAGGCAAACACTTCTTATTCCCAAGAGAACTAAAGGCCTTTCCATCTGATGCATATTTCTGGGGTCTGTCGTCTTCTCTCTTTAAATTAGAATGAAACTCTAAAATCAGCCCCAAGGTAAGAGCAATATTGCCTTTGTTTTTTTATATTGGCTTAAACATTTTACTGGCATTTGGCAACACAAAACATACACAATAAACTTCATAAGTCCTTTAGATCTATCATACATTTTCCCCTTTTGCTAATGGTTTTAATTTTTGCTCTTCCAAAAAAAAAATGGCTTGCATAAGAGAATGGAGAAACTATCGAGAAAGGAGTTTGCCTCTTTCCTTTCCCTCAGTAAAATTAACATTAAAAGTGAACCTGCTGAAAAGGTTAGACACGCGTTGAGGTATCTGTTATAGTTCCCTGCCCCCCTGGCCGCCACCTCCATACATGCATATGTCCCTCATGGACTTGGACTTGAATGCTGAGAGTCAACCTGGTTTATCATTGTCAGCTGTTTCTTACTGGATGTGTATGGATGTTGAATGTTGAGAGCATTCAACCCTAGATTATGCGAGTCTGGTATATTAAATATTTTGAGTTAAAGGCTCTTGAGAAACAGCAGCTGGAAGGAGAGCACTCTGACTTTCCTTTGATTTCTTAAAAGAGATGAAATTCCCACATGAAAAGTGTCCTTCCTACAGGAGAAGGAGAGTGTCATTCTCATCAAGAATGGGATGAGACCAAGGAAAGTCTTTACGAACAAACATTTGTAACACAAACCCTTACCTTTCTAGCCACTTCTCACCCAGCTAGCTACCCTAGCCCAAGCTGCGTAGCTTTAATCACATTTTCATAATTTACCATATTTTGTCTAATGCAGTATAGGAATGTTCAACTCAAAGGATGTCTTTGGGTGATTTTCTTATGAAGGCTCCCATACCAGGTAAAAGTGGTGTTAAATAAATTTGTAAGTTATTCCCCTGTTACTTTCTGACGTCAATTTAATTTTCAGACCCAGTTATGTGTGTGTGTAGGGTGGGGGGTAGTCTTTAAGAGAGTAGAGGTAAAATTTTTCCTCTCCTACGTGATACATATGACAAGCACACAGTAGGTGCTTTAACTGATTCAAAGACACAGATACTGAGCTCTTACATTTCAGGAATCTTGCCAGTGTTGATGATTGGCTGAAGGTTGTGGGCTTCCCATGTACCCTTTAACTCATTTCTGTAGTTCTCAGAACAACTTTGTTCCCCCATTCCATCTGTACCCCTTGGGGATGCAATTTTAAAAACAGTAATATTGTTCAAGAGGTGGAAATGTAAGGTATAAGTGATCATAGATTTTGGTTTCAAATATCTCATACTTAAATCTTCATTTTCTAAGAATGGCACAAAGGGATACATGCATTGATATTGCTATCATTTCTACTAAGTTTAAAAGCATTTATTGGTTTTTGATTAAGGTATCATATGTAGACTGAAATTTTTATCTTTTATATTGATTTTACTTCTCAAATTGGGTATAGTTCATTAAGCTGTTAATAACCATATGTTATATGACATCCAGTACACTAGGGGAATGATCGGTAACCAGGTCTGGAGTTTGCATCTCATTCCTCGGCTCCAGATCCAAACAGGGCTGTGTCTAAAACTCTCACGATGGTTGTTCAGTGACCCAATGAAACGAGTTATGGAAAACATCATTTCTGTTCAGAGGAGTTGTGTGTATAATCCGTGATGTGAATGATTACACGTAGTATCCTTGCTGGCAGTGGCAGATAGGAGACCAGCAGTTAATCGCCCATGGAGATTTAATTACCCATATATCCAAAGGTACTCCTTGTAGGGCAAATATGAAATGCAATTGTGGAAAACACTAGGAACTTTTGTCACCATTGCCTCTCTGCCTATTGTAGAAGTAGATGCATTTTATGAATCCCAGCTTCATGGTTTACAGTGTTTTTTTTTTCTTTTCTCACAATGTTGTGAAAATGTGTTTACAAGATAGTGACTAACACAATTTATTTACATTAAGTGATAATGTGCTTGCACTTCACCTATTATATCTATAAATGGAGAGGTGGCTGAAAGATACAGCTAATCTCTTCATTACAAGTAGTTATAATGTCTATTATAGGCTACTTAACATGCACTTGATACTGTTTACTTTGTAAGTGCCTTTTAAGTATAGTTTTAACTATTTAATATAGCTTAAGTATCTCACAATTTTATATGGTGGGCATTACTAATATATAGGAGAAAACCATGACAACTAGAATCAATAAAAATCTCATCAGGTCTGTAAAAGTAAGTTGAATCTAACAAGGTAAGTTTTAGAGTGGATAAAAGTGATGGTGCTGCATATAAAGCCCCACAGCCAGCTTCTTAAAAAATAGCTGCAACAGTACAAGATTATAAATTGACTAAATTGTGTCCTAAATTTCTTCATTCTCACCTACATTTTCAGTAGGCAGCAGTCAGATTTCTCCTCCGCTATCTTACTAAGCACTCTTGGTGTTGAGACTGCCGCAGCATAGGAGTCAAAGTTCCTGCCCTGAAAGATCTCGCATCCTAATAGGAGGAGACAGATATTAAACTTGTATGCAAATATGTAAAACAACTTCAGATAGTGGCAAACGCCATGCATAAAGTATAGTTGGGCAATGTACTGGATTGGCTGGGGTAACGGGAATTGGCTGCTTCATCGTGGATGGTAGGAGAAGGCATCTCTGAAAGGTACCATTTGAATTGAGACTTGAATGATAAGATTTGAGGAAAATGTGAGAAAGGTAGTATTAGAAATAGAGAAGTGCAACAGCTTTGACACAGGTAAAAGCCTAGGTGTTTACAGAAAGGAAGAAAAACGTGTCTGGAAAATACTGAGCAAAGGAAGGAATGAAAAAGATGCTACCAAAGAAATCGAGTCCAACTCAGGCACCAACAGAAGCAATGTTTGAATACGTTCTGTGCATGTGGTCACTATGCGGGCTCTTATTCCTTCTATCACAACTGGCCCATGTAAAACAGCACAAGTGTGGGAGTGAGGAGCCTTTAGGGTTGGCTACTGCCAACAGCATTGTGCTGCTGGAAGCGTCATTTACCATTTTGGGCTTGCAACTGTAATATAAAAAATGCTTTCTCAGGCTCATTTAAAAAAAAAAAAAAGCCTTCTACTTTGTACATTTCCAAGACCATCACAAAGTTTTAGGAGAGATTTGGGGACTAGAAGATTGCTCAATGTTATTCCCCCTTGCATGACACGATGGCGTAACTTCATTTTATGCGCCTTTCAGAGGGAAGGATGAGTCCTAGACTGGTTGATGGCCTTTCATTCATCAAAGGAACTGATACTGAGACAAAGGAACACTAAGTAGCCAATAACCTTTTCAAAAGATAATACATTTATTTATGTTTAATTTTTTCCCCCACACTGTAGATTTTTATATTTTCAAAGGTTAATTTAGTACTTATCTCCCTCTTGCCCACACACTGTTTAGTGGTTTTCCTCCAAAGAAGTAACCTCTGAGCCAAGTTTTAAAATGGTCTCAAACGTGCCTAATTATCTCAAAATAAAAGCAATTTAACCCATGTAACTATCTGAAAGAAAATATAATTTATTTAAGAGTTTATTGCAGCAAACCATAAAATTAAACAAAAATGACAATTGGAGGTAGAATTCTCAATAGATTGAGAATCATTTTATTGCCATGAAGATAAATTGATGTGTATTTACAAATTGCTGAGCAAAATGTAGTTATTAAAATATCAGAATTTTATTTATCTTAATACTTCTGTTTCTAATCACCAATTAGTGTAGTGAAATAATCTGCAAATTTTTTTGCAGAGCAATTGATTGGCTTTTCTACACAGAAAGACATTTATTTTGAAGTTGTTCAACGTTACGTCCTTTGTCATGAGTCTCCATTCTGCCATGTTTCTTAGGATATTAACGTAACAATGTCAAATGGGATTGAAGCTGAGAAAAATTACCTGAGGGCATTTTTGTTTTGTACTTAAATTTTATTTTGTCACTTATTCTTATTAGCAATCATTAAGCAATTTAATAATTATAAGCTCCATTAACATTTTAATGAGTCTAGTGGCCATTGCTAAGTGTAATTAAATTAGTTTTATTGTATGATATTTTGAAGCTGTGATTAAATTAAGTTTTACTGTGCTTAGAAGAATAAACCTATAGAGATTGCTATTCACCAAACATCTTATTAACTTATAAGATACTGATAAAATAGACATTAATGGAGACAGGAGAAAAATATAATTCCCTATTGAGTCTATTCATGAGATAAAACTTTAATCATTCAGTTTGGAATCAATCTAATAATGACGGTGTAATTTTATTTAAAAGAGTTTTTCAGGTGGAGTTAGAGAAAAGGGAAGAAAGGCTGGATTCCTTTAGTAATGTTCTCCTCCTCCCCTAGTTCTTGCAGGTATAACCCACAGAGATGAGACTAGAGGAAGACTGACAACCTAGTGATCTGGGAGCAGATATGTGTAAACTGATGTTAAATGTTTTGGCACCAAATAAAATTTCCTTTATTAACTTAGAAACTTATTTTAGAAACGAAAAAGTCATGGTTTAAGAAGTGCTTACATAAACACAAATTAAGCGTCCTAAAATGAAAGTCAATGGTAATTTTCATGCGTTGGTATTTTTGGTGGTGGTGGTATTCTTTTTTTTTTTTCTTTTTTTTTTTTTTACTGTAAACCAGTTTGAAACCTCTGTCTTTCTGGCTATCACTTAAAGTTCCTCCTTAGAAGCTATTTGATTATACATAAATTGGAAGATGATCGTACATTACGTATTCCTTGTGCCAGTCTCTGGTCTTGAATGAATTTGGAAATTTGAGTCTTTATTGCTACTGCTGTTACATGATAAATTCTGAAATGCTCTCAAGAGTAAAATGAGATAGTCTTATTTTCTGATGAATTGCCTTATATAGAATGCAGTTAAGCATTTTACAGGATAGTAATTTGTATAGCATGTACAGCACATGTTTACTTATGGGAATTATGTGGTTTTGCTGTAATTATTAGATTCTATTGATTGTATTCCATTATGTTAATGTTTCTAAAATAAGCATATCAAGCAATTTTATGTCACATAATATTTCAGAAGCCTTGGGGATATTAAACATTTTTTGAATGGCATGGAAACATTTTATCATTAAATTTATTCCTTTACACTTTATTCCTTTTTATGATAAAGTTATGTGGATATAAATATGAATTCTAAGAATAAGGAGCAAGGTATTAAGAAATACTATTATCCCATTACCATCATACATTATATATATATATATATCAGTGATGAAAAATGAAAAATTAACCTCTAACATTCAATGTTGAATCATTTTTAAATCTGTTCTGACACATTTTTAGAAAGTCTTAACCATAGCTCAAATAAATTTATGAATAACCAATATATATCCCTACATTTTTCTTTATATGTCTAGAGTAAAACAAAACAAAACTTATTGTCACGTTAAGATCATGAACGAGAGACTTCTATTGATATCCTTTCTACTAAAACTTTTAAATTTCCCATTGGAGAATTCAGTAATGATGTTCCACATGAGAGGGGAGTTTACCTTGGCTTTTACCATCACTAGGACACTCACTTCAGTCATTTGTCATTATCTTTTTTTTTTTTTTTTTTTTTTTTTTGAGATGGAGTCTCACTCTGTCACCCAGGTTGGAGTGCAGTGGCACAATCTTGGCTCACTGCAACCTCCGTGTCCTGGGTTCAAGCAATTCTCCTGCCTCAGCCTCCCAAGTAGCTGGGATTATAGGCACCTGCCACCACGCCTGGCTAATTTTTGTATTTTTAGTAGAGACACGGTTTCACCATGTTGGCCAGGCTGGTCTTGAACTCCTGACCAGGCGATCTGCCTGCCTCAACCTCCCAAAGTGCTGGGATTACAGGCGTGAGCCGCCGCACCCAGCCCTTGTCATTATCTTTATTCTCTCTCTGGATAATCTTAGTCATTTCAATTGCTTTGAAACGTTCTTGGGGAAAAAAATTAATGAACTCTACAATGAATTAACCACTTCTACATCTGTCCACTTGACTGCTTTACTTGGGTATCTCTTGGACATTTCAAAGCTAACTTGCTTTCATTCTTTCCTCTCTTGTAAGGAACCTGAACCATCTGGGAAGCAGTTTCTCAAACCAGAAATCTTGGTGTCATACTGATTCCTTCCAAAAAAAAAAAATAATAAACAAAATGTAAAGTTTCTTTTCTTCCTTCTTTATATTATAAGCTCCAAGAGGGCAGAAACTTCATCTCCAAGCTTACCACTGAATCCTCTGTGCCTTCCACAGTGTCCGGTAAACAGTATGAATTCCTTATTCTCCCTTTGCGTGTTTGTAAGACTAGCTGATTTTCATTGTGAAGGTCTCGATTTTCAGACAGGCATTCCCTGATAATCCCATTTAAAATAGCCTTACCTCCACAAACGATGGAACCTCGCACAGTGCAGTTTGAATTTCATCACATCCAGGTCACACTCCAAAATTGTTTCCTATCTGTTTTCTCCACTAGAATAGATACTGCATGAGGTCAGGGACCGTATTCGTTCTGATCATCCTGGTATCCTTGGAATCCACCTGTGCTTGACAAATAGTTTGTATGTAAGAAATATTGTTAGATGAATGACTATCAGCAGAGGCTTTCAATATGTTTTTAAATTTTTTATTTAATGTATAAAGCATTTCAACTGATGTGATGGGTTTCCTATGTTAAATTTATTTTCTTCCCTAAAAAAATCGATGACTTTTGCATGTTGTTTAAAGCGAGTTTCTAGATCTCATCTTTTGATGCACAGTCTTAAAATTCTCATTTTAAATCCTGAGAGCTCACATTTTAGAAGAGTAACAATTGATAGTTTATGTTGAATGTGTCCTATTATGTGGCAAATATTAACTTTTCATCTTCAAAAAATACTCTCTAGTATACAAAATTATCTTTAATAAGGAATAAGGATAGTAAAGGCACAGTTCATTATATAAGTTTTCTAGGTTGATCCTGCCAGAAATTGGCAGACCCAGTACTGAAACCCAGGTAGAGGCTTCAGAGCCAGTGTTCTTATTTACTAATTATCCTACCTGAAAGACTACTGACCTAATAAGTTACATTTAAAAATATATATACACTATTTGATTTTATGATGCTATGGTCTTGTAAAACATCTAATGTACTTTGGTTAAAGTACGTTATTTCATTATTCATTGAATTCCCTTTCAATAAAATAGACACTTTTAATGTAATATCTATAGAATGTCTTAAAGTGGTCAGGGAGCAAGAATTTTAAGTATTATGATCAAGGATGTACCTGTGACATTCTCTGTCATGTTTGTTTTCCCTTGAATTGGGACAGTTTATTTTTCTATAAATTAGCCAAGGTCAAGTCCAGTAGTAAAATTTCTACATGGCTATTTGTTGATTTATATTTAAGTTGACTTAGTTATTATTTCGTGGTTGGAAGAGATGAAAATGAAAGCTTTGCCAAGAAACCCCAGCAGCCTGTGCTGAGGCTTCTCTGGAGCACCTTCTCTGCATCACTCATAGCTTTGTTCCTTGGCATTTGTACTTGGTCAGGCTGCAGCGCTTGAGGTTAATGCCCAGCGGACAGGTCCGAATGTACATTGGATCCCATCATAATAAGCATGCTTACTTATGAGACATGGAACAGATGAAAGTTCCACCCTGCCTTTGCCCAAGAGCCTTTGGGAAGATGGAAAAGGATGAATCAGTCCCTTGTTTGCAAAAAGTGTGACATTAATCATCCAACATTGTGAACCGCTAGACAGGTGTCATTTGTTTTTTTAAAGTTATGCTATGTTGTTTGTGGAGCTGCATAAATCTTCCAGTTCTTTTAAAACAGTCTCCACAGGTACAACAAATGGGAAGTGAATCTGTCATTCTTGAAAATGTTAGAGATCAGCAAGTGCAGAGTTACTGTAGAGCTGACCTTCCTCCTTCATTACTGGCTGCCAGAACTATAAGCGGAGAAAAGATTGAGGACGTAAAGACAATAGAGTGAACTTCAGATCATGTCTGGAAAGGGTCACACTCATAAACCACAGCATGTATGTAGGAATTTTTTTTTAAGCCATGTGTTCAAGAGGACCAGATAGTGCAGTTTTTCTGATCCATTGTGTAAAAGTATACATTGGGATGTCACATTCTGAGTAATTTGTTATACAATAGTGCTTTAGTGGTGGAGAAAAACACCCTTAATAAATGAGAAGAAAACACATTCCAGAGAAGAAAGGCTGACTCAGTTGATCATTATTAGTTTTAATCACCCTGCGATTTCAGGAATGTTCTCAAATAGCCTTGGTTCAAGTCCAGAGCACAGAATTATCATTTGGGCAGCACGTGATCCAAATGTCATGAGGACAGGACTTTGACCATTTGTATATCATAATATTAAGTTTGAAGATGTCTGGTTAGGAAGAGAAATTGAGGATGGATCTCTGAAACATAATAACCTTAAAGAATATCTAAATTAGACTGGCTTGGTGAGAGGCAGGCAGTGGGGCCTGTTAGTGGGTAGAATTTGCACAGAATTCTGGATAGACCTAATTCATTTTATTGCTGAATACATGAGTGAAAACTAGAGCTCAATTATCTGATTACAAGATGAAAGCAACCACATCTGTATTTCCATAAAGAATAAGAGCCTGGCAATTCATTCTTTACAATATAGTTATCGGTGGCAGCTAAGGTCATCTTCTCTGAAAAAAAAAAAAAAAATCTGATATTTTTCTTTCAAGTTCTGTCATGTACATTTCCAGCTCTATTAATCATACTGCAATGGGTCTTTTAGGATGACGTAAATTTTGTGATAGCTTATCTTATATTTGGATTTGCAGTCCAAGGACTTGTCCTGAGTCATTTTTGACTCTTGGTTTATCTGCTAACTTGCTTGTGGCCGCAAGTTACAGAAACTCGGATGTCAACTGACTCAAGCAACAGGGGATTTACCTCACACTTAATAGGAAACCTAAAGATAGAGCTTTAGAGCTCTCTCGTTCATCCACCAAGGGAATGCTATGTTGCTTCCTTCTTTCACCCTGCACCCCCACCACACACATACCCTCTGTTTGGGTTTAATTCAATCTAGTATCAAGATGGTGGGAGCAGATACGAATCTCAATTCCAAACACTTGATCACTTAGGAAAAAGAAAAAACATATCTTCTTGTTTATCTCTCCTGAAGGGAAAGACAATATTCCCAGAGGCTTACCCCAGAAGACAACCCTTGCTACAACACTGGCTAAAATTCCATCACATGCCCTTCTTACACAAGTGACTTGGCAAGAGGCATTATATTAATCTTATAAAAATCAGGAGCTACACCGGGGTAAGAGCTCAAGTTAGTTTACTCAGATGCATTTGGCTCTGTGGGGAAAGAAATATGAGGTTCTGTTTGGAAGGATGAAAAAGGGATTGGATGGAAGGTAGACAGACCATAGTATCCATTATATAAATTTAATTTGCTCATGTTATTATGTGTATTATGTCTATACAAATAGATAATGTAATCAATTACATTTGCAATGCACTGCCAGACTTTTTGGGGGGCAGCTGACTTACCATACTGATGATATATGTTTATGTTACTATTACAATAAATTTCTTTATTGTAGACTGCGTTAAATAAGCCTATTTGAAATAGGTGTCAGAATATAGCAGTCTGGGATTAAATACAGGTAGGGCTTATCCACAATGAAACCTTTTTATATGGATAGTAACAAACTGATGTTAACATGTAAAAACTATAAAGATGGATATGTAAGCATGCTTATGTACAACCAACTACCTCTCTTGCATTGTTCTGGGATAAATACTATGGCCCATTACTATACAGAGTGCAATGTACTTGAGAATTTACATGCCGGTCACACCAAGACTCTCTGCCTTCAAACACAACTTGACTATTTCACCCCACCATGTGTGTAGGGATTCCTGGAAATGCACTACTGTCTCAAGGGAGAGCAGTTTATCCTGGTTTTGTCCATGTTATGCTAATTACAGCAAAGGAACACTGGCTTCTGACCAGAAGTACATCTTGGTCAGAAAGCTCTGGCTGTGAAATCTGGGGAATGTATCAGCCTGGGACAGCCAAGGAAGCTGGGTAGCAGCATCTGGACACAATGCACATGCTTCAGAGAGCTGGGGGATGCCTTCTGTAGGTGTGCATAGTGGAGGCAGCTCCTTGTCAAGCTAACCAGCCCTCTGCTCTTCCACTTCTCTCACACAATTCTTCATGGAGAGCCAGATGGCCCTAGGGTGGTGGAAGTGGAGGAGAGAAGATGTCCCTGTGTTAGTCTCTTCGCAGGTGCCTGGTGGAGATGTCCGGACTAATGTCACTAATAGTGAAAAGACTCAGAGCCTGAGTAACACCTCTGCAATTCCGAAATGGAAGGAAAGAACAGCTCAAATGGAAATCTGTTCAGAAATTAAATGTGCATCATATGGCTAAGAATGAAGGTTCTAGGGGGACTAAATTTATCCCTTCACACTCCGTTGAGAAGATTGGTTCCTGCAAAGGACTAAGTTCCTAGTTTGTTCATGTGCATGGACATTTTCCAGGGAACATGATAACCTCCGTACCTACCTTTAGCCACCTCTTGGGCTTAAAATTACACTCACACCTGTAATCTCAGCTACATGTGAGGCTGAGGTGGGAGGATCTCTTGAGCTCATGAGTGTAAGGCCTCAGTGAGCTATGATCACACCCGTGTACTTCACCTGGGCAAGACAATGAGACCCCATCTGTGGAGAAAAACAAGACTGTAACCCGTTATTCCTATCTGTAAATTCCTTTCATCTCTCCTTCTTTCCTTCCTTTGTTATTTTTAGCATTAACATCACTTATTTGATCTGACATTATTAGGCAAAGGAAGAAATAAGTACAACATTCATTTAAGACTGCTGCTTCTAGAAACAAACGAAAAAAAGATTATCTAAGAAACCTCCTTCTACAAAACCACAGAAATGTTGGATAGACTGTAACAAAATTGTTTTAATGGCATAGCTGAGTTTCAAGAAAAGGAAACTCCCAGACCCCCAAATGACAAGGAAGCCAAAAAGCAGAAGTGAGAAAATGCTGAACTATGGCTGCCCTGAGGGGCATATGCCAGTCTCCTTAAATAAGAGGCATAGTTTTAAGGACTATAGGGAAAACATACAAGCTTTGGAGCATTTCCAGGTATAGAGGCAGCACTGAGAATTCCACATGTACATCTGTGACCCTTGAAATGTATACTCTCAAAAGACTATATTTGAAAATAATCTGCCAGTCTGCGAAAGGAAATGGCAAAGAAAATGTGTCTGCCTGGACTCTAGGGGGAAAAAAAATGCCTCTTCCATTTTGCACAAAAAATTCCTGAACATTCACTGTTTTCAAATGGGTTTAGAGTTTGAATTTCTCACGTTAATGTCCAGGAAACCCTAAGCTGAGAAATGAATTTAAGTGGTCCCAGGTTAGAAGTGCTGGAAGAAGCAGATACAAATGCTGCTGGAGGCCTGTGCACTCGATTTAACTTGTACTAGGTATCCACAGTAAAGATGGGCCCCAAATATGAAATTAAAAAATACAAAGTAAAGCTAGTCACCACATGTAAGATTCAGCAGAAACAACCAATCAACCAACCAACCAAAATTATACTTAGAATCCCCCAATAATAGATTTATTTGTGTGAAATACAAAATATGTCTTAATAATTAAAGAAGTAAAATTGAAATTAAATACAGGGGAAAAGGGCAAGTTATAATTAAAAAAAAAAAAATCATCCCAAGCTACATGTCGTGGTGCATGCATATCATCCCAGCTACTCGGGAGGCTGAGGTGGGAGGATGGATTGAGTCAAGAAGTTGGAGTTACACCTGGGCAAAATAGCAAGATCCTGTCTGTAGGTAAATAAATGAACATAAATTTAAAGCATTATTCCAAAACACCAGAGTGTTAAAAATAAGCTAAAATGAAAGGAGATCTGTCAGACATACAACCTAAATTAGTATTCCATATATATTTCTAAAAAATCAATGAGAAGACAATAAGATAGCAAAACATACAAACAGGAATTTCACTAAGCCTCAAGTGGCCAATATGCTTAGGAAAAGGTATTCATCCTCATTAGCCATCAGGGTAATCAAGTTGAAATCACAACATTTTATACCAATGATGTTGGCTATAAACAAAAAGTGAAACTGAATTTTTTTTTTTTTTTTTTTACAAGAATGCAGAACAGCAGGCGCTTATTCTGGCATTACTGGGAAAGTTGCAAATGTGTTTATCCTGTGACCTAGCTATCTCTGGGCTAGATATACACGTATGGAAGATGTGTACAGAAATGTTCACAGAAGTCATAATGTGTAATTACAAAAAAACTGGAAATAATACAAATGTTTATTGACAGAATTGAAAAATAAATTTTGGAATATTTATATAGTAATGCACTATACACCAGGAAAGACGAATGACCTACCGTTCAATCTCAAAAACAAAAATGTTGAGTAAAAGTAGCAACTTCAAAATAAATGGATACACCATTATTTCTTTTATGTAAAATGCAAAAATGTAAATTAAAATATTAATCAGAGATAAATCCACATATATTAAAACAATGAAGACAAGAGAATGATGTACAAACAATTCATAGCAGAGCTACCTCTGTAGGGGAGAAAAGAGAATGGGGGCTAGGGAGGACAGTCATAAGGCTTCAAAATACCGATAATTTTCTGTTTCTTAAGATGCCTGGACGTGAACGTGGATTTTTCATTCATGTATTTCTCTTTAAAGCATACATTAATTATATATATTCCTTTACATAAAAGGTAGTATATAGGTCAGGTGCAGTGGCTCGTGCCTGTAATCCAAGCACTTTGGGAGGCTGAGGCAGGCGGATCACTTGAGGTCAGGAGTTCGAGACCAGCCTGACCAACATGGTGAAACCCCGTCTCTACTAAAAACACAAAAAATTAGCCAGGCGTGGTGGTGGGCCCTGTAATCCCACCTACTCAGGAGGCTAAGGCAGGAGAATCCCTTAAACCTGGGAGGCGGAGGTTGTAGTGAGCTGAGATCGTGCCACTGCACTCCAGCCTGGGCAACAAGAGCGAAACTCTGTCTCATAAAAATAAAGAAAAATATAGTATATAAAAATAAAAATAATACAATATAAAAGTAAAAAGCCATTGAAAACATAGTAAAAATACCAAGCTGAATTGAAAAGAAATCACATGGAATTTCTAAATATAAAATTAACTATAATTAAAACAATTTTAGTTATTTTAGCCACTTGTGTCAGGAATCTGGAAAAACTTTATTTTTATCAAATAATAAAACCCTGGAAATTTAAGTCCCTTTGCTTAACCATAGAATAAAATTAGTTATTTCCATAAATTTATCTATCTTGATGAGCTAGGCAATTCTAAGCTTTTTTAAAAAATTTTATTTTTAGGCTATTTCATAGATGGTAAATCAGTTTTTTTTTTTTTTTTTCCTTTTTAGGCTATTTCATAGATGATAGTGGCACTTTTATTCTGACTGACTGTAGATATTGGCTAAGGCAACATTTTGAGACAATTTTACAAAGTCAAATTCTTATTTTTTTTTTTTTATTTTTTTTTTTAAAAGAGACGGAGTCTTGCTCTGTCACCCAGGCTGGAGTGCGGTGGCGCGATCTTGGCTCACTGCAAGCTTTGCCTCCTGGGTTCACCCGCCATTCTCCTGCCTCAGCCTCCCGAGTAGCTGGTACTACAGGTGCCCGCCACTGTGCCCGGCTAATTTTTGTATTTTTAGTATGGATGGGGTTTCACCGTGTTAGCCAGGATGGTCTCAATCTCCTGACCTCGTGACCCGCCCGCCTCAGCCTCCCAAAGTGCTGGGATTACAGGCGTGAGCCACCGCACCTGGCCGTTAAATTCTTTTTCTAATTGAAAAATCATAGCTGTATACATTTATGGGGTACAATGTTACGATGTGTATAATATGCTATGATTAAATAAAGCAAATTAACATATCCATCAACTCACCTATTTTTTTATGGTGAGACATTTTAAATTTACTCTTAGTTATTTTGAAATATGCAATACACTATTATTGACTACAATCA
Source organism: Homo sapiens (assembly GCF_000001405.40). NCBI lineage: Eukaryota > Metazoa > Chordata > Mammalia > Primates > Hominidae > Homo > Homo sapiens. The sequence goes on from NC_000004.12 coordinate 180,814,832, forward strand.
CCCTGGTGTGCAGTGAATCTCAAAATTGATTCCAAAATCTATTCCTCCTGTCGGAAATTTTGTGCCCTTTGATCAGCAACTCTTCACTTTCACCATCCCAACTCCCCCAGCCTCTGGTAACCATTGTTCTACTCTGTGCTTCTGTATCAAGTTTTTATTATGATAGTTCATAAGCAAGGAAACTTTTTACTGTAATACTTAAGGGAAGTTGTGCTAGAGTTGACTGAAACTTTCATGTGGTTGCAACCTTAGATAAGTGATTTGATAGTCATGCTGGTCTCTTTTCTCTTCTCTATGCTCCCTTGCATGTGAAGTCAAATCATTCTGTGCCTGCCCTTATGTGCTTCCATGGAGATGGGGAAGCCTGCAGGATGGATCTGAGCGAGGCATACAGTTGTGATTCAGATTTCACAGTCTCCCTCACAGTCTTCACATTCAGATGAAAATGCACATTCAAAGGAGCTATTTTATTGCATACAGTTTGCAGTGTCAATGGAAATTTGATAGAAGAATGAAGTCTAACAGCAAGCGTATTATAGTTTTTGGGATTATGAGTTGATTTTCAGCACATGAATAGAATAGAGAGACATAAACAGATTTCTATTATGCTTTGCTAGAAATTTCATGTTAAATTTTTCCCTGTGAAGACATAGGTACACATAACTACTTAGGTATTTAAAGTTTCCAATAAGAAGAGGAAACAGCAATTTTATTTAAAATTAATTTAGAAAAATCTACGTGAAAGAAATATTTTTATAATTGCATATATTCATATAAATGTGGAATAGGATTTGCATTAGATTTATTTATAATATTTGCTTGTATGGAAGTGATTTTGTGTATAAGTTTTAAAATAATTACAGATATACAATCCTCACAATGAAGTATTTCATGTGTCCCAAACCCAGTCAAGGGGAGATTTAATAATGCAATTATCCTTAGATTCTTTATGTGAAAATCAACAATCCTCACTTATACTAGTCCCAAGAATGTAAGTTGATATTTTCTACTGCTATATTTAAAATACAAACAAAAATAGCATTAAACTCTTTTAGAAAGCTATTAATAATAGGCCTGGGATTAGCTTTCCTGAGATCAGATGTGAAGCTGTTAGATGGTTTTCTGGCATACATTTCAAACAGAAATAAATAGTCTGTATAGCTTGAGAGATTTAGGAAGGGAAACCCAGAACATGAGAGGCATTGGGAGATAATGTTTATTAGCTGAGTGACTATTTCTTATGATTGTTGAAAATAATTGTATCCATATTACTCTTTGTTTAAAGGTGGTTACAATTCAGATGACTGGATGGATTTTACCCAATATGACTGGTTTTAAAATGATTTCAGTCTTTCTCACATCTTCTTACAAATATGGTGAGGGCATATATGTTTTTGCAAAACCTCATGCATAAGGAAAAATAGCGAATGGCACAGCTTAAGGCAGATATGCAGGATATATAACGGACAAAGGACACTCTAGAAGGAAAAACTGTTCTCCTACTCACATCACTTCTGACACCAAATGGAGCAATTTTCCAGCAATTAAAGTGTGGGACACCAACTGGTGTCCAGAGTTAGCAGGAAACTGCCCTACCGCCAGGTGAAGGGCTCAGTCGCACAAGACTGCCTACACTTTAGACATCAGTTGTGAGTCTGGAGTGCTCGTGGTACCTACACTTCTGTTTATCTTGGCTGTAAATGTGAGATTCCTACAATCCCTCCCCAGTTTCATGAGTTTGCTCAAAGGGATCAGAGAACTTGGGGAAACACTTAGGTTGACCAGTTTAGTACAAAGGATTAAAAGGATACAGATGAACAGCCCGATGAAGAGGCACATAAAATGAAGTATGGGGAAAGGGTGCAGAGCTTCCATACCCTTTCTGGGCCTGCCACCCTCCCGGAACACCCCTCCCACAGTACCCTGAAGCACAAGCAAACGGACCTGTTGGTGGCAATGGAAGCAAGTTTGTCCTCTCCCATTCTAAGTGCGCCATAGCCCATTAGGGTCATTGTTCTCTCAGATCCTGAGGCATATTTTCATTCCCAGAGCCTGGCAAGGCCCTACAGTACCAAAGCAGGGAGAAAATAAAACACTTTTCTATATACTTTGCCTGAAAAATTCTTCCTTAGAGAATTCCATTGAACAAAGGAAGGAAATCCTCCTTCCACTGTGTGGAAAGTGCTTCCTGGCTCAGATCTTTTCGTCAGACACCTCCCCGTGGCCATTTCTTTAGATACTCATTCAGAAACTACAGATTGAAATAATGCCAAACAAACAGGCACAGAAGTGGTTAGTGCTTGCTTCACTCCAAAATGTGAATTTGGTCATAGAAGCAAAACCTGGAAGAACCAAGAGTGTTAGGCTCCTTGAAGAATGTTGGCTTTCATGTACCTTCTCTGGCAAGGGAAGAATGGCTGACTTCAGCTTATTCACAATAAATTCCACTTGGTTGTCTAACCAGGGAGCAGGAAAAAGATTTCTCTCTAATCCAGCAAAACCCAGATACGTGATTGGTTTAGAGCCACTCCCGAAAAATGATTGATGGAAACTGGCTATTTGGTCATCCACATGGATGGACTGCCTTCTAGGTTAATGTTCGAAAAGAGGATTCTGACAGTCACAGGAGGGTTGTAAGGAGGGAAGCTAAATAAGATCTGCCAAAACTATTTATGGATGAACAGTATTCTTGGTGTCAACTGAAGAATCATGAGGTTCATAAATTCGGAAAGGAGAGCTTTATTTGTCATAAAAGGTCATAGCCCATAGGCTGACCATCTTGCAGGCTAGGATGTATAGCCTCTGGTCAGAAGCTGACAGCAAGCACTTCCAGGGAGCAGTAAAGCATACAGGAATTTATGGCGAACGGGTTGGCTAAGTTTACATATTCAACAGGAATATGTAGTTAAAGGAGGAGCTATGAATATTCATGGAGGGGAGGCTCATGCATGTGTAATAGAGTAGGCTAACATGTACAACATGCGTCCCATGTTCACTTTGGGGTGGAGACTTAACATTTAAGTGCATTATAGTTAGGCCCTATGCATCAAAAGGTGAAGCAGGGACACGAACGTCCTCTGTGCACAACCTCTGTAGTCTGGCCAGAACTGCTCCATGGTCAGTGGTCTCTTATCAGGATGGAATGCTGGTCAATTGCTGTGTGAAAACGACCAAAAGGAGAAGCAGCATCAGGCAGTTGGTTGATGTCAGCAGTGGAGTGTGTCTTTCAAAAAGACTAGTTTCGGTTAGACCCTTAGGGAAGAAAGCCTGTTGACAGCAAGGGAGAGATGTGTCTGACCTATTCCATCATTGCCTGGATGTTTTTGAGGTTTCCCTGGGGTCCTTTTGACCAAGAGCGATTCTGTTCAGTCCATTTAGGATTTTATTTTTCTCTCTCAACTGGCCACAACTTTCCCTATTCAAGGTGAGAACACACAGATATAGCAACTACAAAAGATTCTGCACATAAAGAGGACGCTGAGCACAGGATAGTATAGCAAAAGAATGTTTTATGAAGACGATTTGTTGAGGAATGTATCTAAAATGAAGGAGCATCAGCAATTTCTGTTTAACACTTTTTTTTTGAAAAATCAAAGCATTACATTCAAATATGAGTAAATACTACAGTACAGAAAAACTTAGGGAAAGCAACGCAACCATGTTCCTCCATTCCTGTCCCTATCCCACTTCCCAGAGGCAAATTCTAGCAAGTTTTTCTGTCCTTCCGTATTTGTGTGTTTCTGACTTCAATTTCAGACAATTATCTATTTATTCTTATTTATAAAAGAGGAGGACTCAGTCCCTCCTCATTACTTGCCTCCCAACGTTTGAAATATGATATGGTTTGGATCTGTGTCCCTGCCCACATCTCATATTGAATTGTCGCCCCCATTGTTGGAAGTGGGGCCTAGTAGGAGGTGATTGAAGCATAGGGGTGGTTTCTCATGGTTTAACACCATCCCCCTTGGTGCTATGTCGGCGGTAGTTGTCCTGAGATCTGGTTGTTTAAAAGTGTGCAGTACCTCCCCGCTCCCTTTCTCTTCCTTCTGTTCTGCCTCCCCTTTCACTGTCCACCATGATTGCAGGTTTCTTTCTTTCTCTTTTTTTTTTTTTTTTTTTTTGAGACAGAGTCTTGCTCTGTGGCCCAGGCTAGAGTGCAGTGGTATGATCTCGGCTCACTGCAGCCTCCACTTCCCGGGTTCAAGCAATTCTCAAGCCTCAGCCTACCTAGTGGCTGGGATTACAGATGTGCACCACCACATCTGGCTAATTTTTGTATTTTTTTTTTTAGTAGTGATGGGGTTTCACCATGTAGGTTACTTGAGGCCTCCCCAGAAGCCCAGCAGATACTTTCTGGATAGCCTACCAAATCATGTACCAATTAAACTTCTTTTCTTTATAAATTAGCCAGTCTTATGTGTTTCTTTATAGCAATGTAAGAACAGAATAATACGATATATTGTTACTAAGATATTGAAAACATTCACTTCTTTGCCATATGCTTTTAACAGTATCTCTTGATAATCCTATTAGTGCCCTCGCTTTTCCTTTATCATTTTCTTTTAACGTCTTATTTTCTGTTACTTTTATGCTGTCAGGATTGTTTAATGTATGCCTAGCCACACAGTACATGTTTTGCATTCTGTCTATGCATATTTTTGTGTGTATACATTTATGTAAATATGTGTACATAGCCTCTAAACCAATAATTTACACTATCAAAAGTATGTTAATATTATTTCATATCAGGACAAGAAGTATACTAAGATTTTCTTTCTTTCTGTTCTAATATTGTGTCATCTTTTAATTTTTTTGAGACAGTTTCACTCTTGTTGCTCAGGCTGGAGTGCAATGGTGCGGTCTTTGCTCACTGCAACCTCTGCCTCCTGGGTTCAAGTGATTCTCCTGCCTCAGCCTCCCATGTAGCTGGGATTACAGGCACCCGCCAACATGCCTGGCTAATTTTTGAATATTTAGTAGAGATGGGGTTTCACCACGTCGGCCAGGCTGGTCTCAAACTCCTGACCTCAGGTGATCCGCCCACCTCGGCCTCCCAAAGTGCTGGGATTACAGGTGTGAGCTACCATGCCCGGCCTGTGTCTTCTTTTATACATCAGTGCTTTAGGTTGCATCACAATTTTGTTTGCTTTGTATCTGGACTTTGTATGTGGACTATAATATCCTTGTACCATTTTTCCCCCTTAAACTTTCTAATTGCAAGTAAAGAAAATATGCAGAAACACCAAATTCAGATAGAGATTTCTGCTATAAAGAGAATAAAGCATGGTTAGAAGAAAATCAGTGACTGTTGGAGGGGCTCCTTCAGATTGAGCCATCAAGGAAGGTGTCGTTATAAAGATGGCATACTGGTTGAGACATGACAGATAAGAAGGCACCCAATGGCAAGATCTGGGATGTTAAAGAATAAATTATCCATGGCACTTGTTTGTAAGGCAGACTTGACTCAAGGGTGTCCATGGTGATAGGTAGAGGGAACACTGCAACAGGGTCTTGAACAAGGGAGAAAGCCTGGATTCAACTGGGGATCCAACAAGAACAAATGAGGGTTTGAACCAAGGAGCAGGGTGGGGTCAGTGCATGGAAAATTCCTAAGAAGAAACATCAAAGATAAGGGGTTTCTGGCTAAAGAGACTTGACATGACAGACTTACTGCTGAAGGCAGGCCAGGGTGATGAGCTATCTAGGGTGGTCAGATATAAAATATACGGAATTTTCACTTGGAAGCATTCTTTTTCAAACCAAATTCTACAAGAGCAGGGAGAATTGAGAGAGAAGCTGAAGGTCAGGCCTACTCAGAAAGGACTCCGGGAGATTTCTAAAGTACTGTTCAAGGGAGAGTTTTTGTCAGGGGGAAGAATCTTCCAAGTTGAGGAAGCAGTAATATAGGTCCAGTATGGGAGGTAAAAGAAAAAAATTAAAATGCCATACATTTTGGCTTGGGTAGTTGGGCCAGGACATTTATAGATATGAGAAAGACTTGTGAAAAGTAGATTGGGGTGTGTTTGGGAGAATATTGAGAAACTTGAAAATTGAAATAAATGTAGATACAATGTAGGCATCAGATATGTAAGTCTGTGTTTTGGAAGAGGGGGTCAAAAGTGCAAACACACAGTTGAGAGTCATCATCAGCGTGTAGATGTTACTTGGTGCCATGGACTGGATGTGATAATTTTGGGAAAAGGTATAGAAAAAGAAGTGAAGAGACAGGTGTCTAGTACCAAGCCCAGGGAGCTCCAGCATTTGGAGATACAGCAGAGAAAAATGACTTTACTGATAATATCACCAAGAAGCAGTCAGTGAGAATTTTTGAGGATTTTAAAAGTCCTGCTTAGTTGATGAAGTATCTTTCCAAATATCTTTCTTTTTAATATCAATTTATTTATGTTGGTCTTTTTCCTGGTGCTTGTTGCCCACATGTCTAGCAGTTTTGGTTGTGTTCTCGTACTTAAGACAGAAGAACCAGATAGCGGGTGTAGGTTTCCTCTAATTCTCTAAAAACAGGTCTGTTGTATACTTGAGGGCAAGATGGGGCACATAAAGCTGTGAAATAATAATAATATATTTTGGGATTCAGAATAATTCTCTTTTATTCCAGTTATGCTTCTCTGATTATGAGACTGTTTAAATATTTAGGTTGCACTTTCACAAATCATATGAAGTTGAAATATCTACATAGCTTCAGAGCATGGAGTGATACGGAAATAACTTAATTTTGTCTATTGTCTATAAGCATTCTGATCAAAATAACTAATTTAGAAAAAGCCACAAATAGAGAAAAACAGTAAACAAAACATCATAGTTGCAGCTGATTTCATTTGCTGATATTTTTACACTATTACTAATAAAGATGCAATTTAAATGACTAGGATTTTGCTTTGATTCTGAAAGTAAGGTAAAAAACACAAATGGGAAAAAAGCAAGTAGAGAGAATTGACTTACTGCTGTCGACTTGCTCTATTTTCTTATCAATAGATTGTCATTTTATGGGAAAATTCATATGTATTTAAAGCAGCAGAGTGATGGAATGTACAACAGAGGTTTTCAAAACAGTCAATTTGAATGTATTCCATGAGTGCTATTCTTAATAGAAACATACATTACAATGTTGATCTTGCTCAGTGTTGTTATTTTGGCATCTTAAAATTTCTGTTTTGTCAAAGCCTGCTATTTCATTTAAAAAAACAAAAAAACAAAAAAACAAACAAATCTTTTTGCAAGACTAACCTCAAAATAAAGCCATGTCCTTAGGTACCAAAATTACAAACTCAGATGCCTATAGATTTCAAGGTTGGTCTTTATTAACAAGGTTCATTTTCAAAATGAGAGCCTCAAACAATAATCTCAGCAAACTTGTTTCCAGCCTAATGATTGTGCTAATCCAGGCTGAGCAGATGAGAAATAAAGAAGCTTGTCTCCCTATAAACTCACGTTTATGACTCTAATTTCCAAGTTCATTGTTCTGTTGATTTTTTATTTTTGGTTTCGAGCCCTATTGTTAAAAACAAAAAACTTGACACCATAGCACTTATGACAACCACACATAAAGGCTTTTCTTGGTGGGATATCTGAGTGTTTGAAATATTTATATAATGACTCACTATTATAGTTTAGATCACCTAGCAAAATCAGTGGTATTCTTCCAAGTCTTTGACCCTTGGATAATCAATTACTTATGATCCTCTTATTTTGGCATTGTCTATTTGATTAGTCTGAAAAACACCATGTCAAAGATAGGAGATAGGCAGCCCACAGGCCATGTTTGACTACGCAAATGTTTCTGTGAGCCCATGAAACTCCTTTTGAAATTTTGATCCAACATCACATAACAATCCAGATTTCTGTCATCTTTTTAAAAACTGGAAAGAAGTGGCGATTCATGGCAAAACATCTTTAGAAGCTGAGTGTTGGCAATGTACTCTTACTCTCCCATCCAATACAATCTCCAAAATTCTTAAAATATTTACCTCTGCTACCAACCTGTTCTCTGTAGGCATGTAAATTTGCCGTTTTTATCATTGGTTCTTGTGTTTTGGAGATCTAAGAAGGAAAAACACAATTATTATCAGTCCCTCCTGGACAGATAATGCACGATGGTGAGACAAGGATAAGACAATGGGGAAAATATTCCCCTCTAGAAAAGGAAAGAAGAGGAGGACACAGCAGTAGCCGGGCAAGGCAATGACGAAATTTTTCTGGGTGGTCGCAGAGAGGTTCTCTCGACCTGGTGGTGGGAAAAGTCCCTTGATTGGTTCCTGATTCAGAATTCTGGGGCAATTTGCTTGTGTATTGTTCTGTTTTGCCACTGAGACTTTCCTCGTTGTTTTTTATTGTATTCTCCAAAGGCAGGAATCTGTTTAGCACATGTTCTCTTCCCAGGTTTTCACAATCTTTCTTCTTCGTGCAAGAAAGCCTGAGGATGTGATTAAAATTCAAAGAGTCAAAGGCTGTTTGAGCCTGGATTTGTGGTTTCTTTGGTCATGCAATTACCTTAGTAACCTAATAGACTTCTCTATTTGCTTCCAGTTAATTTTTATGTACCAGCAACCAAACCCAAAGTTCTTTCTCAGGCATAATTCTCATGACTGATTTCTCTTTTGGCCTCTCTCTCCCTCTCTCTCCCTCTCTCTCCCTCTCTCTCCCTCTCTCTCCCTCTCTCTCCCTCTCTCTCCCTCTCTCTCCCTCTCTCTCCCTCTCTCTCCCTCCCTCCCTCTCCCTCCCTCTCCCTCCCTCTCCCTCCCTCCCTCTCCCTCCCTCTCCCTCCCTCTCCCTCCCTCTCCCTCCCTCTCCCTCCCTCTCCCTCCCTTTCCCTCCCTCTCCCTCCCTCTCCCTCCCTCCCTCTCCCTCCCTCCCTCTCCCTCCCTCTCCCTCCCTCCCTCTCCCTCCCTCTCCCTCCCTCCCTCTCTCTCCTTCTCTCTCCCTCTCTCTCCCTCTCTTTCCCTCTCTTTCCCTCTCTTTCCACCCCGCACCCCCACTACCTCATTTAGCAGCCAACCTGAGGCCATTGGACATAATGGACTTGGTAGGAGTCCGTACATTTAATCCTATTTGTGACCCTGTCGGGTTCTTAATGGGCTTTGTTTTTCAAAGCCTCTTTAATCCTTACCTTTTACTGTTTGAAGTCTAGAACAATTGGCTTTTCAAAATCTTATAGCTCCCATATTTCTAGACTCTCTGAAGTTCTTTACCTTCCTGCTTAGAATCTGCCTTAACTCATCCTTTTCTTATAATACTTTGCTAAAAACTGAAAGTAATGCCAACACATACCGTGACTCTTCCTTCTTCCATTAGTTCCATCCAGAGGTACGGTTATTCTGCCTTCCAGGTTACCATAGACCACTCTGTAACATGGTTCTACATCTTTCCAACCTCCTGTTTTTATTTCTTGCCAGGACAATACCAGGTACTTTTACTTTACCATAGTACTTTGAAGGTATCAATTTCTATATTGCTTAAGGTATTACTAGCTTCTGGAAAAGATAATTTCCAAAATCTCAGTGGCTTAACAAAACTATATTTTCCCTTCACGTTGAATCCAAAATAGCTGCTGCTGGTCATAGGAGGACTCTCCTCACATGGTGATTCAGGAATCCAGGCTCTTTCCATCCTGTGTCCCAGTCATATTCAGCATTTGACTTTGAAGGGTCTCCATGCTTGTGTCAAGCAGGCAGTGAGGAATAACACAGAAGGTTTTATTGTTGTTGTTTTGTTTTTCTTTTCTTTCTTTCTTTCTTTTTTTTTTAAAGAGACAGGGTCTCACTCTGTCACCCAGGCTGGAGTGCAGTGGCCTGATCACAGCTCACTGTAGTCTCTCCTGGGCTTAAAATCCTCCTGCCTCATCCTCCCAAACCACAGGCATGTGCCACCAAACCTGACTACTTTTTTAAAAAAATTTAGTATCGATGGAATCTCACTATGTTGCCCATCCTGGTGTTGAACTCCTGACCTCAAGCAATCCTCCCATGGGCCACTATGCCTGGCTGGAAGATGTTTTTTTTTTTAATGGGTCAGGTATGTACAAGGTGTACATTACTTCTACTTACAACCTATTACTGCACCTTACTGCAAAGAAGAAAAGAAAATATGATTTAGGCTTCATTTCCAGGAAGGAGATATAACAGCTTTGGTGATTCGTTAGCAATCTCTGCCACAGACCCTGTGTCTCAGTTCATTTGTGCTGCTATATACCTGCATAATTTATAAATAATAACAATTTATTTCTCATGGTTCTGGAGGCTGGGAAGTCCAAGATCGAGATACTAGCAGACACAGTGTCTGGTGAGCTTGCTATCTGCTTCCAGGATGACATCTTGTTTTATTCTCATAAGGGAGAAAGGCAGAAAGAGCAAAAGGCACTAGGATGCTCTAGTCACCTCTTTTATAAGAGCACTAATCCATTCATGAGGATGGAGCGCTTAGGACCTAATGAGTTCTCAAAAGGCCTCACATTTTAATACTATCATCTTGAGTATTAGGTTCCAACGTAAGAATTTTGGACGGCCGTATGCATTCAGACCATAGCATGGTGTATTCCCAAGTACTGAAATCACTACACTAGGGGAAAATAGTGACCGTATGATTTCAATATTATTGACTGAATTTCCTCACATTTATATTGATCCCAATGAGTATTTAACTCTGTATATGTTGCAGTTATATACTCAAGTGGCTAGTTTATATTAACTTGCTGGCTTTGATTGTAGTTGTGATAGCAAGGTCTCTATGTTTCAATATGTTCTCTATTTTTAACCTCTGATTATAAGGAGTATGAAGGCATCCTTTCAAGGGAAACAGTAAAAGTAAATGAAGTTATTTTGGTTTAATCATGTGCTAGTCCCTATCTTTAATCAGTGGGATAGGCTCCAAGGCCTATAGCTGTGGAAACATCTGAGTGAATTGACAAGTTGGATTCAAAATGTACTATGAATTTATATAAAATTTGTAAATATAATGTTTTAAAAAGTAGAGACATTTTAGTACCTTGAAGACATAAGGTTGCTATCTATCTTTTTAGGCTTTTGTAGTTTTTGTTTTAGAACAAAGGCTCAGATTTCTTTTTCTTTTTTTTTTTTTTTTTTTTTTGTTTTGAGATGGAGTCTCACTCTGTCACCAGGCTGGAGTGCAATGGCATGATCTTGGCTCACTGCAAACTCCGCCTTTGGGGTTCAAGCAATTCTCCTGCCTCAGCCTCCCAAGTAGCTGGGAGTACAGGCGCCTGCCACCACGCCTGGCTAATTTTTGTATTTTTAGTAGAGACGGGGTTTCACCATGTTGGCCAGAGTGGTCTGGATCACTTGACCTCATGATCTGCCCGCCTCGGCCTCCCAAAGTGCTGGGGTTACAGGCGTAATCTTAAATCTTAAAAGTTTAAAATGTCTTCTATTTTTAAATGACTTTCATAACTTTAATGCACTATTTCATTAGGACAGTGATTTGCAAATGTTATCTTTGATTTAAAGTGGTCTTTGTGGTTTTTACTTTTTCTAAGTATTTAAATTTTCTGGTAAAGAAGGGAGGCTTTGTAAGGCCTAGAAACGTGTCTTTATTTTTATTAAGTAGATGGGTTCAAGACAAAATAAGGAGGAAAAGATGGAAGGAAGGAGAGAAATCGTACTACCTTGGACTAAAAATAACATTTGGTGGGTGCAGTTGGCCCATGCCTATAATCCCAGCACTTTGGGAATCAAGGCGGAAGTATAACTTGAAGCAAGGAGTTCAATACCAGCCTGGGCAACAAAGTGAAAATCCCTCTCTATAAAAAAAAATAAGAAGAAGAAGAAGAAGCAAGGCATGGTGGTGTGCACCTGTAGTCCCAGCTACTTGAGGGGCTGAGACCTGAGAATTGCTTGAGCTCAGGAGTTGGAGGATGCAGTGAACCATGATTATGCCACTACACTCCAGCCTGGGTGAAAGAGTGAGACCCTGTCTCTAAATAACAATAATAATAATAATATGCTTTATAAAAAGGAAGGAAAGAAGAGCTGAAAAGAAGCATCTTGGGTGTACTTTCTCTTTCTCCACCACTTTTCTTGTGAGCATAGTCCATAGTTAGTAGAAAACTGACATGCAATAGACATGTGGGATGCTGAGTGGTCTTGTCACCCAACTTCGCCATTTTCACAGAGGCCTAAAGATGCTGCATGTCTTGTTCAAGGCTACACATATTCTTAGTTTGAACCAAATTGCATATTTAATAAGAAATGTTAAATCATTTTTTTTAAGCCAGGGCCAAAAGGACTTGGAAATATTTAGAAAAAGTATATTTTGTATTTGTACATAAAATTCCTACACCTGCCTATAAGCACTCTGTAACTATTTTTCCCTTACTGAAGAATTTAGCTTTTGCTAGAATTTCAAAAGCTACGTAATTATCTGCACACAGTGTCTTGTATCTTGGAACAAATGTTGCAGGAGCTGAGATCTGCCGCTGCTGAGGACTGGGCACTGAAGTTCAGCCACAGTCCAACACGTGAGGTGACTCCTAGGTCAGAAGGAAGCAGAAGGGATGAGGCTGCAGGTCCCAAGGATCTCCCCGTGAGGTGACAATCTGGGTGATATAACAAGCAATGGTGAGATAAAAGGTCACAGGGATGCAGGACACAGTGTGAACCACTCTCTCTCTCTGCTATGTGGAAAAGCTTTCACTTTCACTTTCCCAAGAGAAGAGGGAATTGTCACATCCTTCTTTCCAAGTTGATGTTTCTCTAATTCTTTGCCCCATCCTGTTGTATGTTTTGTGTATCTTATCCCCAAAACTATTCCCACAGCAGCATGTTTAGCTAGTGACTGAGCCCAGTGGGGACAATAATGTATCAGCTGCTTTATTAGAAAAAGGAAGAGTGGGGGGCTGGCAACCAGTTTCCATTTGGGAGGACTCTGTCATGGTGAGTAGACAGGACGATGACTCAGCAGTTATATGATTTTCAGGTTCTGTATCCTGAAATTGTCTGAACATGCAGTAACACATAGATGAGGGCTTACTGACAGATGCGTAGCTTGCACGTACAGTTTCTTTTCTTCCCAGAACTTGTCTAAACATTGGAGTCATTTGTTGCCTTGGGCCTCACTGCCTGAAGCATCTCTCTTCCCTCTGAGTTCCTGACTCCAGCTCCGTCTGGCTGCAGAGCAATCTCAGGTCTGTGTCCTTAGGTGTTTGATTCCAGCCGAGACCTGGCAGAACTTCCTGCCTTCCAGAACCAGCTATGTCAAATACACATCGCGATTATTTTACTGAAGGGGCTTCAGCCACCTCCGCACATTGCTCAGGCTGAGTAAAAAATAGAGACCATTAACTGCGTGTGTACCTTATTACAGAATTAACATTTAATTCTTATGCAGTGTGTGAAAAAATGTATTTCACCTCCAGAATATCCCATATACAATCTTAATTTTAATAGAAAGAATATGCTCTGCTATGTGACGCTTAAGATACTGGGACACACAGTAATATACAACTGATATATGCTGATGTGGCAGGTGTGTTAAGTAATTCAGATATTTTTACAGCAAAATTAAAGCAAATTAATGAAGATTAGTATCTGAGGTTTGCCAATCCTCTTGTATAAATAAAATAAACATGAGGAATATTTACCTTAAATGGAACCTTGAATTTATCACTTGTATCACTTGCAGAAATGAGAATTTGTTAAAATAAATACAGGGCCTATGTCAATGGTAAAAAAAATTAAAATTTTACATTTCTACTTGTAAGAGCATAATTCCTTTCAAGAATAAATAAGTAGCACATTGTATCTGGACAACTAGGTGGCGCTGGTGTATTATCCTTTCAATCCCAGAAAAGCAAATTCAAATATCATCTTATATATTCCAGCTCAGTGGTCAGACATGCATGTGATCCTCAGCTGCACGTTTCAGTGGTAATTTAGAAGAGACTCATGAGTGAATATTGGAAGTGCTGTCACTCTGCAGGGAACACTAACTACTCTCTAGCTTCCCATTGGCATGTTGCAGATACAGACCTTGAATTCAGAATCTTACTTTTAAAATTTCTAGAAAATCTGGTATTCTTCTGAAGGTAGGAAGCATTTTGAATTAAAAATGTCTTTGGAAATGTGGATCCTTACAGATACCAGAATATTTAAGAGAGATTATTCAAAGCAATTTTGTTACCATCAGAGGTTTTAAAAATGAAATTTCACAGGACACAGCCAAAGGGACGCTTGTAAGTAATTAGATCCTACATAAAGACAGTATTTAAATTTCAAATGTAGACTTGCGAAATTACATAATAACATCAGGTACTTGTGTCATTCTAATGGTTTTAGGCGCTGTTTAAGTACTTTGCATATATTAACTCAATTATTCCCACAACAGCCTTTGAAGTATTGGATGAAGTTACTGGGAAACGGAGAGAAGCGGTAACTTGCCCAGTGCCAAGCAGCTACAAGTTCTGGGACAGAGCTTCAAATACAAGAGAATTTTCTGTCTTGGTCACTATTCTTTCCACATTGCCTCTTAAACAGCCTGCATAAACACTTCTTTAAACAATTTTAGTGTGACACAGATGCTTACAGTGCAAAATTAAAATAAACTTAACAGATAAATTAGAATTGGACATTTGTCTGATAGCAACATGATAGCTATAAGATCAATAACTTTCCGTCACAGAAATAATATAGAATTTAAACTTTACTTGCATATAATCTAGATAGAAAAATTTGCATATAAGAAAAAGAGTGTGAGACACATCAGGAAATGTATCAAGATACTGTTGAACTGGCTCATTTAAAACCTGAATACCCAGGGGACATCACCAATATTGTCCTCAGATAATGATGTAGAAATGCATTTCCTTGAATATATGCTTATCTTTATTTTCATCAGTAGGATCCATGAGAAATAATGAAAAGGAATCTTTTGTTAAAAGATAAGTACAGGTGTCTTCGAAGTAGTTCAACATGCCATGGGCAAACCTTTACTGAGTACTTAAATAAAGCAGAGATTATGCCATGGAAAGCATGAGAACTGAAAAGAATATGGCTGTCTTAGTTTTCTACTGCTGCGTAACATATTACCATATTTAGCAGCTTAGAACTGCACCCATTTATTAGCTCACAATTCTACAGATGAGAAGTCCAGAAGTCCTGGACCCTCTGCTTTAGGGTCTCACATAGCCACACTCAGGGGTTGGGCTAGCCTGAGTTCTTACCTGGGAATCTGGAGAAGAGTCAGTCAATTCAGTTGCCGGCAGAATTCAGTCATGTGCAGCTGTAGGATTGAGGTCCCTGTTTCTTTGCTGGCTATTGACCAGGAGCTGTTGTCAGCTTCTGGAGGCCACCTATATTCCCAGGCTTGTGGGCCTTCCATTTTCAAAGCCAGCAATGCCACGTCAAATCCTTCCTATGCTTTGAATCTTCCTGACTTCCCATCATGCCGCTGTCATCACCTTTTAAAGGATGTGTGTGCTTAAGTGAGGCACATGCCAGTTAATCATGGTATTTTAAGGCAACCTGATTTGGGACTTTAATTACAACAACAGAACCTCTGCAGTGCGTAGATGACTGTTTGAGTTACCAGAAGATAGGAATATTAGGGAGTCATCTTTGGAATTCTGACCCACATCATCAATGGCTACACCATCAAGAGGCACATTTTGTTCATCTTATGATTCCTTGTCAGTGGACACACTTTTCCTAATGTCAAGGTGACTATTGACGTGGATAATGAACTTGGAGATTAAGCCAGAATATAGTAATAACCACCATGAATTAAGTACATGGAATATGCTTGGTGTCTCAAACACACTTTCTCCTTTGATCCTCACACAACACTTCAAGTATAAAGCTGAGCTTCATAGACTTTCTGCAACTTGCTAACATCAGACAGCCAGTAAATGAGGGAGCCAAACTTCAAGAAAAGAACTGTATGAACACAGTGTCTGTGCTTTTTGCAGCACAGCATGAAGGAAAAAGGATCTGAGAGTCTTGTCCTTGAGAAGAAAGTTACACTTCAAGCAGAAAGATTAAATAAAATTTGTTATGCAACATCAATATGATTAATGATTCATTACAGATAGTATAAAATGTTTTATATGTATGTACCTGTTATTCCATGTTCATTTTTATCACACTAATTAAGAAAGTTTTATATATAATGTGTATATGTGTATGTTTTATATATAAAGTATATAATGGAAATTAAGATTAATTCAAAGATGCTAGAAGCAGCTATAGAATAATTATTGAGATGGGATTTTATCAGGAATGGGGAAGCCTGAAGGGAATCTAAAACATTTGCTTGCAGATATGGTGACCTTAAATTTGTTTGTTCTACCTTCAAACACCAGTTTGAAGGGCACCGTTTTAAATTGGGGTGTCATACTTAGAGCCCATTTTTAAAGAAAGCAGCACCTCAGAGGGTTAATTTCTAATAAACATTTGAAACAGCTCCTCTCATACTGATGGATAAAACTCTGTCCTGTCAAATGTATGAACTACAGAACCATGAATCTCCTATCAAAAGAAGTTTTTAGACTTGTGCTAATGGATTTAATCTTACCACTCATGATGTGGTTCTCAAAAGTGATGATGGTGAGAAGATCCTAAAAGGGGTGGAACTTAGGAAATCCAGTTGGGAATTTAAGTTCTAGGATAAAATAAGAATGTTCATTGTCTTAGTTTATTTGTGCTGCTGTAACAAACTACCTTAGACTGGGTAATGTATAAAGAACAGAAATGTATTTCTCACGATTCTGGAGGCTGGGAAGTTGAAGACCAAGGTACCAGCAGATTTGGTGTGTGGTGAAGCCTTGCTCTCTGCTTCACAGGTGGCCCCTCCTACTGAGTCCTCACTTGGTGGAGGGGGTGAATGCTGTGTCCTCACATGGGGGAAGGACGGAAGGGCAAAAGGGACAAAATTGCTTCATCAAGCCCTTTTATAAGGACATTAATCCCTCATGGAGATATAAGAGCCCTCATGCCTACTAATCGTCTCTCTAAGGCCTTACTTAACACCGTCACCTTGGGGGTTATGTTCCAACATATGAATTTTGGAGGAACACATGCATCCAAACTATGGCACTGGTCATGACGACCGCCACTGCTAATAGTATCATGTATTAAATATTCATGTCGGCTAGTCAACTGAGTTAAGAGAATATTTCTAGACCACTATGTAAAAAATGATACTGTTCCTATTTTGGAGATGAGGAAATGTGAGATCAAGAAACTGTCACTTTCTCAAGCTCTCATAGCAACTAATTGACAAAGCTGGAATTCGAGCTTAGCAGGGTAATTGTGTTTTTCAAAAGTGTTGTTTTTTCTCCTATGTCATTGGGCCTCTCCGCAATTTAGCTTTGTCCAGAAATATCTGACATCCTGAAAGTGCTCTTGGTTTATGTGTGACTCACGTAGGACATACACAATGTCTTGCCTTTTTTTTTCCTACTGCCATTACTTTTAAATGAGCCCAGCCAAATGCCCTGTATGGCCACCTAGTGGGCCATGTGTCAGTGACATCTGAGAGCAGGGTTAATACTTGATGGTGGAAAATAACTTTTGTGCATGTGGAATTAAGTAATCAAACTGGTGATCCTGTCCTTATGAATACAGTACTCCTCCCTATATGATTAAATAGTCCAAAGTGATTGAAAACTATTTGTCATACTTTAGTAGTAGACAAAGAGTGGTAGAATGATTTTTTTTGTTCTTAATGATTCCAAAACCACATATGAGATATGAAGAAAACAGATGCAGAAAATTCTGAGTAAGGTAAGGAGTAAGATTCTTAGACGTGAGAAACTGGCAACCTAGATCTCCCAGGTGAGTAAGACAAACAAATATCAGTGTAGGACAAGCTAAGTAAAAGAAATATATCTATGGGTTAGAAACAATCTAAGCAAATTAACTATAAATTATTGCAGAGGAACTAATTGTTATGTGGCTTAATAAACTTAGGATATAATAGTCTCAGTTGGTAAAGAAATCTTTATATACTTATTTTCTAAGTTTTCTTGCCACCAGCCATAAGAAGTAATAAAGAAAGTAACTAAATGTGGTGTAAAATCCTTAAAGCGTTAAGGAGGAGAACATTAAAAAGAAGCTACAGTGAAGTGCTGATTAACAAAGCAATCCTCTTTGGTGCTTGTTTTCCACCATCATCTACATACCATGACCTCTGGGAACGTTTTGATAATTCAGTAAGCTCTTTGAAGATGAATTTTGGTAAGTGAAGTAACTTCAAGAGGAGTATCTTGAGGAGATCTGGAGGCTCAGGGGAAAGTAGGTCTCTGTTAGGTTGTTTGCTTCCGGTAGCAGGGGAGTAAGAGGTATCATTCATTTGACAGGGCAGTAGGAGAGGGTGTCTAGGAAGTAGTGAGAGAGACCATCACTATTGCAAGTATCATTGTCCTCTGTGCTTTGTCCATCCTGTAAAAAATTTTACTGTTTAATGGATTTTTTTAATATATTCAGTAATTTAAATATTGCATATTTTAAAGTCAGTAGACTTCACTTTGTTAGGTTTACAGAAAAATTGAACAGAATATAGATAATTCTCTCTCTCTCTTCCCCATCAGTTTCCTCTGTTATTAATATCGCACATTGGCGTGGTACATTCTTCTACAACTGATGCACCAATGTAATAAATTATTACCAATGGAAATTTATAGTGTACATTAGGCTTCACCCTTTGTGTTGTGTAGTTCCATGGGTTTTGCCAAATGCGTAATGTCATACAACTGCTGTTACCGTATCACACAGAATAGTTTCAATCCCCTAAAAATGTCCTCTACTCCACCTATTCATCCTCTCCTCATATTCCCCTCAATCCTGGCAACCACTGATCTTTTTACCCTTTATAGTCTTGTGTTTTCCAGAGTGTCACAGAGTTGGAACCATAGAGTGTAGTATTTTCAGAGTGACTTCTTTCACATTAGCAATATGCGGTGATGGTTCCTCCATGATTTTTTATGGCTCGATGGGTCATTTCTTTTGACCGCTGAATAATATGTCTGAATTATTGTCTAGATGTGCCATGATTTATTTATTCATTCACCTATTGACAGACATCCTGGTTTCTTCCCATTTGGGGCAACTATGCATAATTCCACTATAAACATGTATATGCAGGTTTTTGTGTAGATTATAAGTGTTCAGCTCAGTGAAGTAAATACCTAGGAGCAAAGCTTGCTGGATCATGGGATAAGATTATGTTTAGCTTTGTAGACTAAAGCTTTCTTCCAAAGTGGCTGTATCATTTTGCATTGCCATTAGCGATGAATGAGAATTCCTGTTGCTCCATCATGGATCATTTTAAACAATGACAAATGAGAGCTGATTTTGCATACTGGAAGCTTTAATCTGCTTATAGGCATGGGCAGAGAAGAAATATCTTCAGTAATAGTCATAATTTTATACTGTGGTAGCACTATGTCATGTCTAAAAATTATAACAATAACAGATTATTTACTTTTCTTTGACCAGAGGCCTTATTTTAGAATAAGCTAATGAATAAGAATAATATTATTAAAATATTTAATGATTACACACATTTAAAAAGCTGAAATACATTAGTTTATATAAAACATCTCATTTCACAACTATACAAGGCATTTTAGGTAATGTTCTACAAATATGAGTACTACATAGACTCTCAATTTGAGTGGCATATCCTGGTGACAAAGAAGATGGACTTTGGAAATGTACAATATGGACAAATTACATAGCTTGAACTTCAATTATATTATCTGTAAACTGATTATAATAGTACACTCTGATTAAGCATGGACAAAGCCCAGAAATCGGGAATGCATAGGGTATATTTGGTGGAGGATGAGAAGTCTGTTTTGTATTATTCTTATAGGACAATACTGTTGAGGGTCCTTAATGTCACTCTAAAGAGTTTGGACTTTATTTGGTGTATGGAAATCCACTGAAGAGTTTTTTAAAGGTTGCTCACAGAAGGTGGCCTATTCAGACTTTTACTTTAAGATTATTTGAGAATAGAGTTAAAAATTTTTGAAAGAATTAATGTATCTTGACAACTCTTCAGAGCTGCACCATTGCCATTCTGTTACTCTTTTCTGTGAATTAGAAAGAGAGCTCCTTTCCTCAAGATCTTATCATTTTCTGGATAATTTTCTAGTCTATCCAAGATCTTACCATCGTGTCGTTTGATAACTGTGCTGTGGCTGACACCCCTCAGCGTTGCTCAGTGAACAACAGTGCAATTGTATGCAGGAGTCTTCTTAACATCCTGTTATTTCCTCCATAGTTCAATGAAACAGGCCTAGCAAGGTTCTTCTTTTAGTTTCTTTTTTGAGCTATTTATTTTTTACTCCTTTTGTTTTAAATATACCTAATACAGCCATACCCAAAATCTTTACCTCTGCTTCTAATATTTTCCCCTTTTTGGAGCTTAATTCAGCATACTGGACTTCCCTATTTTGATATTCTGATGCTTTTCAAAACTAACTTATCCAGCATTGAACTCATTATCTTCCAACCTCCAAGCAGCTCTTCCTGATTACTCTCTCTCTCTGTTAACAGCAACACCTTTGTTTTAGCCACTCAGCCTGCAGGCCAAAGAGTTATGTTTGATTCCTCTTTTCTTCCTGTTCCCAGTATCACTGTTTATGTTTGTGCAGGTTGTGCACTGCCAAATCTAAGGAGCACCATTACATCATAAGCATTGTGAACTTATATAACAATTAGGACAATTTTCCATCACATCTTTTTGTGCAGAGCACTGTTTGTCCCTGGCATAAAGGCCTTTCATGGGTTAGTGACAGTCTTGTAAGGAGGTAGTGAGCAAATTCTTAAAAACTGGAAGCAGCAAGTATAAATATAAAGTCATGCCTCAAATATTTGTTGGTTTAGCAGTCACAGCAATAGAGAAGACTGTGACATCTAAGAGTGGTAAGACTCTTTTATGATTGGAGCATCTATTCAGGCAGAGACAAGAAAGTAATTAAACATGTAGAGATCTGAGACGGAGACAAAAAATGATAACAGTGTGATTTGATTGTATAGGCATTGATCATGTTTTATATTAGAGCAGAAAACACTATGATAAGATATATTGAATGCAGTCCTGACTTTCTGCTTAGCCATTTCCTCTAAAATATTCTGACAAATATTCTCAAGGACAAAAGTGTTCTTAGAGCCTGGGGACTATGGGTCATTGAGATAGTCATAATCCCTCCTCCCAGTTTTGCTCCACTGTGAATTTTGTAGAAAGTTTGCCAGAGGACAAATGTGGGAGACGTTATCTTTCCTACTACAGTGTTTCAAATCAAAATTGTAAATGATGGGAGTTGAATGACAGCTATCACCGTATCAGCACACAGGGCGGATGGCACTGAAAAGAACATCACCAGTGCTCCAGAGACGCAAAATGTTTCCCTGCATACATCATTAGTTTTCCTCCATGGTGTTACGGGGGAGTTTTAAGCTGATTTAGTTCTTTGAGTGGTAGGTAGTGGCAGTTGCTGTAGCTTGGCATGAAGTGCAGATTGTTCCACATTGTGGAAACAGACATCATCATTATATTGAGTCTGAAAAGGCCTGTTCATCAGTATGTCAGCCAGTAGGATTATGTGACAAAGGGGTGAGAATATCGCCTGAAGATGACTAGGCCCTCGAAGTCTCAAACAGGTTAAAAATAGTAGTTATGATTTGCATAAACCAACAATCTTTGCTATTCCTCTATGTTTAGGCCTCTACCAAGATAATTCTTATCTATTTGCTAATTACTTTATACTTGCTAAAGCAGTCAAAAGCAGCCTCATCTTTGGTTTTAGGAAAGTACCATGTGGACAGGGCAAGTTGTATTATCCTGATTTTATGGAAGAGGCAACTGACATCCAGTGAGATAAAATTGTGGAAACGTCATTATTAACTGAGAACTGAACAGATACTCTGCCCCCATCCCTAGGCTCCTTCATCTATGAGACAATGCCTCTTTAAAGGTAACTCTTTAAGTTATCTTTGAGATAAGTGGGGAGCATCTCCCACCACTGGGTCTGAAGATCAGTGTCATGACCACATGAATTTACTCTGTTAACCATTAAGCTGCCGGTGTAGTGGATTCTGAGGTGATAAACTTGCTTCCACATCATGCTCCTACTTTGCTGTCGCTGCACTCAGCTCTTGGATTTCAGCACAAAAAATTATTACCCAAGAGCTGTAGATACAGAGATTTTACATTATTAAACCCAACACTTTGCAATATATGAAGAAAAACCTTCTTTAACCAAATCTATATGAACAACTTTAGTTCAA
Organism: Homo sapiens; assembly: GCF_000001405.40. NCBI lineage: Eukaryota > Metazoa > Chordata > Mammalia > Primates > Hominidae > Homo > Homo sapiens. Next base: position 180,837,091 of record NC_000004.12, read on the forward strand.
ATCAGTCTTTAGGGTTTCCATCTTCCTCTGGGAAAGTGAGAGCTAGTAGGAGAAGTTTACTGTTCTTACAGAGGAGTACGCTGGAATCACACTTTAAAACCTCCTTATAGATACAACCGTAGAAGTAAATTGCCTACAACAGAAGTCCTTTCATTCTTCTGTAATGGAATTTGAGTGGAGACCAAGGTGCCCTCTCCCCTTCCCACATTTTCTCCAGGAATTCTCTTACTGTGAACTGTTTTTCTCGTGAGTTTCTCTGTATATGTGTAATCTGACATAAAATATGCATACCATAAAAGTTTTCAATTAACTTCTAATCTGAATTAACCAGACTCTAGTAGACATTTAATAAAAGGCAATTGCATAAAAGTTTAATGTATTCATGCTTTTATTGGGATTTAGGTTAGATCTATATTTGTAAATGGGATCAGACACGACCAATCTATTTTGTGATTTCATGAAACATTGTTTATTATGAGTTTCTCCAAATACACTCTGGTTCTGTTTATTTTTATGTATATGTAGATAATCTACAGTGCATAATAATGACAAATCTTTTTCTTTGAGCTAATATTGCTGCAACCATGTCCTGGGTGTTTTAAAAACAAAAGTTTTCATTTGCCAGTCACCTTATTTGATATAAATTAGCAATAATTCCTTTGTTGCCGATTTGTTTTACAGTTCCAAAGGAAACTAAACAGAGATTTACTTCCCATCTCTTTTATGTAGTGTCTCAATAATTTTTGAAAATAAAGAGGTAGTTAGCTATGATATAGTATTGGTATAAACCAGATTGAGAGAGAGAGACATACAATTGATAGGTACGGGCAGAATATATACTAAGGCATCCTTAATCTTCAGCTCACGAATCCGTAATTCATTATCTGATGGAAATACATCTACGCTATTGATTTCCATAAGATGAAGACTTTTGGTTTCTCTAATCACGTCCATTAGTTTCCTCTAGACAGATTAATAATTGTTCACAATTGCTAATGGCAATTGTAGGCATTTAATTTTGCCTCTACCCTTGTGAAGTTGCTACTTGGCAGCATATTTGTGCAGTAGTAGATAAAGAATAATCCTAAGGCAATAAAACAGTCTCTATTTGTTATAGTACTTTGTTTACAAAAGCATCGTTATAAGCACTTCAGAGTACAAAACTGTCCACGTACTTTTTTTAAAATTAGAAATTTATTTTAGACTTTAAGACAATTTCATTACCTAAGGGACCAAAAACTGATTTTTAAAACTGATGTTACCCAAAGAAGATGAGCTTCTTTATTTTCTTTTGACTGGTAAATCTGAACAATGCAAATCTAAGCAATGAATCTTTTCAAGAGAATTGCAGTTATTTTTAAGTCCATATGTAGAATGTTTATACATTTATACAATAGATTTTATGTTTTATTGTCTCATTTCTTATGATTTAGAGTGGTTTTTGAGTCTGATATGTGTTAATTCTTTAAGAACATCTTAAAATGTTGCTCTACGATTATTTTAAATTAAGTAGATGTACCCTCAGTTCTATTCAATGGCATTCAGTTGCTGAAGAATTGATCAATTATTTTAGAGAAGTTTCTACTGTGGCACAGACCTCAGATTTCTATGGAAGATGTAAAAGTCCTCAATGTTCAGAGTAAAAGTATTGATTGCAAAATGACTTTCAACTCCAAACAAGCTTTGATTTAAATGATAATATCTTCCAATTGCTAAAACTAGATACAACATTTGATGTACCTAAGCATAAATCATTCTTCCATCCTATAAATATTGCCGAAAATTAAGGAACTTATTAGGTAATATAATCATAATAAGAATTAACGTATATCAACATACCCATTGCCATAGTTTCTAAACACACCTAGCCTTAACTGCAATGTGGTCAGTGTGGTATTAAATAAGTCTCTTTTTTAGTTCTATATACATTGTAGAAGTTTTTTTAATAGACTTATACCCCCTTTATAGCTTATTCAAGTGTTGCCATTTCCCTTCCAACAGTGGCTTTATTTGAATTTTCATGGGAATAAAAGGTTAAATTAAGGATGTGTGGTTAAATTTCTCATTTTTTCTCATGATGTGGTGTTAGATGCATTAGAGTATCTAAGAATGAATTTGGAAGCACTTAATTGGAATTATCATTATTTTGCTTTACAGTATTTATTTCTAAGTCTTTAATATCAAAATAAGTAACAAATAAAATTTATGTAAATATCCAAATAGAAAAGAGCAGGGAAATTCATTTTGTGCAATATTGTTGTATTTGGTATGATTCTTTTTTTATCGAAAATATGTCTTTGTGTGAACAACATAAAATGGAAGATTTAGTATAACATTTGCCTTATATTTATTTCCACTGTTTAATGCTAATGGCTATGCACTATGTGCTTTTCATATTCTTTAGCAGGGACAAATTGTTTAGATTTATTTCTCTATTGAGAACTTTAAAGCCACAATATTCCTATTGTAAAGAGTTTATCTTTTGTCGTCCTACAGAATAGATGTTTAACAGTTAATTCCTCTTTCTCTTGTTTTTGTTAGTGGTTTCAGTAATGATACATCGTTTACCTAACTTTGAAGGACAAATGACACAGCTGATCTTGAAACTTACGTACCAGATAATACGTACTGTCATCTTACAGCAAGTTTTGTGGGTTTTAACATTGGAGAGCCTGATTATTTCTGTTCTTGGTTCAAGTTTGTTGCTTGGCCTTAGTGATGGTACTAGTCAGGGTTCTCTAGAGAAACAGAATCAACAAAATGTTAGAATATGTACGCGTGTGTGTGTGTGTGTGTGTGTGTGTGTGTGTCTACACACATACACAGAGAAGAGAGATTGAGAGAGATTTAAGTTATTGGCTCACAGGATTGTGGAGGTTTGGCAAGTTCAAAATCTGATGTGGTAGGCTGACAGGCTGGAGATCCAGGGAAGAGTTGCAGTTTAAATCCAAAGACAGTGTGCTGGAAACATACCTTCTTGCTTAGGGAAGTTCAGTCTTTATTAATGCCTGTAAGTGACTGGGTGAGGGTCACTCACATTATGGAGAGCAATCTTCTTTACTCAAAATCCACCAATCTAAAAGTTAATCTCATCAAGAAACACCTTAACAGAAACACCCAAAATCGTGTTTGACCAAATATCTCGGCACCATGACCCAGGTACATCGACACATAAAATTGTGTTGCTGACATCATGGCGCCCTGTCCTGTGCCTGCGTCTCTTCAGTAGCACTCATACATTCTACTTATAGGACTGCTGCCCTCTTCTGCTTTCTCAGAGGTCTGCAGGGTTTTCTTCCCCGCCTTGAAGTACTAAAGCTATTACTACTAATAATCACTACCATCATGGATAATTATTATAATTGTTTCCCTTTATCCACTGAAACCTCAGTTTCAGCCACAGTACGGTACAATAAGGTATTTTGACAGAGAGAGAGAGGAGAAATGAGATACCACATTACTGAAGTATGTGATAATTGTTCCATTTTATTGTTAATCTATTACTGGGATTAATTTCTAAATTAAACTTTCTCATAGTGTGTATGCATAGGAAAAGATATAGAATATATAGGGGTGGGTACTATTCATGGTTTCAAGCATCCACTGGGGGTCCTGGAATGTATCCCACCAGGAAAAATGCTATACAATTACTATTGCTACTACTACTCATAGGAACAAATTCCCAAACACCTTCTATATGGTTGGCGGTGAAACATGAGTTATACTCAAAATTTTTATCTCTAAAACTCAAAACAGGAAAGTAGTTATAAATATGTTGTAGATGAGGGACCTGAGAGTCATTAGGATTAAGGGGCTTGTCCAAGGCCCGACATTTATGGAGTGGCCAAACCAGATCAGATCCCATGAATCTGTATCTTCTTGATGCCACAGCTTTAATTAAAGGCATCATTAGGTTGCACATTGTAGAGCAGTCAGCTACAGTTAGCTGTTATGACTTCACAGTGACAAGAGGGGATTTAAATCGAAGCCAAAGCCATTAAGTAAGATATATGAACAAGTTTTGCCACAAAAAGCCCCTTCATCAAAGATTATTATGATAGTTTATGTAATATTTCTCTGAGATTTTTTAAACGGAGAGCCCTTTATTTTGGATAATTCTCAGACTGAGTCTGGCTAGAGAGAGGGAAATTGAATACATCAATAATGTTCTTTCCCCTCTCTGTCACTTCCGTCTTGCCTTTCATGAATTGATTAGGGGTGATGTTGGAGAGACTCAGATTTGAATTGCTTGATAAAGAAGATCAAGATCCTCACTGAGGAATTTGGATTTGGTTTCATTAGGAATAGATATGCTATAGATTCAAGGGAATGATCATTTTAGAGCCAAATGGACCAGGCATCCTCTATTATGCCCTAACGGTACTACCTCCTAATTCTGAGACAATCTTTTAGTACCTCCTACATTATGATCCACTCGGATGTCCCAATGATGTTTAATGTCACCATGTTGTATCCAAGTAGTGTTTCTTTATTATAGTAAATATTCCATTAGACCCAGAAATGTTATCCTTCTCTAATAGTTCTACTAATTTTGAGAACTGATATTATCTTTTTGAGGTCACAATTTAGAGCATCGTTAACGATACGGCAGTCTCTGTTGACAGTGATACTCAGGGAACAGAACTCACAGAACTTCCTCCCTGCAGTCAGAACAATCCCATTGGAGGCGTAAGTGGCTCCACCCATGAATTTTGGAGCCCTGTAGGCTGAGCTACTTGAAGCGTAGAATACAGAGGCATTAGATGCTGACACACATAGAGTTTTCCATTTTGATAGAATTTTGTCTCTTTTTAAAATTGGTTCTGTTCCAACTTCACAGGCTCTTTAAAAATTTTTTAAATTTTTACTTTTTGTGAGTACATAGGTAAATATCTTTATGGGTTACATGAGATATTTTGATACAGGCATACAATGTGTAATAATCACATCAGGATAAATGGAGTATGCATCACCTAAACATTTATCATTTCTTTATGTTATAAGCATTCCAATTATACCTTTTTAATTATTTTTAAATGGAAAATTAAATTATTTTTGACTATAGTCACCCTGCTGTGCTAGCAAATACTAGGTCTTATTCATTCTTTCTATTTTTTTTTTTTTCTCCACAGGATTTTTGAGAGGTTACAAATACTTCTATGTCTTCAACAGGGAAATTCACATTTTCCTGAATTGTATAGAGCATTGACTTTTTAATTTTGAACTTCTTAGAATTGGGAGAATTATTCACTTCATTTTGGTATGATCATGGTAACTCATTTTGTTACATCACAATCAGAGTGAGTGTAGCTTTCTTGAAAAGTACTCTTACTTGTAAATGTTGCTTGGCTATCACTTTTGTTATTTTTTTTTCTTAAATAGGCCTAAATGCCACAAAATTACAAAATTAACCTTCATTAATTTTTTTAAAACATTTATAAAAATTATACCATCTCGGGATTTCCTTAGAATGTACTTTTCACGTCATTGGGGAAATTTGATAAAAACACAATTTCAGGCCTGGAAAATATTTTGGGGGACCGGACTCCAGTTCCTAATAGTTGCTGGTGGGTTCACTATAATTTTAAGTTGGCAAGCTACTTAACATTTTAAGACTCACTTTTGTACCCAGCACTCTGTCTAGCACATATTTGACACCCAACACCTAGCATGTAGTGAATGCCCAGTAGTTATTTCTATTATTTCTAAAATTATATTATTTCCTGTAGGCAACTCTATCCCTGAGAGTTACAGAGTCAGAAGTACAGGCCATGTGCAGTGGCTCACATCTGTAATCCCAGCACTTTGGGAGGCTGAGGCAGGTGAATCACCTGAGGCCAGGAGTTCAAGACCAGCCTGGCCAATGTGGTGAAACACCATCTCTACTAACAATACAAAAATTAGCCGGGCGTGGTGGTGTGCCCCTGTAATTCCAGCTACTTGGGGGACTGAGGCAGGAGAATCGCTTGAACACAGGAGTTGGAGGTTGCAGTGAGCCAAGATTGTGCCACTGCACTCCAGCCTGGGCGACAGAGCGAGGCTCCATCTCAAAAAAAAAGTACAAAATTGTGACTCTGCAGGAGCTTACTGTCCTATAAAGGAGATAAGCCTTGACAGCCAAATTATAATTTGACTCTCATTGATATTTTCAAAGTACAGAATCATTTAGTCCAACTTCCTCAATTTAGGAGTGATGTGTTTGAGTTCCGGGAAGTGCGATTAGATATGATTATGGTCCGAGAAATGAATCTTGTTCTATGCCATTCAGCTAAAGAACAGTGCATGTAATCCAGGCTGTACTACTTTGTGTATTGGCGCCGGCTCTTAGGTTAAGTTTTTAATGGAACATTTTCATGATTTTAAAAATGTATTAGTAAAAGTACTAATGGTATTTGTCAAAATGCAGACTCTGTGACAGTATCTGTTCTAAGTGATTTATTTCTATTTCCTCATATAATCCTCAGGGCAATCATATGAGTAGGAAAAGTGTAATTCCTGTTTATAATAATGAGGACACAAGGTTATAGAGAGCATCTTTCCTACCTTTGTAAATCCAAACCTGAATCTTCTTCTAGAATCCATGGGATTAGTGTCTGACCATCCTACCTCCCTCATTAATAATGATGATTGTCATCAGATAGCATCAGTCATTGACATTTCATTTCTTTTAGTTCTAGACATTCTAAAATTACCTCATTAATATAGTGTCATTGACAAGTATTGAATATTTTGGATGTTTTTGATTAAAAGACTGACAGATCACTTTTCTTTTTTTCATAACTTAGAAGAGAATTGTTTTATTTCTTGACATTAATTTATATTTGTATATTTTACTTATTACCTCAAGTTATGTACCCTTATATAGATATCATTGTGAATATTTTGATACAATCAGAATAGAAATTATTACTTTAAATCTTCAATACTTTAAAAATTATATTTCTTTTTTAAATGGAAAATAATCTCATTATTTAACAATGTACTGCTGATTAATATAAATTACCACGTTTCTTCAAGTTTCATTTTTTAATAGACTATATATATAGTCTATCTATATTTAGAGACAGGGTCTTGCTCTGTCACCCAGGCTGGAGTGCAGTGGTGCAATCACAGCTCACTGTAACTTTGTACTTCTGGGCTCAAGCCATCCTCCTGCCTCAGCCTCTTAAGTAGTTAGGACTACAGGCATGTGCCACCAGGCCCAGCTAATTTTTAAATTTTTTTGTAGAGATGGGGTCTGCGTTTCCCAGCTGGTCTCAAACTTCCAGATTCAAGTGATTCTCCTGCCTCAGCCTCCCAAAGTGCTGGGATTTCAGGCATGAGCCACTGTGCCCACTGTGTCCTATATTTTTAGTAGTTTTAGGTTCACAGAAAAATTGAATGGAAGAAATGGAGATTTTCCATATACCCCTGCCTTCACACATGCAGAGCCTCCCCGATTATCAACATTGCCCACCAGAGTAATAGATTTGTTGCAATGCACCTACAATAGTACATCATTGTCACCCAAAGTCTTTTCATTAGCCTTCACTCTTGGTGTTATATATTCTATGGGTCTGAACAAAGATATAATGCCATGTGTCCACCATTACAGTATCATACTGAGTAGATTCACAGCCCCAAAAATCCCGTCTTCCACCTATTCACCCCTCTCTCCCTGCAACTTTTGGCAATCACTGATTATTTCACTGTCTTGTCAGAATGTCATGTGGTTGGAATCACACACTGTGTAGACTTTCCAGATGAGTTTCTTTCACTTATTAATAAATACTTAAAGCTCCTTCATGTCTTTTCACAGTTTCATAGAGCATTTTTAACAAAAGTTCTTAGTAGTAGTCCAGTGGCTGCGGAAGTACCATGTCCATTTACGCATTTACCTACTGAAGGGCATCTTAATGGCCTCCCAGTTTCAGCAATTATGAATAAGGCCGCTATAAACCTCAGTGTACATGTATGAACATAAGTTTTCAGCTCCTTTGGGAAGGGGAGTATCACTGCTGGGTTGTATGGTAAAGATTTATTTGGTTTTGTTAGAAACTAGTCTCCTATCTTTCAAAGTGGCTGATCCATTCTGCATTCCACCAGCACTGAGAGTTCTTGTTGCTGCACATGCTTCCCAGCATTTGGTGTTGTCGGTGTTCCAGATTTTGGCCATTCCAGTAGGTGTGTAGTGGTATCTTGTTGTTTTATTGTTATTGTTGTTTCAGTTTGCATTTCCCTGATAACATACGATGTTGAGCATCTTTTCATATGCTTATTTGCCATCTCGATATCTTCTTTGGTGAGGTGTCTTTTAAGGTCTTTGGCCCATTTTTTAATCAAGTTTCTTTTGTCTTACTGTTGTGTATTACTAATTATTTGCATATTTTGGATAACTCCTGTATTAGATATATCTTTGGCAAATATCATCTCCCAGTCTGTGGCTTGTCTTTTTATTCTCTTCACAGTGTCTTCTGGAGAGCCTACATTTTTACCTTTAGTGAAATGCAGTTTACCAATTCTTTCAATCCTAGATTTTGCCTTTGTTATTTATCTAAAAAGTCATCACCAAACCTAAGGTCATCTAGATTTTCTCCTATGTTATTTTCTATAGTTTTTCATTTTACACTGAGGTCTGAATTCCATTTTTAGTCAGTTTTTGTGAAGAATGTGAGGTCTATTTCTAGATACTTTTTTTTTGCATGTGGATGTTCAGTTGTTACAGCACCATTTATTTAAAAGACTATTTTCGCTCCATTGTATTGCCTTTGTTTCTTTGTCAAAGATCAGTTGAATATATTTCTGTGGATCTATTTCTAGGATCTCTGTTCTGTTCCATTTATCTATTTGTCTACTACTTCACCAATACCACACTGTCTTGATTACTGTAGCTTTATAGTAAGTCTTAAAGGAAGGTAGTGTTAGTGCTCCAACTTTGTTCCTCTCTTTTAATATTATGTTAAACTTTTATTTTTTAATGACCAATCTCTACATTTATTTCATTAGAGAAAAGCAGCTTTTATAGTACTATGAAACATATATTCCAAAGTTCATATTGCTTTCCATTGAAGTATAATTTTCTTGAATTTGAATAGTCAACATTAGATATACATTCTCATTTTTTCATATTGTAAAAATCCATATAATTTCCTACTTTGACATCTATTAAAATAAAAAACATTAAAAAGCAAACATCTACCTAAAAAAAATTGAACTACCCTATGATCTAGAGATCTCACTACTGAGTATATATCCAAAAGAAATGTAACAGTACTTAAAGAGATATCTGCATTCTCATGTTTATTGCAACATTCACAATAGCCAAGAAATGGAATCAACTTGTGTCTATCAACAGATGAGTGGATAAAGAAAATGTGGTGTATATACACAGTGGAATACTATTCAGCCATAAAAAGCATGGCGTCCTGTCATTTTCAACAATATAGATGAACCTGGAAGACATTATATTAAGTGAAATACACCGGATGCAGAAACTCAAATATCACACAATCTCACTCACATGTGGAAACTAAAAAGTTAATCTCTTGGAAGTAGAGAATAGAAGAGTGGTTACCAGAGCCCGGGGAGGGCAAAAGAGGGGGTAATGAGGAGAGATTGGTCAACAGGTAAAAAGTTACAATTAGATGGGAGGAACAATTTCTGATGTCCTATTGAACACTAGGGTGACTAGTTAACAACAATGCACTGAATATTTTAAAATACCTAGGGGAGAGGATTTTTAATGTTCTTACTACAAAGAAATGATACATGTTTTAGTTGATGTTTATCCTGATTTGACCATTACACAAAGTATACATGTATACAGGTGTTGACCCTAATTTGGTCACTGTACAATGTATACATGTATAGAAACATCACATTGTACCCCATAAGTATGTGCAATTGTGTCAATTAAAAAATATACTTATAAAATTATATTAATGTAAAAGTGACCCTTCTTTTATAGAGATTACAAATAATTTTTTTTTGAGAAGTTTCGCTCTTGTTGCCCAGGCTGGAGCGCAATGGCACTGTCTTGGGTCACTGCTACCTCTGCCTCCTGGGTTCAAGCAATTCTCCTGCCTCAGCCTTCTGAGTAGCTGGAATTACAGGTGCCCAGAACCATGCCTGGCTAATTTTTTGTATTTTTAGTAGAGACGGGGTTTCACTATGTTGACCAGGCTGGCCTCAAACTCCTGACCTTCACGTCATTCACCTTGCTCAGCTTCCCAAGTGCTGGGATTACCATCCCTGGCCATTAAAAAATAACTTTAGTGACCAAATGTAATTATTCCTTATTGATTCCAATGAATCAGTAAAAACTTCATGCCATTTTCAGGACTTAATTTTTAAAACATTTTAAAAATGATTATTTTAATTTTAACTTTATGGAGAAATAGAGGAAAAATATACTTATTTATAACTTAAATGGGGATACTGATTTCTGTCTTGTGTGTAGGAAATATTATAGATTTCTTGTTTTGTGTATTTCAAATGTTGTTATAATACCAAATTTGAAATAATAAAAAACATGGTTGATTATCTTCAGATGCACTACAAGTAGCTCTACCTTTAATGTAACGTATTTTTCAAACTTCAAAACTAATTAATGTCTCCAATTAAAACAATCTAAAGGTAAAAGTATCCTTTATTTAAAACAAACGAACTTGCTAGTGTTTTCTTGGTGTCTTTGCACTTCTTTGTGGCTTGACACTTACCCATAAGACTTACAATGAAAATTTAAAGAGAACTGGGCATCTCACCCAGATTTGCATCCAAGTTCCTCAAGGTTGAATATGGCTACTCTCAGATGACCCCTCTTAAATTATAAGACTATTGTGACAAATATTGTTTGATCATGCTTTGGATACCATTTATAAAATATATGTAATATGAACCTCTGAGTTTGTAAATTCAGGATTCTCCTTAAATACTAATTACCATTTTCCAATGCTTATTTAGAGTTGAAATGTGTTACCTAAGAATTGATATTGTACAAAAAACAGCAATCAGAAAAGTAACAAGATAAAACATAAAGACATTTATTAGACCTGAACAATTCTTTTTTTTTTTGAGACAGAGTCTCACTCTGTCGCCCAGGCTGGAGTGCAGTTGGGCGATCTCGGCTCACTGCAAGCTCCGCCTCCCGGGTTCACGCCATTCTCCTGCCTCAGCCTCCCGAGTAGCTGGGGCTACAGGCGCCCGACACCATGCCCGGCTAATTTTTTTGTATTTTTAGTAGAGACGGGGTTTCACCATGTTAGCCAGGATGGTCTCGATCTCCTGACCTCGTGATCTACCAGCCTCGGCCTCCCAAAGTGCTGGGATTACAGGCGTGAGCCACCGCGCACAGCCTACAAATTTTTATAGAAGAAAAAAAACCTATTCTATTGTTAAATATATTGGATAGATTTGATCCCTGCACTCTCAGTTGAGGTAACTGCATTCTGTTCATGCCCGCTTTCTGTGTGTGTTGGATAAGGAGCACACCCGTTTATTTTTTGTGTTTTAGCAGCTGAGCACAGGGGAGGCATTTGGTGAATGTAGGAATTAGGAAAGAAGGTAAGAAGAAAGAGTGGAAGAGCCAAGAAAAGGAGTAAAGAGAACATGATGTTAGCTAAACAAGAAATATCACCTTTTTTTTGAGATGAAGGCTCACTCTGTCACCCAGGCTGGAGTGCAGTGGCGAGATCTCAGCTCACCACAACCTCCGCCTCCCGATTCTCCTGCCTCAGCCTCCCGAGTAGCTGGGATTACAGGCATGCGCCACCACGCCCAGCTAATTTTTGTATTTTTAGCAGAACAGGGTTTCTCCATGTTGGTCAGGCTGATCTCGTACTTCTGGCCTCAGGTGATCCGCCACTTTTGCCTCCCAAAATGCTGGGATTATGGGCATAAACCACCACGCCCGGCCAATACCACACATTCTTATCGAAATGCTATTATTTTACATGTACTCTTTTTAGCAGGAGAGAGGCCCTATTCTCTGAGATTTCTTATTAATGATGCTAAGGCCAAAACGATGTAGTTTGGGATTAGGAGAAGGAACTGATTAAATGAAAAAATAGATTACATGTCCCCAAAACAAGCAGGAAATATTATTAGTGTGAAAGATTTGTAAGAATTCAAATAAAGAAACCCAGAAAGGGATGATAAAATAACTTAGTAGGTTATGGAAAATGTTAAAAGGATGATAAATGACAGCCTAGGATAACAAAGTAATATGTTAACGGGGAAAAAATGTTGAGAAGTGATTCTGAACTAAAGGAGCACGGAGCACTTGAAGCTATGGATTCTCTGCGGTAGCTAGCAGCTATGTCTCTCATCTGGCGAGGCCTTTCTTTGTGGCTTGCCCTTTCAAAGTGCCACCTAGGCACCCCACTGCAAAACAGAGTGGTGGCACTGGGGTTCCCCTTTTTCCATCTACTGGGGAGAGTCAATGGATTACCTCTTCTGAGCATCTCATATCATGCCCTTCCCATAGCCTAAGGCCACCACTCCTTACAGATGTATTTTGCCCTCTTTGTCCTATGATCCAGATTAACTGTAGGAAAATATGGCTGGTGTTCTCTCCTCCTCCTTGAGAGTTACCAAAACCAGGGCATTCCAACCACAACACTATTGGCATTTCGGACTGGATCATGTTTTGGGCGTGGAGGGTAAGGCTGTCTTCTGTATTATAGAATCTTTGGCAGCCTCTCTGGCCCCGTCCACTGGATGTGATTAGTACACCCCCGGTGCTGATGCTGAAAAATGTGACCAGACACTGCCAAAGTTTCCCTGGGGTAAAAATTACCCCTGGTTGAGAACAACTGTCCTAGATAAAGATTATGCTTATTTTCCCTCTTCATCCAATACCATGCTTTGATTTATTTTCCAGTGTATTTGCTGGGCTTGCCCTGATTCATTCTCTCATTTGAACCACAGGAAAGAATTCCAGGGTAGTTTAGTTCTTCATTGTGGAACCAACCAGTCCCAAAGGGGGTTGAACAAATTACTTTGGCCTCATCAGCATAAAAATATTTCATAGGATTTTTAACTGTCATTGCACACCACAGAAAAGGATTAATAATCCAATAGTTAAACACAGAACATGTGGTCAAAATGTAATGACGTAGTAGTAAAAATATAGTTGAAAATTATAGAAGATATGTTGTTTTTCACTGAAATCATATGGGAAAATATTGGTTAAAAACATGAAGAATTTTTTTTGGCTTTATTCTATCAACCACATAGTTATTTTCAGCAAACCTTGCCTTTGAAAATGACTATGCAAAGAACATTGTCAAAATCTGGAAGTTTTTTTTCTGTTTCCCATAATGGGATATTGTAGAAAATGAACATTAGGGATCACATTCCTAATCCACTCCCCAGTCAATGGTGCAACATGGGACTGCGTAATGTACGCACTTTCATGCAGTCTATTTTAAGCACCCAAGTTTGATGATAAAGAAGTTAATGTGGTTTCCAGTAGTGCCTAACATACCCTCAGGGAGTAGCTCACGCTGGGAGAACCTGGCTCATTATGGATTATTTTGTAGCATCAGTCATGCTATGAGATGACAAGGCTTTATAAGACAAATATTGTGGATCAATCTTCAGAGGCTAGCACTACATGCAGCCAAAAATCCTCATTGGCAGAACAAAACTGAAAGCCCTTAATGAATTCTGTTACCGTGGCAGCATACTGTCAAATTATGCACTAATAGCAAAAGAGCTAGAAAACCACACCAAGAAACCAGCATGCCTTTTGGCAAGCCAGAAATCAGGATCTGGTGCTGAACTTCCAAACATTCTAAAGAAGAGAATTAACATTAGAGTAAGCCAAAATCTTGTGCATACTCTCCAGGTATTTGGGTGTGAATCCTAGAGTAGCTATTTGAATGTTTTTTTTCTTTTTTCGTTTCTTTTTTTCTTCCAAATGTAATTAGATGTTAGTGGATTTAACAATAAAAGACATGCCAAAAGGATAATGACTGTCCTTGGGACCAGAGTCATATTTTAAGGAAAAGAGTTCTACTTTAAGCATCAATTCCCATGCTATATTAACCTCTGTAGTTTATGAAAATTATTCCAGGATGTGGAAGAATTTTAAGGCAATTCACATACAGGAAGGGTGACCAGATGTCCTCGATTTTTTAGGAACAAGCCTGTATTTTAAAATTTTTTCCATTGGAATATAACCGTATTAAAATCATTCTCAAACTGAATCATGTTGAAAATCACCTAACATATCAGAAAATCATGTTTAAATATCTACACACACACACACACACAAAGCATCTGGAAGAATGAAGATATACAAGTTGTCTGTAAAGTTTCATTTATCTATAGTATGTTTCTCTTAAGCATCTGTTTCAGGGTTGTGTTTCCCAACCAGTTTCCTAAAGTTTTGGAATATACTTTGCAAATTTTGCCTAAAACCCAGCTCTTTCCTTTATTTTTCCTCAAGTTCTCTACATTGTTTCTTCTCTTGTATTTCCCCTTTTTTTCCCCAGCAAACTTACAGCTTCTCATATTTCTTCTCCCTGTGTTTTGAAATGAAAAAGTATGGAAATGCAGAAGTGGATTTCAGACTTTGCTCCCTGAAAACCTCAAGGTTTCATCAAGGTGGCTTCTGAAACCACAGGTTGGGAGGGAATATGTAGAGAGGAAAGGGCAGGGCCCTAGGGCCTCCATTCCAACTTCCATGACAGCGATTTTCAAATAATACATCATTTAATGAAATATTTTTATAACTTCAAATAGCTCAACAATAATAGCTCAACACAATGTTATCAAGTAGAGTGTGCCTCTGTAGGGTATTTGACCAAAGGAAAAGCAGTCCTTTAGTGAAAAATAGAAGTATAGAGAATGTTGAAGAACTTCACTGTAGGGGGTGTTTTATTTCATGATTACTCTTCCTTTAACCACCCTGAGTACAATCTAAATCTAAAAATCAGGAACTACCTATTTCCTCCCATTTAATAGTAGCTTCTACTCTCCGAATACCTCTAGCAAGATGGAACACCTTATACTGCCTTAACAGCAGCCAAGCACAGGTGGTACTAGAGTATTTCCATGGAGTAGGAAGATATTTTTAATTACAAAAATACTAAAGATGTAATTATATAGTGAAGCTAAGAATCTAAAATTTATCTGAAATGATATCTCTAGTGTCCCAAAGAAAGACTATATATCTCAGGAATTTCTATAGCTAGAAATAGTTTTTATGGAGAGAAATAAGGTGTCTTTTAAGATATTTTAACTTGATATAGCTTCATTTTCACTTAAAAGTTATACTTTTTATGTATTAGATAAAAATTTAATTATAAAATTAAAAAATATTATAACAATAGATTTTGAAGAGTTGTCCTACATTAATAAAAATGAAGTTTGGGACTCATAGGAAATGTTGTCAAAATACTAACATTTTGGTAAAGAGCAGAAGTCAATGATTATTAATTTTTATTCAAGTCCTTTAAGTTTAATCTCAAAATAATGACAATTTAATAGCTTTTTGAATAAGAGGCTTCATGATAAAGAAACCAACTAAGTTATTATTTACCTTGGGATCTCTTTCTTGAGCAAATAACTCTTAAACTCTAAAATCTGGTATTATTTTGCCTGTAACATGAAAGACTACTTCTTAAATTTATTATAGAAATTTTAAAACATTTTATTTTCTTTTAAAAATATTGATTTCTTCAAATCCAAGTTGCGTGATTTAAAAATTAGCATAGTAGATAAATGTATAAAATATTTTAGGTTACACTACATCAGCAGATTATTTTTGTTGTTGAGACAGAGTCTCACTTTGTTGCTTAGGCTGGAGTGCAGTGGCATGGTCTTGGCTCTTTGCCACCAAGGTTCAAACCATTATCATTGCTCAGCCTCCAGAGTAGCTGGGATTACAACAGCACACAACCATGTCCGGCTAATTCTTGTGTTTTTAGTAGAGACAGGATTTCGCCTCCTGGCCTCAAGTGATCTTTGTGCCACCCAAAGTGTTGCAGTTATAGGCGTTAGTCACTGCGGCCTGCCAATGCTGTCAGATTTTGATTACCGAACCCCCCCCCCAAAAAAAGAAGACTGTTAAACAAAATAACATGGTTCCAATTCTGAATTAAATACTTCCTTTTCTATTGTATAAAGTAGAATATATTTTGGCCTGATGTACCTTTTAAAACTGTTTGAAACAGATTACTGGAAAAAGATTTCAATCGCTGCCTTGTGCTCTTAACATTAGCTGGGAGAGGAACAGAAATTAAAATGAATAGAGATAAAATGAAAATGCACAATTACGATGAAATAATATTTCTGTCCAAATCAAGTCTTAATATAATTAGAGCATGTTTTAGATATTTTCATACAAATAAATACATCTCTTAAGAGTAAACATTTGTTTTATTAAAGCATAGTTTCAGATGATTTTATTTGTGATTTTAGATGTCTAATGCAAGCCATGTTGTTGCTTTCTGCATTTGGTACATTACAACCATAAAAAGTCAAATTAGCATTTAGGAAATAATTCAAGAAAAGGATTCCTCCAATAATATTTGCCCCATTGAGCTGGGTAATTCTTGTAAATTGGTCTTTTGGCCTGAGTGATTTAGATAATTACTTAAGTTCTCTATTTCAGGTTGAATATTCAGATACTACTCAACATCAAACACATGACAAATGATTTATTTTTTCTTCAGAAAATTGATCAAATATTGAGTGAAATAATGTACTTGACCTGTATATTGCAGCATATATTTTCTAATCTTCAAAAATAGTAAAAATAGTGTCTCTAATTTGATTAGATCTAATTAGATTTTGATTAGTTATTTTTTTTCTCTTGCTTATTTTCAAGTTTGATGAATTAAGAAAGATTTGTTGAAGCAAAGACAATTTTGGATAAACATTAAATCATAAATCTCTAATGAGAATGGAACTAAAACTTCTTTATCCCCTCAATATAAACCAATGATCAGGTTATTTATAAACATTATTGGGAAAAAATGCATTCTTTTTTCCAAATAAGATATTTTTGTTTTTCTGTAATTTAAATTTTCTTTTTTTTCTCAGTAGTATTTAGTATTTTTAATTTCTGATGTACATTGAGAAATAATTTTCACTGCCTTTTATAGTTTTTAATTTATGAAAATAAACTAAAACCACGATAATACAGTTTTAATACTTATTTATGAACATAAAAGAATCTTATTAGCTATTGTAATTTAGACTTTATTGTATTTTAAATTAACCTATTCATGTTTTTGTGACTTTTTAACAGGCAGTAACTTCAAGGTGTTGTGGTGGATGTAGATTTTTGCTGCAAGGAAATAACAGTAAGTGTTTCTATATATGCAATAACTTTTTAAAAACTACAACCTCTCAATATTTGGAAATTCACTATTGCTTAAATGCATGAAAAAACTTAATATGATTACTTAAATTTTATAATTTTGATAAAATTTATTTACTGTAGTGATATTTCTCATAGAATTCTAATAGATTAAAAGAAGGTCATTTTAATAATGAAGAAATAGAAACCCATGGCCAATACTTTCCATTTTGTTCATTTTATGTGAGTTTTGCTATGTAAATTTCACTTGTACATTTACATGGATTTTCTCTTTGAATAGCTGACTTACACAGATTCCCAGTTTTCTGTGGGGAACTATTTGATAACTGATTTTCAAATTTTGGATTGGAAACACTTATTTTGCATAACAGCTTCTTTAATTTGAGCCACTCGAATCTTTAGTATTTCTGCATGTTAAATAGTTTTCATGCAAATACAAGTCAATAACTCATATTAATTTCACGAAAAGTGAGAAAGGGGCTTCTGTCTCCCAATTAAACTGATGTGATAAAGTGAGGTGGAACAGCTTCTCGGTTTCTCTAAAATGTAATTTTCATAATCGTTTAAATTTATGTTTATTTCAAATGTAAAACATGGGTAACTTTTGTTTTGCCTGCCATCTGAGGTTATCTTTGTCACTTCCTTTTCATTAATGTAATTACTTGGGAATTATCTCTACTCCAAATTGAATAGGGAAATATGCTGCAGGCTCTTTGCTCATTTAGGAATTAAAGCAATTTAAGATATGAGGTTTCAAATGGAAACTCTCTTTGAAAGGAGAAGATGTGATTCGTTTGCACAGGTATCTGTTTCACTGAAATTTTTAGAGAGAAAAAAAATGTGTTCATCATACTGAATTCTTGATCTTTAAAATAGTTCAGATTTCTGTTATCTTGTCTACTTGGATTGCTGGTGAGTGTTCAATCTGGCTCTGCCCTGGCTTCTGTTCCCTACTAATACCATTTCCTGACTGGCTTCTTGATTCAACAATTAAACTCTGGTAATATTCCTGCCCAGTGATCTGTACCTTTACATGGCATCCTGGGCCATTACAATATCTTTCATGATTACAATAAATTAAATTTTGTTTTTTGTAGAATAGATAACGATGATTATGCTTACAAAATACCTACATGGCTCATTCAGAGATGTGCTGTATTACAAAAGAAATGACTTTCTATTTTGGGGATTATAACTTTGCTATTTGATTAATATAGCTGGAAATAAGGGCTTTGGTAATAAAGTATTTTAATTTTTAGAGAGAATTAGCTGGCATTAGCTGTATAAGAGCCTAAACAATATAAAATTATTGGCAAAATAAATAACTCAAACTACTTCTCTTACTGTGGGTAGGGAAGATAAGAAAGGGCAGAGAAAATACCCTCATAAACAAGAAGTATGAAGAAATTCATCTCTTTTGTTTAAGGTTTAATTGCCTTTTAATTGTCTCATCTCCTCATTCCATTTCTTTTATTATTATTATTATACCTTAAGCCCTGGGATACATGTACAGAACGTGCAGGTTTGTTACACAGGTATACATGTGCCATGGTGGTTTGCTGCACTCACCAACCCATCATCTACATTAGGTATTTCTCCTAATGCTATCCTTCCCATTGCCCCCCAACCCCCAACAGGCCCAGTGTGTGATGTTTTCCCTCCCTGTGCCCATATGTTCTCATTGTTCAACTCCCACTTATGAGTGAGAACATGTGGTGTTTGGTTTTATGTTCCTGTGTTAGTTTGCTGAGAATGATGGTTTCCAGCTTCATCCATGTCCCTACAGAGGACATGAATGAACTCATTGTTTTTCATGGCTGCATAGTATTCCATGGTGTATATGTGCCACATTTTCTTTATTCAGTCTAACATTGATGGACGTTTGAGTTGGTTTCAAGTATTTGCTATTGTGAACAGTGCTGTAATAAACATACATGTGCATGTGTCTTCATAGTAGAATGATTTATAATCCTTTGGGTATATAGCCAGTAATGGGATTGCTGGGTCAAATGGTATTTCTAGTTCTAGGTCCTTGAGGAATTGCCATACTGTCTTCCACAATGGTTGAACTAATTTACACTCCCACCAACAGTGTAAAAGCATTCCTATTTCTCCACATACTCTCTAGCATCTGTTGTTTCCTGACTTTTTAATGATCGCCATTCTAAGTGGAGTATGATGATATCTCATTGTGGTTTTGATTTGCATTTCTCTAATGATCAGTGACAATGAGCTTTTTAAAATATGTTTGTTGGCCGCATAAATGTCTTCTTTTGAAAAGTGTCTGTTCATATCCTTCACCCACTTTTTGATGGGGTTGTTTTATTCTTGTAAATTTGTTTAAGTTCCTTGTAGATTCTGGATATTAGCCCTTTGTTCAGATGGATAGATTGCAAAAATTATCTCCCATTCTGTAGGTTGCCTGTTCACTCTGATGATAGTTTCTTTTGCCGTGCAGAAGCTCTTTAGTTTAATTAGATCCCATTTGTCAATTTTGGCTTTTGTTGCAATTGCATTTGTGTTCTAGTCATGAATCTTTGCCCATGCTTATGTCCTGAATGGTATTGCCTAGGTTTTCTTCTAGGGTTTTTATGATTTTAGGTCTTAGGTTTAAATCTTTAATCCATCTTGAATGAACTTTTGCATAAGGTGTAAGGAAGGGGTCTAGTTTCACTTTCTTGCATATATCTAGCCAGTTTTCCAAACATCATTTATTAAATAGGGAATCCTTTCCCCATTGCTTGTTTTTGTCAGGTTTGTCAAGGATCAGATTGTTGTAGATGTGTGGTGTTATTTCTGAGGCCTTTGTTTTGTTCCATTGGTCTATCTGTTTTGGTACCAGTACCATGCTGTTTTGGTTACTGTAGCCTTATAGTATAGTTTGAAGTCAGGTAGTGTGAAGCCTCCAGCTTTGTTCTTTTTGCTTAGGATTGTCTTGGCTATACGAGCTGGTTTTTGGTTCCACATGAAATTTAAAGTAGTTTTTTCTAATTCTGTAAAGAAAGTTAATGGTAGCTTGATGGGAATAGCATTGAGTCTGTAAATTACTTTGGGCAGTATGGTCATTTTCACAATATTGATTCTTCCTATTCATGGGCATGGAATGTTTTTCTATTTGTTTGTGTTCTGTCTTATTTCCTTGAGCAGTGGTTTGTAGTTCTCTTTGAAGAGTTACTTCACATTGCTTGTAACTTGTATTTGTAAGTATTTTATTCTCTTTGTAGCAATTGTGAAGGGGAGTTTGCTCATGATTTGGCTCTCTATTATTGGTGTACAGGAACGCTTGTGATTTTTGCATATTGATTTTGTATTCTGAGACTTTGCTGAAGTTGCTTGTCAGCTTAAGGAGTGACTGAGCTGAGACGATGGTGTTTTCTAAATATACAATCATGTCATCTGAAGAGATAACTTGACTTCCTCTTTGAATATTCTTTATTTCTTTCTCTTGCCTGATTCCCCTGGCCAGAACTTCAAATACAATGTTGGATAGGAGTGGTGAGAGTGGGCATCCTTGTCTTGTGCCAGATTTTAAAGGAAATGCTTCCAGCGTTTGCCCATTCAGTATGATATTGGCTGTGGGTTTGCCATAAATAGCTCTTATTATTTTGAGATATGTTCCATCAGTACCTAGTTTATTGAGTGTTTTTAGCATGAAGGGGTGTTGAATTTTATTGAAGGCCTTTTCTGCATCTATTGAGATAATCATCTGGTTTTTGTCATTGGTTCTGTTTATGTGATGGATTATGTTTATTGATTTGCATATGTTTAACGAGCCTTGCATCCCAGGGATGAGGCCAACTTGATCGTGGTGGATAAACTTTTTGACGTGCTGCTGGATTCGGTTTGCCAGTATTTTATGGAGGACTTTTGCATCGATGTTCATCAGGGATATTGGCCTGAAATTTTCTTTTTTTGTTATGTCTCTGCCAGGTTTTGGAATCAGGATGATGCTGGCCTCATAAAATTAGTTAGGGAGGAGTCACTGTTTTTCTATTGTTTAGAATAGTTTTAGAAGGAATGGTACCAGCTCCTCCTTGTACCTCTGGTAGAATTCGGCTGTGAATCCATCTGGTCCTGGGCATTTTTGGCTGGTAGGCTACTAATTACTGCCTCAATTTCAGAACTTGTTACTGGTCTATTGAGGGATTCAGCTTCTTCCTGGTTTAGCCTCAGGAGGGTGTATGTGTCCAGAAATTTATCCATTTCTTCTAGATTTTCTAGTTTATTTGTGTAGAGGGGTTTATAGTATTCTCTGATGTTAGTTTGTATTTCTGTGGGAATAGTGGTGATCTCCCCTTTATCATTTTTTATTGTGTATATTTGATTCTTCTCTCTTATTAGTCTGGCTAGCAGTCTATCTATTTTGTTAATCTTTTCAAAAAAAACAGCTCCTGGATTCATTGACTATTTGAAGGGTTTTTCGTGTCTCTGTCTCCTTCAGTTCTGCTCTGATCTTAATTATTTGTCTTCTGCTACTTTTTGAATTTGTTTGCTTTTGCTTCTCTAGTTCTTTTAATTGTGATGTTAGGGTGTTGAATTTTTATCTTTCCTGCTTTCTCCTGTGGGCATTTAGTGCTATAAATTTCCCTCTAAACACTGCTTTCGCTGTGTCCCAGAGATTCTGGTACATTGTGTCTTTGTTCTCATTGGTTTCAAGGAACTTTGTCATTTCTGCCTTAATTTCATTACTTACCCAGTAGTCATTCAGGAGCAGGTTGTTCAGTTTCCATACAATTGTGCAGTTTTGAGTGAGTTTCTTAATCCTGAGTTCTAATTTGATTGCACTGTGGTGTGAGAGACTGTTATGATTTCCATTCTTATGCATTTGCTGAGCAGTGTTTTACTTCCAATTATGTGGGTCAGTTTTAGAATAAGTGTGATGAGGTGCTGAAAAGAATGTATATTCTGTTGATTTCGGGTGCAGAGTTCTGTAGATGTCTATTAGGTCTGCTTGGTCCAGAGCTCAGTTCAAGTCTTGAATATCCTTGTTAATTTTCTGTCTCATTGATCTGTCTAATATTGACAGTGGGGTGTTAAAGTCTCTCACTATTATTGTGTGGGAGTCTAAGTCTCTTTGTAGGTCTCTAAGAACTTGCTTTATGAATCTGGGTGCTCCTGTATTGGGTGCATATATATAGGATAGTTAGCTCTTCTTGTTGCATTGATCCCTTTATTATTATGTAGTGCCCTTCTTTGTCTTTTTTGATCTTTGTTGGTTTACAGTCTGTTTTATCATAGACTAGGATTGCAACTTCTGTTTTTTTTTTTTTTTTTTTTTTTTTTGCTTTCCATTTGCTTGGTAAATATTCCCCCTTGCCTTTATTTTGAGTCTACGTGTGTCTTTGCATGTGAGATGGGTCTCCTGAATACAGCACACCGATGGGTTGTGATCCTTTGGAGGAGAAGGGGCATTCTGGTTGTTGGAATTTTCAGCCTTTTTGTGCTGATTTTTCCTCATCTTCATGGATTTATCTACTTTTGGTCTTTGCTATTGGTGACCTTTGGATGGAGTTTTTGCATGGTCATCCTTTTTGTTGACGTTGATGCTATTGCTTTCTGTTTGTTAGTTTTCCTTCTAACAGTCAGGCCCCTCTTCTGCAGGTCTGCTGGAGTTTGCTGGGGGGCCACTCCAGACCCTCTTTGCCTGGGTATCACCAGCAGAGGCTGCAGAACAGCAAAGATTGCTGCCTGCTCCTTCTTCTGGAAGCTTCGTCCCAGAGGGACACCCACCAGATGCCAGCTCGAGCTCTCCTGTAAAAGGTGTCTGTCGACCCCTGCTGGGAGGTGTCTCCCCATCAGGAGGTGCAGGGGTCAGGGACCCACTTGAAGAGGCTGTCTGTCCCTTAGCAGAACTCAAGCACTGTGCAGGAGATCTCCTGAGCTCTTCATAGCCAGTAGGCAGGAATGTTTAAGTCTGCTGAATCTGGGCCCACGGCCAACCCTTCCCCCAGGTACTCTGTCCCAGGGAGATGGGAGTTTTATCTCTCAGCCATTGACTGGGGTTTCTGCCTTTCTTTCTGAGATTCCCTGCCCAGAGAAGAGGAATCTAGAGAGGCAGTCTGGCTACAGCGGCTTTGTAGTACTGTGGTTGGCTCCGCCCAGTCTGAACTTCCAGGGGCTTTGTTTACACTGTGAGGGTTAAAGACCACCTACCGAAGCCTCAGTAATGAGGACACCCCTCCCCGCCACCAAACCCGAGCGTCCCAGGTCGACTTCAGACTGCTGTGCTGCCAGCGAGAATTTCAAGCCAGTGGATCTTAGCTTGCTGGGCTCCATGAGGGTGGGATCTGCTGAACTAAACCACTTGGCTCCCTGGCTTCAGCCCCCTTTCCAGGGGAGTGAATGCTTCTGTCTCACTAGAGTTCCAGGTGCCACTGGGGTATGAAAAAACACTCCTGCAGCTAGCGTGGTGTCTGCGCAAACGTCCGCCCAGCTTTGTGCTTGAAACCCAGGGCCCCGGTGGTGTAGGCACCAGAGGGAATCTCCTGGGATGCAGGTTGTGAAGACCACGGAAAAAGTGTAGTATCTGGGCCAGAGTGCACTGTTCCTCATGGCACAGTCCCTCACGGCTTCCCTTGCCTAGGGGAGGCAGTTCCCCAACCCCTGCACTTCCCAGAGGAGGCAACACCCCACCCTGCTTCTGCTTGCCCTCTGTGGGCTGCACCCACTGTCTAACCAGTCCCAGTGAGATGAGTCAGGTAACTCAGTTGGAAATGCAGAAATCACCTGCCTTCTGCTTTGGTCTTGCTGGGAGCTGCAGACCAGAGCTGTTCCTATTTGGCCATCTTGCCTGGGAACCCTCTCCTCATTCGCAGAAATTCACTGCTGTAGAAGCAAGTACAGATCACCAGCAAGGATGCGTATTTTATAACATTGTAACTGGTTTAGTTCATTCTTCCAAGAAAATGTTTCTGGCATGTTTATAGCTTCAAATCATGTTTACATGCTTTCCAGGAACAATCGAATATAAATACATGTGTGTATTTGCATATACACATGTGCACATACACGTACACATATATATAAGCAAAATCATGTTGTTTTAGGACCCCCAAATAGGACGCTTTGAATACACAAAGAATTTTATTTATCTCTGTAGTATTCTAATTTTCTTTTTATGTCTAAATCCTCTGCCTCAGTTTGTTTTAATTATGTCATTTACTCATGGATTTAACAACTCTTGGGTAGGATAGGTACATGGTCTCATGCACCAGAAATGTAGGAGGGAATATTAAGTTCCTGTTTCCTAGTTGCCTGCAGGCTGCTGGTGGGAACATACACATTTAACAATTTCAGTTCATTGTGGTAGAAGTCTGAAAATAGTGAGTAGGAAGTAGAGAGGTGGGAAACCATGTCATCCTTGAGGGCTAAAGCAACATTTTCTGGAGAAGGCATTTCTTGAACCACAGTAGATGTATGTAACTGAAATAATGGTGGCGGCGGCGGCGGCGGCGGTGGTGGTGGTAGTGGTAGTGGTTTGTGTTCGTGTCAAAGTGGAGGCAAGGAGTTGAAGGGTGAGGACTGGGAGGAAGAGGCTGTAGCAATACGGCTATATAGAAAAGGAAGGCTATGTATCTAGTACGTAGCAAGATCAAGATTACAGGAAAGCATTACATGCTCAAGGAGCGTAGAATAAATGTTGCAGAGCGGCAGGAAATGAGAGAATTAGAGCAGAAAATTACCTGTGCTGAGGAGTTCGCATTTTATTTAATTTTTTCTCCAGAAAACAAAAGGCAGTCCTAGTGGATTTTACAACAGTTAGGAACATTGGAATTGCATTCAGGAAATACCAACTGAGCAGCAGTTTTGAAGAAGGATCAAGGAGGGTGGCGAGGAAGCAGCAGAAATGGAGATAGGAAAGCCAGTTAGGAAACTGTAGTAGTTGTTCCAAGAAATAAGTGATGATGGACTGATCAAAGGGAGTGATGTGGGGGTAGAGTAGAAAGATGAGAAAAACTCTAGCTTTGAACTGTGTAGACTGGGATATTTATTTCATTTATCTGTCCTGTTTGAAGTAGCAAACCTACAGTTCAATTACTGATTGGGAATCCACTGAAAATGGGAATGGGTTGAGGGAGAAGAGGGGCTAATTTTAAACTTAATAATTGCAAGAGCAGAAAGATATATTAATAATTGAATTTAGGGTCCTGAACGCTTTCTCTCGTTCCCTAGAGGCACTAGGAGTGATTGTGAAGCCCGGTTTAGAACCCAGGCAGAGCCAGCTGGCTATCATGACTATGACCATTTGTCCCATCTCCCATATACTGTCCCACATGGTCATCACTAGCCTCATGTGACTATTAAAATTAATTTAAATTAAACAAATTTGCAAAGTCTTTACTTGCACTTGTCACATTTCAAATTCTCAAATGTCACATCTCAAATTCTCAATAGGCTACCTGATCGGTTGGCACGGATGTCACGACGGATCAGACCAGACAACACAATTCTAGATTGTTAGAGCCCTCATGAAAGAATACAGTTTTGAATCACAAAATTAAACACACAGCTAAGTGTATTTTTACATGTATATCTTTCTAACACTTTTAGAAGTAGAGAAACTTAATGATCATATTCTCATTCCAGAGTCGGGTCTGGTAAATAACACCTGAATCTTAAATGAGAAAAATTTAACTCCTTGAGTTCATAATTCAAATATTTTTCTTTTTCCTCAGTATGAGGCATAACTAAAAGCTACCCTGGCTCCTATAATTGACAAAAATCCCATGTAACAAATCAAAGGGGCCTCTGCAGGACAAGACAGTTTTTTTCAAAGTATCTTATTTTCTTAATGTTTTTTTCAGAATCACAATTTCTGTTTTTAAATTCACTATTAAAATTCATTGATGCCAGCTGGGTGCAGTGGCTCATGCCTGTAATCCCAGCACTTTGGGAGGCCGAGGCGGGCGGATCACGAGGTCAGGAGATCGAGACCATCCTGGCTAACACGGTGAAACCCTGTCTCTACTAAAAATACAAAAAAAAGAATTAGCTGTGCGTGGTGGTGGGCGCTTGTAGTCCCAGCTACTCGGGAGGCTGAGGCAGGAGAATGGCGTGAACCCAGGAGGCGGAGCTTGCAGTGAGCCGAGATGGCGTCACTGCACTCCAGCCTGGGTGACAGAGCGAGACTCCGTCTCAAAAAAAAAAAAAAAAAAAAAAACTCGATGCCAGCTCTCAGCAAAAGATAACATTTGAAATGACAGAATCTTACTACAGTGCAATTTCTAGCGCTCAGTGTGTAAAATATTGTTCACCACCCCTGACCCCTTAAAATATATGAGGCCACGGAAATCTCAAATGTCAATCTTTAATAACAGAGGTGCCAAATGATGGAATCTTTTATTTCTAAGGCAAATATACTTTGATCTTATAGGGAAAAATAAAGCTGCTTGCTATTTTAATTGCACACAACCTGAGTTCATTAAATGTTGTCTGTAGGTTAAGGGATGTTTTGCACCTGGTAGCGTGCTCATTATAAACAGATTATTTGATGTTCCTTTACCCTTATTTGAAAATGAGATATTTAGGGGGAAGATCAGCTGGAAATAATGTAATGAAGGAAGGAGTGATAACTAGGGTTAATTGATAACTCCATTCCTAGCCTATTCTTCACAGAACCCTCTCCATGATATCGTTTACTGGCTATAAGCTTTTTGCATTTGCATATTTGTCTAACACTATACATTTTATATGTATCACATCATCTTTCAGACCAAACAAGTGTACATTGTACTCTTTTTTCATTTTTATATATATTTTTTGAGACAGAGTCTCACTCTGTCGCCCAGGCCAGAGTGCAGTGGTGGGATCTCGGCTCACTGCAAACTCCGCCTTCCGGGTTCAAGCGATTCTCGTGCCTCAGCCTCCCAAGTAGCTAGGATTACAGGCATGTGTCACTGCGCCTGGCTAATTTTTGTAGTTTTAGTAGAGACAGGGCTTTACCATGTTGACCAGGCTGGTCTTGAACTGACCTCAAGTGATCCACCTGCCTTGGCCTCCCAAACATTGTACTCTCTCTTGTAATTGAAGAGAAGTTTACTACTGCTTTTGTCTAATTCAATCCCAAAATTTTGAATTTTAATTCTCCTGTGTCAGAAATAGCTTCATGATGGGTCTCCTTGTTGATATACTCCTCTTCTTCCTATGCAAATTATTTTCATCATATCATTTTTTTCTTTTTTTTTTTTCTCAATATCCTTCAGACGGCACATGCAACTTGCAGAATAAAGTTTTGCCCTTAGCCTAGCATGCAAAGCCCTTCTGCCCTGTCCCAGTCTACAGCGGTGTACACCTAGTCACTTCATAGATGCTTTACTACTGTTCTTCTAGTTATCTTCAACTTGGTAAGGACACTCACTCCTACGACTGCCTCCTCTCAGCCTTGCTTCTTTTTCTCTATTCCAAGCCCTTCAGCCTTCAAATCACGTTTTCAGGGAGCCCTAGTCTCTAATAGTCCAATTTCACCCAATATTCCTCACTTTTCATGGAGTTTATTAATTTGATACATCTAAATACTCCCTTGTGACCATTCTTGAAATGAAATTTAATTAATGATAAAGACTTATGTAAGTCTATTTGTCGTGTCCCCCTTAGCTTGCTTGAGGGCAGTTGCCACGTCATAAACTTGTGAGATTGTATTGGCAAGGGTGCACTGTTAAGTATTTGTTGATTGAGAATTCAAAGAACAGATAATTTAACTTGTGTGCCTGGCCAGTTCACTGATCCATACTGACCTTAGATGCAAAATAGACAGAATTAATGAAATATTGTTGTCCTTTTTATTGTGCTTAAGAATGCAGGGACAAGGGATTTTTGTCTTCGAATCTCCAAAGAGCTCTAAGATCCATAAATATTCATACTCTTTGTCGAAAGACGAGTCTGTTTCTAAACTAACATTTATATGTTCATGCAGTTACTTTTGAAAAGAATGTGGATTTGTATTTACCTGGCTATAAATATTAAATCATCTGAAGTAACTAGTTCTGTGTTAATTTAAAATGAAAATTTTATTCTGAGAGAATAAAAACAACATATTTTATTGTTTTAATCCTGTTTTTCAATAAAAAATGAGACTTTGCACCCAATGGAAACTTCACTTCAGTAACTTCAAAGCTAATGGCGGTACTTTAAGAAGATCAACTTTTATGTTGAAAAATAACCACCACAAGGCAAAATATTTGTATTTATAGGGATCTATTCCTTTGGATTAAAACAAGCAAAACAACACAAAGAGATAGATGAATCTAGATAATCAGAAAGATAGATATCACCCTTCTTTCTCCTTTCCTGCTCTATCCCAACACTCCTTCTGAATCATGCTTTGGTGCAAAATCATTGTTCTATACGGATTTGTATGAAATAGTTCTGTCACAGGATCCTAAAGGTATAACTTTGCCAGCTTGAAACCTCTGTGACCAGCAGCCTCTCAGCTTGAATTTTGCTCACACCCACTGGGCTCGTTTGACTTACTTGGCTCGACAGGCTGCTCTTGGCTTGTGCTACCAGCCTAGATCCTACAACTGCCAAGAACGAGCAAGGTGCGGAGTGGCAAAGGGGTGTGTGAGTGAGCAAACGTGGGGTCTAGCCACTGCCCACAGCCAGGCACTGACAGAGGTGCCGGCTCTGTGTGAAGCTGCGGCTGTACCAGATGTACCGCAAGTGGCTTCTGCTGTGGGCACCAGCATCTGGACAAGGAGAATGCAGTGACCCCCAAATGTCAGAGACACCAGGAACTGCAGAGCCCCAAAGAGAGTGTTACAGCATGTCACGGCGTTGGCTCAGGGAGCCCTAAGGTCTGGGCTCTCAGAAGGGGCACCGTTCTTCTCTCCTTCTTGTCACCTGCAGAGTGGCAAGGGGGTGGCGGGGGTGGGTGGGGTTGTTGCCAGGGGGTGTGGTTCAGCCCATTTGTGTTACAACTCTTTTACTCCCAACACACTGCTCTAGCCTGGGGCTCCTGGGCTGGCCAGTCCCACCACTGCTTCCTGTTATATAGGGCAGCTGCCTAGCGATGGTGGAAGGTGGGAGGGCTATAGTGTTAAAGCATCTCTGGCTCATGAAATCCTGCGGTCTGGGACCCCACAAGGGTCACCACTCTTCTCTCCCACAGTCCAGGAGCGTGCTACCACCCACAGCTTGGTGAGCCAGCCAGGAACATGTTACAGCTCTTTTCAGCCCTGCTGTTTAATGGGTCCTGAGTTCTTGTCCCACATCCAGGAAGAATGAGGTTACATGGACAACTGGAGGGTGAGCAAGGCAGAGAGGAGCTTTATTGAGTGACAGAACAGCTCTCAGGAGACCCTAATTATGAAGCTACCGCTTGCAGGTAGGTCATCCCAATGAGTGTCTTGAGTCCGGCTGAGTCAGGGGTTTTTATAGGCTTAGAATGGAGGAAGTGCATCCTGATTGGTCCATGGATGGCCATTGGGTGGACCTGGAAAAGCACCATCTGATTGGCTGAAAGGCATCAATGAGGTTCTCACTTCCGGTATGAACTCTACCGTGAACTGGCAGCTTGGCCCTCAGGCTTCAGGTCATGCCTGGCTCAAAGGTGGGGTTTCACTGGGGACCCGCTCTTTCCTGCCTGGGAACCTGTCTACCTCCCACCACTATCAAGATGCCGTCCATGGCACCCACCCAGGCTGTCCCTGCCGAGGAGCACTCACAGGCCCACGCAGAGCTGGCCTCAGTCCCCTGGCCTCCCTCCAATGCTCGTTGGTGCCCACAGCCTAGAGGGGGCTGAGGTGGCGGGAGGCTGGTATGTCCGCACCATTGCAAGCATGCACACACCTAGCTGGGTCGTGACAGTGCCCAGGTTTGGCCACAACTTTGCTCCATGCTGGAGCAGGTGCCCAGAGTGGGGAGAGGCCAGGGAGTGGGAGCAGGCACTTCCGAACCTGCTGAAACAGGGGACTTCTGGTCCCCCAGTTAAGTATGCACAGGGCACAGGGATGCCCAGGTCTGAAGCTACAACTGGGCTGCTTAGGAGCATGGGCTCCCACCCCATCAACTCTGTAGGACACAGGGCTCCCACTGGGATCCCAGCCCACACCACCTCCGTGGAGCGTGCAGCCCCAGCCGCGCCTCTCACACCGTAGCTGGCATCCTTGCAACGGTTGCTCCAGACGGGCTGCCACTGCCATTAGCTCAATAAAATGGAATTCAGTATTTATTATGCAGATACTAGTTATGAAAAGAGGATTGGAGTCAGACATACCAGGCTTTAAATTTGGTCTCTGCTAATTTCTAGTCATGCAAACTTGGAAAAGTTAGGTAAGCATTTTGAGCCTCATATCACTTTCTTAGTAACAGTAATTACTTATCTTATAGGGGTTATAAAGATCAAAATAAGGTTGTATGAACCGGTTACTTAGGAACAGGTTAGTGTACAGCATGTCCTAAACAAAATGTCCATGCAGACATAACTGCGGTTGTTGCGGACATTGTTCACCTAGGAAAAGCTATGGAAGGAACTACTCTTGAGTCTCATTCCCAGGGTAGGGGTTCAAGTCCTGACCAGCCAGTCTAATGTTAATTTGGTTAATACCCTGTCTCCAGCAGCTTTCTGTAATTTTGTTTTCTCTTGGCTCCTATGAAAACACTGAGCCAAATTTTAACTCCCTCAAAGCAATAGTAGAAAGCTTTGGGGCATATAATTTTAGTTACTAAACCTGTCTTTTTCTTATTATTTTAAAATCCTATTTTATATATTGTTTACTTATATTTATATGTCAGATATTTATATTGTACATTTTCTAATTTTATACTTAATTTTGCTGAAAATTTTTACTGTTTTATAAGTGTCTAGGTTTTGGGTAAGAGATAAATAATTTATCTCTTACCTAGGTGTATAGAATATTGATTTTAAAAGTAGGCATTATTCTTTGTAAGTTATATATATATATAAAACAGTGAGGTTTGTGACAATTTGAGAAAACTCACAGGCAAATAACAGAAATATCAGAAAAATATCAAAAATTAAGAAATATCTTGAAACTAAGATAAAGGTATGTTATAAATCCATAAAATATATGTAGACACTAGTCTATTTTATCATTTACTACATAAAATATACACATATCAATTATAGAAAGCTAAAATTTATCAAAACTTACGCACACAAACATAGACCATACATGATGTCATTGCAGTCAATGTAAGGCTTCTGTCAATGGTAGGCTATTAGTAGGTAAGTTTTTAAGGAGTCAAAAGCTGGATGCAATTTCCAACTGTGCAAAGAGGTCAGAGCCCCTAACAGCTGAATTATTCAAGGGTCAACCATAGCTGGAAATGTGGATTACAAAGTACCTTCTTCAATGCGATGGTCCACTGAGGGCTCATATTTATTCTTAGATTAGGTATCTTGATATGTCCTTGTATGCTAAGAACCTATAGAATTCAAAATCTGCAAATAGATATACAAACCTTCTGAAGTATTTTATTCGCCCAATTCAAGAAACATATTCTTCATTAAAATTTCCACATCTTTAGTCTGTTTTGTGTTCTTTTATAATGTAAATGATGAATTTATTGATAATGCCTAGCAGAGTGTGAAATTTCTATTGTGAATAATGTAGTCTAAGCATAATCAAAACTGTAATAGGGAAAATGCTGTCCTTCTAGTTGCTAGGGTACTGGCTGGGAGTATAATAAGCACAGATGATAATGATATAATTTTATGCCAGTCAGCTGATAAGTGATGCCAACTTATTGTAATAATCATTTTGTAATATATTAATATAGCCATCAATAACCTAAAGCTTTGTAAAACTTTAATTTCTAGATCTAAGAAGAAAATGTGTATACTTTATATTGACCATATTTCTAGATATGAGAATAAGTCAATAATATTGATGCAATTGTATGTTTTCCTATTTTCCATTAGAATGTTTCTAACATACTGCATGAAAATTAAGGATTCATAATTTCATTATATTTTCAGTATATTTAGAAAACTTAAGTATGATTAATGAAATAAAGACCTAAGAATTCCAAACATCATTTTAAAGTCTTGATTTATTAATTTTGTTTGCCCTGTTAGAATTCTTCACAAGGCATTCTTATGTTAAATAAATTATTGGGATATTGTAATTTAAATTATAAATTTAGTTTAAAAAGAAAAACACATAAAGGCATTTGGCCAAGAATAATCTTGTTATTGTTGCTGAGAAAGTCTAATTTATTTAAGGTCACAAAATCAAAGTTTTTACGACCAGTCTCTTTTCTTTCCAGTAAGCAAATAACAATTTGACTCCTTTTTGGGGAAGGAATACTGGAGAACTTGTCTCAGTAAGTCTTTCCTATTGCTATTTTTAAAATAAAAGCTATAGCATTATCTTTGTTTTCACTAGCTCCTACATTAAAATCCATAAGTCATTGTACGTTGAGTAACAGTACTTAAAAAAAATTCAAATCAGCATATTTCAGGTGTTAGATTTTAGGCAAGAATTACTACTTTTTTTCCCATAAGTTATTGGGGTACAGGTGGTATTTGGTTACATGAGTAAGTTCTTTAGTGGTGATTTGTGAGATTTTGGTGCACCCATCACCCGAGCAGTATACACTGCACCATATTTGCAGTCTTTTATCCCTCGGCCCCTCCCAGTCTTCCCCCCAAGTCCCCAAAGTCCATTGTATCATTCTTATGCCTTTGCATCCACATAGCTTAGCTCCCACATGTCCGTGAGAACATACGATGTTTGGTTTTCTGTTCCTGAGTTACTTCACTTAGAATAATAGTCTCCAGTCTCACCCAGGTCACTGCAAATGCTGTTAGTTCATTCCTTTTTATGGTATTCCATCATATACCAGTTTTTTATCCACTCGTTGATTGAAGGGCTAAATTAGGGTTGGTTCCATGATTTTGCAATTATGAATTGTGCTTCCACAGACATGTGTGTGCAAGTATCTTTTTCAAATAATGACTTCTTTTCCTCTGGGTAGATACCCAGTAGTGGGATTGATGGATCAAATGGTAGTTCTACTTTTAGTTCTTTAAAGAACCTCCACACTGTTTTCCATAGTGGCTGTGCTAGTTTACATCCCCACCAGCAGTGAGGAATGGTTCTCTGTTTGCCGCATCCACACCAACATCTGCTGTTTTTTGATTTTTTTATTATGGCCATTCTTGCAGGAGTATGGTGGTATTGCATTGTGGTTTCGATTCACATTTCCCTGATTGTTAGTGATATTGAGCATTTTTTCACATGTTTATTAGCCACTTGTATATCTTCTTTTGAGAATTGTTCATGCCCTTAGCACACTTTTTGATGGGGTTGTTTGTTTTCTTTCTTGCTGAATTGTTTGAGTTCGTTGTAGATTGTGGATATTAGTCCTTTGTCAAATGTATATATGGTGGAGATTTTCCCCCACTCTGTGGGTTGTCTGTTTACTCTGCTGACTGTTCTTTTGCCGTGCAAAAGCTCTTTAGTTTCATTAGGTCCCAGCTATTTATCTTTGTTTTTATTGTGTTTACCTTTGGGTTCTTGGTCATGAAATCCTTGCCTAAGCCAATGTCTAGAAGAATTTTTGTAGTTTCAGGTCTTAGGTTTAAGGCCTTGATCCAGCTTGAGTTTATTTTTTTGTATAAGGTGAGAGATGAGGATCCAGTTTCATTCCCCTACATGTGGCTAGCCAATTATCCCAGCACCATTTGTTGAAAAGGGTGCCCTTTCCCCACTTTATGTTTTTGTTTGCATTGTTGAAGATCAGTTGGCTGTAAGTATTTGGGTTTATTTCTGGGTTCTCTATTCTGTTCCATTGGCCTATGTGCCTATTTTTATACCTGTACCATGCTGTTTTGGTGATTATGGTCTTAAAGTATAGTGTGATGCCTCCAGATTTGTTATTTTTGCTTAGTCTTGCTTTGGATATGCAGGCTCTTTTTTGGTTCCATATGAATTTTAGAATTGTTTTTTCTAAACTTGTGAAGAATGATGGTGGTATTTTGATAGGGATCGCATTGAATTTGTAGACTACTTTTGGCAGTATGGTCATTTTCAAAATATTGATTCTACCCATCCATGAGCATGGGATGGGTTTCCATTTGTTTGTATCATCCATGATTTCTTTCAGCAATGTTTTTTTAGTTTTCCTTCTAGAGGTCTTTCGACTCCTTGGTTAGGTATATTCCCAAGTATTTTATTTTTTGCAACCATTGTAAAAGGGGTGGAGCTGTCAATTTGATTCTCTGCTTGGTCGCTCTTGGTGTATAGAAGAACTACTGATTTGTGTACATTAATCTTGTATCTGGAAACCTCGCTGAATTCTTTTATCAGTTCTAGGAGCTTTATGGAGGAGTCCTTAGGGTTTTCAAGGTAAACAATCATATCATCAGCAAACAGTGACAGTCTGACTTTCTCTTTACCGATTTGCATGCCCTTTATTTCTTTCTCTTGTCTGATTGCTCTGACTAGGGCTTCCAGTAGTATGTTGAAGAGGAGTGGTGGGAGTGGACATCCTTGTGTTGTTCCAGTTCTCAGAGGGAATGCTTTCAACTTTTCCCCATTCAGTATTATGTTGGCTGTGGGTTTGTCATAGGTGGCTTTTACTACATTAAGGTATGTCCCTTGTATGCCAATTTTGCTGAGAGTTTTACTCATAAAGGGAGGCTGGATTTTGTTGAATACTTTTTCTGCATATATTGAGATGATCATGTGATTTTTGTTTTTAATTCTGTTTATGTGGTGTACCACATTTATTGACTTGTGTATGTTAAACCATCCCTGGTGTAAAACCCAATTAATCATGGTGGATTATCTTTTTGATACGTTATTGGATTCGGTTAGCTAGTATTTTGTTAAGGATTTTAGCATCTATGTTCATCAAGGATATCAGTCTGTGGTTTTATTTTGGTTATGTCCTTTCTTCGTTTTGGTATTAGAGTGATGCTGGCTTCATAGAATTAATTAGGGAGGGTTCCTTCTTTCTCTATCTTGTGGAATAGTGTCAGAAGGATTGGTACCAATTCTTTGAATGTCTGGAATTCTGCTGTGAATCTGTCTGGTCCTGGACTTTTTTTTGTTGGTAATTTTAAAATTACCATTTCAATCTCACTGCTTGTTATTGTTCTGTTCAGGGTATCTAATTCTTCCTGATTTAAGCTACGAGGGTTGTATGTTTTCAGGAATGGATCCATCTCTTCTAGGTTTCTAATTTATGTTCATAAAGGTGTTCATAGTAGCCTTAAATGATCTTTTGTATTTCGGTGGTGTCAGTTGTAATATCTGCTGTTTTGTTTCTTAATGAGGTTATTTGGATTTTCTCTCTTCTTTTCTTGGTTAATCTTGGTAATGGTCTATCAATTTTATTTATCTTTTCAGAGAAACAGCTTTTTGTTTAATTTATCTTTTGTACTTTTGCTGTTTCAATTTCATTTAGTTCTGCTCTGATCTTGGTTATTTCCTTTCTTCTGCTGGATTTGGGTTTGGTTTGTCCTTGTTTCTCTCCTTCCTTGAGATGTGACCGTAGAGTGTCAGTTTGTGCTCTTTCAGTTTTTGGTAGGCCTTTAGGGCTATGAACTCTCCTCTTAGTACCACCTTTGCTGTTTCCCAGAGGTTTTGATAGGTTGTGTCATTATTGTAAAGTTCGAAGAATTTTTTAGTTTCCATCTTGATTTTGTTTTTGACTCATTTCTCATTTGGGAGCAGGTTATTTAATTTCCATGTATTTGCATGGTTTTGAAGGTTCCTTTTGGAGTTGATTTCCAGTTTTATTCCACTATGGTCTGAGAGAGTGCTTGATATAACTTCAATTTTCTTAAATGTATTGAGGCTCATTTTGTGGCCTATCAGATGGTCTATCTTGGAGAAAGTTCCGTGCACTGTTGAATAGAATGTGTATTCTGCAGTTGTCAGGTGAAATGTTTTGTATATATTTGTTAAGTCTGTTTGTTTCAATATATAGTTTAAATGCATTCTTTGTTGACTTTCTGTCTTGATGACCTGTCTAGTGCTGTCAGTGCAGTATTGAAGTCCCCCACTATTATTGTGTTGCTGTCTATCTCATTTCTTAGGTCTATTAGTAATTGTTTTACAAATTTGAGAGTGCCAGTGTTGGGTGCATATATGTTTAGGATTGTGATATTTTCCTGTTGGACAAGGCCTTTTATCATTATATAATGTCCCTCTTTGTCTCTTTTAACTGCTATTGCTTTAAAGTTTGTTTTGTCTGATATAAGCATAGCTATTCCTGTGTACTTTCGGTGTCCATTTGCATGAAATGCCTTTTTCTACCCCTTTAAGTTCGTGTGAGTCCTTATGTGTTAGATGAGTCTCCTTAAGGCAGTAGATAGTTGGTTAGTGAGTTCTTATCCATACTGCAGTTCTGTATCTTTTAAGTGGAGCATTTAGGCCATTCACATTCAATGTTAGTATTGAAATGTGAGGTACTATTGCGTTCATCATGCTCTTTGTTGCCTGTGTATTTAGTTTTTTTGTTTTTGTTTTTGCCTTTTAACTTACATTTTTGTTTTATAGGTCCTGTGTGATTTATGCTTTAAAGAGGTTCAGTTTTGATGTGTTTCCAGGATTTGTTTCAAGATTTAGTACACAAGAACTCCTTTTAGCAGTTCTTGTAGTGGTGGCTTGGTAATGGCAAATTCTCTCAGTGTTTGTTTGTCTGAAAAAGACTGTGTTTCCTTCACACATCATGCTTAGTTTCAGTGGATACAAAATTCTTGGCTGGTAATTGTTTTATTTGAGGAGGCTGAAGATAGGGCCCCAATCCCTTCTAGATTACAAGGCTTCTGCTGAGAAATCTGCTGTTAATCTGATAGGTTTTCCTTTATAGGTTACCTGGTGCTTCTGCCTCACAGTTCTTAATATTCTTTCCTTCATCTTAACTTTGGATAACCTGATGACAGTGTGCCTAGGCGAAGATCTTCTTGTGATGAATTACCCAGGTGTCCTTTGTGCTTCTTGTATTTGGATGTCCAGGTCTCTAGCAAGGCTAGAGAAGTTCTCCTCGATTATTTCCCCAAATATGTTTTCCAAGCTTTTAGAATTATCTTCTTCCTCAGGAACACCGATTATTCTTAAGTTTGGTTGTTTAACATAATCCCAGACTTCTTGCTGGCCTTGTTCATGTTTCCTTAATTTTTCTTTGTCTTTGTTGAATTGGACTAATTCAAAGACCTTGTCTTCAAGCTCTGAATTTCTTTCTTCTACTTGTTAAATTCTATTGCTGAAACTTTCCAGAGAATTTTGAATTTCTAAAAGTGTGTCCAAAGTTTCCTGAATTTTTGATTGTTTGTTTTTCTTTAAACTATCTAATTCCTTGAATATTTCTCCCTTCACTTCTTGTATAAGTTTTTTGGATTTCATTGTATTGGGCTTTCTGCTCCCAGATTAGTTTAATAACTAATCTCCTGAATTCTTTTTCCGGTAAATCAGGGATTTCTTCTTGGTTTGGGTCTATTGCTCATGAACTAGTGTGATTTATTTGAGGGGTGTTGAAGAGCCTTGTTGTGTCATATTACCACGGTTGGTCTTCTAGTTCCTTCTCATTTGGGTAGGCTCTGTCAGAGGGAAGGTCTGGGGCTGAAGGCTGTTGTTCAGATTCTTTTGTCCCACAGGTGTTCCCTTGATGTAGGAGTAGTATCTCCCCATTTTTCTATGGATGTGGCTTCCCATGCCACATCCATAGTGATTGTTGTCTGTCTTCTTCGTCTAGCCACCTAGCAAGTCTACCCGGCTATGGTCTGGTACTAGGGGTTGTCTGCAGAGTCCTGTGATGTGAACCGTCTATGGGTTTCTCAGCCATGGACGGAGGCCTGTTCAGTGGAGGTGGCAGAGGAGTGCAATGGACTCCGTGAGGGTTCTTAGCTTTGGTGGTTTAATGCTCCATTTTCCTGCTGGTTGGCGTTCTGTCAGGAGGTGGCACTTTCCAGAAAGCATCAGCTGTGGTAGTGTGGGGAGGAACCGGAAGTGGGCAGGGCCCCAGAACTTCCAAGATTATATGCCCTTTGTCTTCCACTACCAGGGTGTGTAGGGAAGGTCCAGGAGGTTGGAGCAGGGATAAGCATGTCTGAGCTCAGACTCTCCTTGGGCAGGTCTTGCTGGGGTTGCTGTGGGGAATGGGGGTGAGATTCCCAGGTCCCTGGCTGCCTCTGCTAAGTCATGCAGGTTGTCAGGAAAGTGGGGGAAAGCTGACAGTCACAGGCCTCACTCAGCTCCTATGCAAACTTAAGGGCCTGCTCATTCCCACTGTGCCCCCTTCAACAGCCCTGAGTCTGTTTCCAGGCAGAGGGCAAAACGGGCTTGAAAACCTGCCCCAGACTACCCACCTCCCAGCTGCAGAAGAAAAGGACTTGGTTCTTCCCTGGCCTGAGGAGCCTGCACGCCAGATTTGTGCTCTCCCCTGAGTTCTGGCCAGGTGGCTTCTCACCCCATTCAAATTGTTACAAAGTTCACCTAGAGATTTCCTTCTCCCTGTGGAGTTTTACCCCCTGCTTCTCTCCCATTGGATTCCTGGGGTGCCAGGCAGGAATGGGCTGCTTGGGGACCAAGCAAGCTCCCAGGGCCTTTCTGCTGCTTCCTCTACCCCTGTATTTCACTCAGCTCTCCAAGGTAAAGTCGGAAACTTCTTCCGCAAACAGACCTTCAGTTTCCCCAGTAGGGGTGTGTGTTTGGGAAAGGAAGGTCTACGATTCCCACTTCCACTGTTGGGGCACTTACAGCATTTAGGGGATCTCCCAGGTCCTGCAGGAGCAGTTCACTTCTTTCAGAGGGTCCGTCAGTCTCAGAATTGCTAGTTTGTTCTTGCAGCCAATCTGGAGCTAAAATTCATGATGTGAGCCTCTGCACACTGTTCTGTCTAGAGCTACAGTCTAGTCCTGCCTCCCATCCACCGTGATGATCCCAATTCCCCAAGAATTACTACGTCTAAGGCAGGATGTTGTACTGGCAGAACAATGCCTAACCACAATGTAGGTACCATCTTCTCAGCCTACATAGAATCCTGTCATTATCTGCAATTGCTCTATCACCCAAAATAGCCAGCTCCCCAGTCATGCTTCTTGACTACATCATGATTTCCTTGTCAACAATTTCAACTTGTCAACCATTTAAGTATGTCTGGTTTTTGTTGCTACTGTTTTATTTTTAACTTCATTAGACGTCCATTTGGCGGATTCTTCTCTTAATATTTTCTTCCATTTAATCAGCTGTGTCCTTTCCTTATATCCCTTCCTTGAGAAATTAGATTTAACTTCCCAGGATTTCAAAGGAAATTCCTAATTCCTAAACTTGCACACACACAAATACAGTTTGGCTGTCCCCTTCAAGTCTCATATTGAAATGTAATCCCCAGTGTTGGAGGTGGAACCTGGTGGGAGGTGACTGGATCATGGGGATGGTTTTCTTATGAATGGTTTAGCGCTATCCCCTTGGTGCTGTCTTTGCAACAGCAAATGACTTCTTGTGAGATCTGGTTGTTTGAAAGTGTGTCACCTTCCCCTCTTCTCCCCTGCTCCTGCTCTTGCCATGCAATGCAACTGCTCCCTCTTCACGTTCCACCATGAGTAAAAGCTCCCTGAGGCCTCACCAGCAGCCAAGCAGCTGCAGGGGCCATGTTTGCATGACCTGCAGAACTATGAGCCAATAAAACCTCTATTCTTTATAAATTACCCAATCAGGTATTTCTTTATAGCAATGCAAGAATAGCCTAATACACACACACACACACACACACACACACACACACACACACACACACACACACACACACACACACACACACCCCTGCTTTTTTAATTCCCTTCAGGTCATGGCTAGATCCTGCAAATATGTGTTAATTAAATACTCTTCATACTCACAAGAGACTGCTAGTCTAATTATCCTCTTTCTCTTGATGTTCAGCTTCTCCTTCTCTAGTCTGTTCTTCCCACTAGATTTTAAAACAAACAGTTTTAAAACAGTTCAACACAGTAAAGAATAGCAACATAAATCTTGGTTCAACTACTCCTCATGTTCCAGTTACTTCCAGCTATGTTCATGTTGCTTTCTTCTGCTAAAGAGTAGATTCTGTTTTGACCCTAAAGGTTAATAAAATTCAGCATGATGTAATAAAAATATAAAATTACATGAAATAGAAATAATAGAAGCACTCTACTGTCATAAATATTTTTATAAATAAAGTTATTTTTCTCTATTTAACCTTATTTTATTTTGCTTACATATATTAGGTGTCTTTTGAATTGATGAAAGAAATGTATCTAGTTGTGTGACTAATCTCTGAGGCTGTTTCT
Source organism: Homo sapiens (assembly GCF_000001405.40). NCBI lineage: Eukaryota > Metazoa > Chordata > Mammalia > Primates > Hominidae > Homo > Homo sapiens. The sequence goes on from NC_000004.12 coordinate 180,877,644, forward strand.
TCACCAGTAAAAATAAGAGTTTGCTTTTGGTACATGCAAGTTCTATTATACAAAGATGGTAAAATTTAAATCATAAGTTTTCCTAGATCAGGCAAAATACATCTATGTTTTGACACTTTACTATGTGCATATTTTTCAAAGATGATAGGAGCTCTCTTCAATGATGTATGTTTCTGGAAGGCACTGAAAAAGTTAAATTATAATTAATTCACCCTCAACTATTTTCTCACAAACAAAAGAGTCAGGCTTAGTGAATTAAAGTATAGACGCAATCTGGGTTTATTATATGGTTATTGGGCTGTATAATGCCGTTTTTAAAAATTGCATTTGAAGCAGCATTTTATGCACAAATTTGTTGAATATAATATTACTTATTTCAACGTATACATATCAAGATGATAACCTTAGTTGTTGTATTTCAAAATTGGAAAAATTGGGATTTATTTTTAAATTAGGCATTTCACTAGTGTCTAATTTTTAAATGATAGTGGAATAAACTGCTAGGGGGTAATTCTTGACACTCTTATTCTAAGTATAAGTATACTAAGAATGATAATGTAACAAAGAGTAACAGATCAGGGTTACCATAGATAAATATGTGCTTGTAAGAGAAATGTTGAGTTTAAAAGGAAGCATGAAAAAAGTCTGATAGTGATTCACAACTTTGGAGTAAAACTGTAAAGTCTTTCACTAGTCATGAACTGTAGTTTTGCCAAGAGTCCATCAGCACGCACTGTCAGAGAAGAGCTGGAGAAAGTCATAATCAATCTGATTTTGTATCAACCAAAAAAAGATGACAGATCTGAAATAGCTTTCCTTATACAGGGCTTAAGATACAAATATATGAATGCATCACTTTAGTGATAATAAAAGCTGACTTTGTGACCTTGAGTAATCTTTCAAGGATATTTCCATGGAAGGCTAGGAAATTGCAACCTTATGTAGAATGGGTTAAATTTGCCAGATATCTTTTATTCAATTTTAGAGAATGAATTCAGTTATGCTATTTGCATTTGTATTTAAATTTTTACATGAGAATGAGGTCCTGGCATTGGAAAGTCATATATCCTATGTTAGATTTAGCCATCTCCTCTATCAGCTTGACCTTCTGCTATTCTGTGTATTTACTGGCTGGACGTTCACCTGTTCCTCTTGGTGTAGTAAAGCTATAAATAGGAAGAAGAAGCAGAAAGGTTATCCGATCAAAATGCAGAATATGGATAAAGGTCAAGGTGGTAGGGCATGCAGTTCTAATTCCCAATATATATTAGACAATAAAAATCTTACACCTCATTCTTGTGGCAAAAATTGTAATAACGGAATTGAAATACTGTGCAAATTATTTTTCATACAGGATTGTCGAGTCGAAATGAAGTAATAGTATTTGTCCATTTTCATTAAACTTTTAGAATGATATTCTAATGCTTATGAAAAAGATGCCATACGTACAAAATAGAAAAACAACAAATATGTATTTGAAAATTCCATATTTTTACACGTTTTCTTTTTATTCATCATTGAATTTATAATTTGAATTATATAGAAAAAATAAAGTATATGTGAGGTAAATCATAGAGACCAGGAAATCCAAAGTTTGAAAGAAACTAAACTATGGCAAAAATTGTTAAGGTAATAAGTTAATTTTTCCTTCTATTTAAGTTATAATATTTATAGATATTTTGCACGCATCTCAATACCTTGATTCTCTGATTGATAACGTTATATGACCAAAAAAAACAAAAAACAAAAGACTTCACAGACATGATTAAGTTGAAGAACGTGAGATACAGAGAGCATTCTTGGTAAGTGCAATCATATTATCCTAATAAAAGAAAAACGGAGATTTTACAAATAAACATACAGAGGAGAAGGCAATGTGGTCATAGAGGCAGACATCAGAATGATGTGGCCATAAGCCAGGGAATGCCAGCAACCACCAGAATCTGGAAGGGGCAAGAAATGGAATCTTTTCTATATCTTCTGGAAGGAGCATGGCCCTGACACCATGCAGATATTGCCCCAATAAAAGTAAATTTCTGATTTCTGGCCTCCAGAATTAGAAGAGAATAAATATACATTATCTTAAGTCACCAAGTTTATGGCAATTTGTTACAGCAGCCATAGGAAACAAATGAAGGGGACGTTTTTGGGAAAAGAGCAGAGTGCTTGGCACATTTTTGCTGATCAGTATTTCTTATAATTACATAAAGAGGGGGTTTTATAGGTAGAATCACAACAAGTCTCACCATAGTGGAAATTATAGCACATAAATGTGGTGTTGGCACCTTAAACCTAGCTTACTTCAAAATAGTTCATCTTCTGGCATTTCAATTAATGAAAATCACAAAATTAGGCACTTTTATGGTTGGTACATCCTCTGTTTTTAATCCCCAGTAATAGTGCAAACACATCAATTAAAACTCAAACATTTCAGCTCATCCTAATGTGTATTAAGGTATTGGATATGCTATCCATTACCTCATAGTACAGTGGCCTGAGCCTCACTCCTCATAGTACAGAGGAATGAGAACTGAATGGGGAAATGAAGAGCCTGGAAATGCATCCTGGCTGGCTGATAGATTCCACCTCCATGTGTTTTATTTTTCCAAGTGTTTAAAGGAAGGCAGAAGTGCTATGTCACAAATCTCTTCCAGTGATCCGGGATATTTATTCTAAAGAAGAAGAGAAATGGAAACATCAAAATGTAGGTAGTGTGAAGGAGGGATAAGTCTGGTAGCATCCCTTGGTGAGGATAATGAATGATGTGATACCCTGGGCATCTGGAAGAGGAAAGTTTAGAGCAGTAATTCTGGAGGATAAGGATGAGATAGCATAGAAAGGTGGCCACAATATAATTTCACAATGTTTTGAAAACATGCCCTATCACTCTCTCTGCCCATATGCCCTAGATGTTGATGTTAGTTATAGCCTGAAAATGTAGGAGATTTCTGAGTCTGGCTAGAAAAGAGAAGAGAGCCACAGACTGAGCCCTGAGGAACCCTAACTTTTGGGAATGGAGTGATGAGGACCAGAGAAGCAGGAAGAAAACTAGGAAACTGTGGTTTCCTGGATGTCCAGTCAAAACAATGTTTCAAGGAGGAAAGAGACATCAACTATCCAAAGTTGATAGGTCAAGTAAGATGAAGACTGAAAACAAACTCTTGCTTTTATTAGAGTGGAGGCCCCTGGTAATCCTCATAGGAAGCAATTTCAGCAGAGTTATCTGGTGCATTACATTATAATGAAATAAATCTTTTCCAAGGTATTTGTGGGAACTAGTTCTATGAGTTCAATAGGTACTTTATGAAATTTGATGGAATTTCACGATTGTCTTAAGTTGCAGATACATCTCTTTCCCAAGGAACTTTTGCTCCTAAGTCAACACAAGAGTTAGAGGGAGGAAAATAATAGACAATCAGACTAAATAACTTTTCTAAGGAGCATTCTCATAAAGGGAAGAGGAGAAATGAGGCAGTGGCTGGGAGAAAAAGTTGGATCAGGAAAAAAATATTTTAAAATATATGGGAGTAATAACAAGTTTATATGGTAATAAGAATCATTTGGTAAAAAGAAAAAATAACTATAGACACTGAAGAGATGGTGGAGAAAGAATTGCTGGAGCAAGTCATTGAGAAAGAGAAAAGGGATGGGATCAGGAGCACAGCTGTGGGGAGCTGACCAGTGGTGGAGAGTGCAGGGACTCTTTGGATATTACAGTCACCAAGAGTTATGGAAGGAGTGGTGTCAGAGGGAGTTAAGGTGATCCTGGAAGCTTAATGAATAAGGTAGAATGACCCAAACATAGATGGGTAATACCAACCAAGAAAGTAGAGGTGCGATTTTCTAGTGACTTAAGATTCAAAGCTGGCTTTTTTTCAGAATTATTTGTAAATATCAAATAAGCAAGGAAGATGTATGCCTGGGTCACTTAGGATCCAAGTAATACAAGGAATATGGGGTCCGTGGGGAGCTCATAGCACAGGGGAGAGCAAGACAATGAAGTGAAGGATCAGAGAAGAGGTGAAGTTCAGGGTATTTTGCAGATAATTTTGAATTCCAGGGGGCTCACTGGAGGGGCTTCTAGAGTTGCAGAGAGGTGGGAGATGAGGTCTACCAAAGAGAATCACAGTAGATGACCCGGACTTTGGGTGCTGACAGACCTAATGAGCAGTAGGAGGTGTGATGCAATTACTTGTTTGCTTCCAAGGTAGTTTATGATGCCAAGACTGTGAGTGATACTGAGGGGAGGAGAGTTACAGGACTTACAAAAAGGAGATGGCATTTCTGGGGATCCAACTTGATTATTGCTGGAGAGGTAGAGGCCTCTGCAGAGGCCATCTTGCTGTGAAGTCACAGGACTCCTAAGATCCCTATTATCTCCAGCCTAGGCAGGAGGTTAGCAAAAGCTTTAAATGCCTAGAATCGAAGTGCCTACTTGTCTTGTCTCTACTTATAAAAGAAGGGGGAGTACCTTCTCTGAGTGTACATAATTAAAATCATAGAAAAAGAGTGTTTAAATACAAGGTCATTGAGATGAATGCCTTATTGGTCATATATCAGAAGCCTGAAATTACTAAAGACAATCATGACAACTCTCGATTCATAGAATGGATGTGATTTTCAAAAGTGGTGTAGTGTATTCATCCTAGCTGAGCAGGGCTATAGCTAAACCAGGCCAGGCAGCTGCATTATCATGTGTAGTAACCATGAATTATCTTTCTTATGACTAAGAACATTTAAGAATTGACTAGCCATGCAGCCTTGACAGAAGTGGAAGATACAGTTGCCCTTAAACGTTTACATCGAATCTGGTTACCAAGTGCTGAAATCATGCTGTCACAACCTACCACTCAAGTAAGAATTATGATAAGGGACAAACTTAGTATATTCTTTTGTAATGCATGACTTGAATCGAGAAAATTGTCTTAAAAAATAAATGCTATCTCTACTCTTCTACTCTTCCACTTAGGAGGATTCTGCCATTTATGAGAGATCAGCCATATTAACTTACGTTTCCTTTGGCACTTCACAAACTCTCTCTCCTACCTGCCCCCAACCCCCCACACACACCCCCCACAGTAGCAGCAGAGAACACAAGGAGTGGTTAGACTAGCACTACGTGCCAACACTCTACTTCAGCCGTTACGCTTCTCTAACACCAACCTGAGTAGATAAGCATGATGATTTCTCCACAGTCAATATATGAGCAGTCCTATGCAGAGTGAAATAGACTCACCATATCATTTTAAAATGTTTTGTTCAGGTACAAACACCAAAATCAGAGACTCTCTTCAAGTATCTTGTCAGGTGATAAGGCAAACAGCAATTTAGGATGAGGAAGTTTACCAAAGGAAACTTTCCGTGGTGAGAGTGAGTCACCTGAGTTAGGGAACACCCGAGGGGATATCACTGAATCAGATCCCTGAAGCTTGGTGGTCCTTAGTCACTATGACATGATAGCTAATGCAGGAGACAGACTTGAATAGCTAACGAGATTACCAGCAATGCTTTCCAGATTAAATTGTCATGAGAACATATAGAATGTTAACCGAACACTACATATTGATATGTATTTTAAAAAATAAGGGTTTGCAAAGTAGCAGGGTACATCTCATTGTATTTCATTTAGTAGAAACCACTGAACTGTTCTTACCAAACTATTGAGAGACTGACTACTAACATGCTTCTAGTTTTGACTAGGGCTCTAATATTTGAATTTACAGTAATTTGCACAGTTTCTGTCTAATTAGTCATGTAGACGAAGGAAGAAGTGAAAAGCAAATTGGCAAAACAATTATGGATTATAAATTCTCTACTGTGAGAACTGAATAGTAAAGTAACTAAGAAGAACAAATAATGGGAAGTCTTCCCTCATATCAGTAGTTGAAAAGCCAAATAATATTGAACAGCAGTAAGTGGTGATTAGTGCCTCTGTTAAGTCCACAAGATATTGATAATCTATAAATATAAATTGTAAAAGCAGTCCTGATAAGGGAAAGGTGGAGTTTTATTGGACAGTTCAGTGCCCTTCCCCCAAATATTAGGAAGGAGACCAAGAAAGGGGAGGAGACAAAATCCTGATATTGCTTGTTGTAAAATAATGATCATGAAAATAATTAAAAATGCGTTAAAAATTAAAAAAGTCATAGTGATGTCATGTCTTGAAGATATAGAGAAAGTACCACATGGATAATAAATATGCAAATGGGGTTTCAGAATGTGCATCTGACTATGAATATATTTTTAATATTTTCCTATTTTAATATAAAAGGCAATATTTAAGCACTACCATTATATTGTCCCATAAATGCTGCAAATCATTTTTTTAACTAAGCATGGTATAAATATATAAGCAAGCAGATATTTGATATATTTATAGTGTTGCAATCAGGAGATTTATGTAACAGTATGCCAGTAATGTGCTTATCCACACTCTTACTTGATCCCAAATGAAAACAATATTTTCATACACTGGCTCCCTCTTTGTTATATTTTCTTTTCTGTGCCATTGATAAGATAAAAGTGAAAAATAAAGTTTATTTCTTAAAAAATACTTTGAAAGAGTTCCAAATCTTAGTTTTTAATTAATCCATTGTATCTGTAATTTTGTGTGAAGAATTTGATTAAATAAAACATTTTAAAGATATGTCTGTGGAGAAACAACTCATAAAAATACAAAAGAGGGAATGAGTTATTTCCTAAGCACATAGTATATTGAAAGTGTTGGCCTGAGATTAAGTTTAACATACAATTTGGAATTGAAGGAGTAAAGAGAACATGAGTATTCTGTAGATCTGAGGCAGAGACGAGTGAATAAGTAAAGAGAAAAGAATCTGTTTTGTGAAGTTACCATGCTTAAAGAAGGTCAAAGCCGGTTCAGGTTCTTATTCAATTCAAATAAATTCATATTTTTTGTTGTGTTTTGTTTTGTTTTTAGACGGAGTCTCGCTCTGTCACCCAGGCTGGAGTGCAGTGGTGCCATCTCGGCTCACTGCAACCTCCGCATCCTGGGTTCAAGCAATTCTCCTGCCTCAGCCTCCAGATTAGCTGGGATTACAGGCATGTGCCACCATGCCTGGCTATTTTTTGTATTTTTAGTAGAGACGAGGTTTTGCCATGTTGGCCAGGCTGGTCTTGAACTCCTGACCTCAGGTGATCTAACCATCTCAGCCTCCCAAAGTGCTGGGATAATAGGCGTGAGCCACCTTGTCCGGCCAAGTTCATGCGTGTTCTGTTGGAGACATTTCTCACCCTGTGGGGACTTGCAATCAAAGAGACAAAGCAGAGATTATATTGGGGAATCTAATATAAAACTGCTAATAAGAAAGGAGGCTCAGCATCTATTGCTAGTGATTTACATGATGCTTGAGGAGAGGAAATCTAAGGAAAAGTAATGTTCAGGCAGAAAGAGCTTCAGGTAGTCAAGAACCTCTTGACACTTGAGTGGAAAAAGTCTGTTCTATATTTCTCTGAATCTATGAACTTCGTTGAACTTTTAAAATTTAGAACTACACACGTTCTTTAATGATTTCTCAGCACCATAGTTTCTAATGCCAAAGCAATGTGGCAGAGATTGAGACAAGTAATAACTTTTGCTGCTGTTACACTAATGACTCTCTTTTTCCAAGTATTATCAGGTAGGCAGGTAACTCAACTACAAAAAAACCACGAAATCCATTTTGCAGTTACTCAAGTCCAAGTACAAGGACTCACTCACTGCTGCCCATCTTTGCTTTCTGTCCCTGGGGCAGCATTTGCTTATTTGAAAATAGTACCTGGTGTTATTATCTGTTAGAAAAGAAGGGTTGAAACAATCTGAAGGGGGGGCTACAGCTTGCTGGAAACATCTTAATAATCACAAAACAAATCCACCAAATAAGACATCTGATTTTTGTTACCAAATCGCTTATAAGACATGTATTATTTGAGTTGATGAGCTTTCAAAAGACATTTGAAAAAAAGAACTAGAACTTGTGGTTTTCAAATACATAATATCAAGACAATGACTTAAACTTATCTCTAGGGAATTTTACCCTCAATTTGTAGCATAAGCAAGGAATATACAGATTACTTGTCAATATTTCTTTTTTTAAATTATACTTTAAGTTCTAGGGTACCTGTGCACAACGTGCAGGTTTGATACATAGGTATACATGCGCCATGTTGGTTTGCTGCACCCATCAACTCGTCATTTACATTAGGTATTTCTCCTAATGCTATCCCTCCCCCAGGCAAAGAGAAGCCTAAATGAGAACAAAAATGGAACTGGCAGTACAATAAAAATGAGAAAGTAAGTATGGGCTCTATTGCGGATCACTGCAATTTATAGCCATTAAGGTCACTCATCTTGATAGCCTTTTTAAATATCAAGAATAAATTGTTAAAGAACTGTCACTATACTTTTGCCTACTTAGATAACCAGTTCCTTATTATTATGCTATAACATACCATCTTGGATTTGAATGAGTATCCGACTTTGTGGCTTGTGCAAGTAGTAATGATGCAGGTTCTAAGGGTTAATTCTTGAATGATCTTGCATATTCACAGGTTTGTGTGGTCCAGAATCAAAATGCAGTCTTGGTGAAAGTGAGCTTCACTGTAACTTGGGCAAAGAGTATAAATTAATATAGATGAAGTCTGCAGTGGAAGTGGAGTTGAATGATTAAGATGTCCACTTTTGACTGACAATGGATGAGCCTGGATATCTGTATATAACCCAAGCTCAACATTTGAGCATTGCATCTTCTTGTTAAATGTAACTTCAGATATACCAAGCCTAACCTTTCTTACAGGGCTATTATTCCTCTTTATCAATAGTTATATGCATTGGTTCAACATAAAACATCTCTATGAGAGTAAAAGACAGAATCAGAAACCATATGATTCATTCAATTATATGTGTTCATGGCTACAGGTTTCCAATAAACCTTGTTTTTAGTTTATACTTCAGTGTCTAATATGAGGTAGGCATTGTTATTACTTCCACTGCCCAGAAAACATACCTTTCTGAGAATCCACAACCAGAACAGAAAAGACCCTCTATATAAGGATTGTCTTCTTATTTAGAAGCATTGTTATTCTTTTTTCCTATGACACCCTTGATTTTCTTTTGAAAATAGCCCTCTAACTTTTGTTATTTAATAAAAAAAATCCAACTTATGCACGGGGCAACAAAACCCAAATGAACATAGGAAATGTCTTTAACACATTTATTCATTCATTCTTTCCTCATTTACAAGATATATATTGATGATTTACTATGTGCTAGACATGCTACCATTTGCTGGCAATTAAAAAAATCGAATAAACCACAAATAACTTTCAAAGATAATCAACTTCTTTTGAGGTATAAATAAAATATTTTAAATTAAGCAAACATTTTAAACTTTAGATTAAACCTCATTGAGCATGGAGTAACATACATGTCAGTTTCAGGCTGATAAGAGGCAGAGGCATTTGGAAAAACAGCAAATTAGCATTTGTTTAACCACCACTTTTGGCACCTACTTTATTTTGGTCAAGGTGCAAAAAGTTAAGACTAACAAAATAAGCTAGAAACAAAATTGACTTGAGGAATTTTCATCATTCTTAAATTTGGCATCCCTGGAAGCTATTTGAAGTGGAAAATAGGTTATCAGTATCCCCAAGTGCTAGTCTGTAAAATTTTTATGTGTCAAATAATAAGTGTGAAAATATTATTAAATATGTTCTAACTGAACAATATGGTTCTACCCTCAATTATTGGCTAACCTTTCTCTATTCACAAGTTTCTGGAAATACAGTACTTGTGAATAGAAAATTATTTTACAAATACAGCATTTTATGTAAAAAGACATTTTTTCCAATGCTCTTTCTGATTCCTCCTGGCAGAAACCTTCAGTTAAATATTGTTGTGTTGGTGGTCTTTAACACAAATTTTTTACATGTGAATTCTTGCCTTTTTGCAACACTCACTCACTGAGTCAAGCAGCTGTTTTAAGAAAGCTTTAGCTTTAGCTTTTTAGCCATCCCCACAGGTAGAGGGTGAGGAACCAACTAGAAGAACCAACTAAGAGAACCAACCAAGGAGTGTGTGTATGTATGGGGAGGTCAGCATGCAGGGCAGCTTCCCAGAGACTTGTTATAATTGAACTCCTTGTAATTAGCCCACCTTCGTGCTTTCTGCACATGTGATTTTACTTATTTCTAATACTGGCTATAGGATGCATACAATAATATCAATCTCCATGACTTTGATCGTTTCGTTTTGCTCTGCCTTTTCAGTTCTGGCTTTAGACCCGCAGGTATTACCTGGATTAATTCAGATCTTCATTTGAAGTTCAATTCTTAGGCACCTTGGCATTTTCTTTTTCAGTGCTCATCTTATAAAATTAGAAAACTCTTTAGAATGAAAGTTCTGGCATCTGAACCAGAAAGACACAAAGAACACACTTCACATGCACATTATAAAACAACACAGTATACATAGGGTTGCTAGGTATTGGAAAAAAAATATGCACACACACACACACACACTACATGGAACATATACTAAAAATTTAGTAATTATATCTAGTTCAAACTTAACTGAGAAGCTAGTACTTTATCTGGTAATCCTAAGCATAGATGTAAATGAAGTAGAAAATTATCATAACTAGGCCATGCATTAATTCTCCTGACCATACACACAACTACCAAAAGGGAAGTTACTAATTCAATATATGACTTTATTTTTGTATATTGAATTACAGCATGAAGTTAACTACCTTAAATTTCTTCCAATAACAGAAATGAGGCCAGGGCTTATTCCCAGGAAGCTTTCCATAGAAAAAATCATATCACCTGCCATGTTTTAAGTAAATAATATTTGGCCCAAATTTTGAAAACTTTCATCCTGTTATTAGACAAATAGCTGTTAGAGAATAAACTGGAATGGTAGACTGAGGAGAGAAGCATAGCAAATTTTAATTTTGTTCTTTCATCCTTCATTTTCTAATTTCTCTACTTTTGAAAGTACCTTAAGGTCTAAGTACTTCGTCAACATAGTGAGACCCTGTCTCTACAAAAGAAAAATGTTTAAAAAATAAAAAAAAAAAAATTAGCTAGGCATGGTGGCAGGTGCCTGTAGTCCCAGCTACTCTAGAGACTGAAGTGGGAGGATCACTTGGGCCCAGGAGTTTGAGGCTGCAGTGAGCTATGATCGTGCCACTGCACTCCAGCCTGGGTGACAGAGTGAGAGCTTGTCTGAAACAACCAACCAACCTCTAAGTACTTAAGAAATGTAAAAATCTAATGAAAAAAATTAAAAATAAGTTTCATGCTAAGAGTTACGTGTGTGTGTGTGTGTGTATATCTATATCTATATATCTATATATGTATAGTTCTAGTAGCAATGAAAAGTTGAGTGAACTATTCCTATTCTTTAACTCCTTTAAAAACTAAATGTGGCCAGACATGGTGGCCCATGCCTGTAATCCTAGCATTTTGGGTGGCTGAGGTGGGAGGATCCCTTGAACTAAGGAGTTACAGACAAGCCTGGATAACAGAGGGAGACCCTGTCTCTACAAAAATTTAAAAAACTTAGCTGGGGGATGGTACACACGTGTGCTCCTAGCTACTCAAGAGGCTGAGGCTGGAGGATCACTTGAGCCCAGATGGTCAAAGCTGCACTGAGCCATGATCATACCAGTGTGCCCCAGCCTGGGCAGCAGAGCCAGACCCTGTCTGAAAAAAAAAAAAAAAAAAAAAAGAAGTTAAATGTGTGTCTTAACTGTGTGTTATTGGCCAAGATGCTCATCTTTTTTATTCATCAGTTTCTTTAAAGTAGGGTTAGTAATACTATCTAATCCAAAGGGTTGTTTCAAGCATTAAATGAGTTAGTATAAAACACCTGACTCATAATAAGTGCCATGTAAGTGTTAATAGTAGTTATTATTACTATTATAAATTATTAATACTCTGGAGTGCAGTGGCACAATCTCGGCTCACTGCAACCTCCACCTCCCAGGTTCAAGCAATTCTCCCGCCTCAGCCTCCTGAGTAGTAGCTGAAGTTACAGGCATGGGCCACCATGCCCAGCTAATTTTTGTGTTTTTAGTAGAGTTGGCATTTCACCATGTTGTCCAGGCTGGTCTCGAACTCCTGACCTCAGGTGATCCGCCTCCCAAAGTGCTGGGATTACAGGCTTGAGCCACTGTGCCTGGCCGAAAATATAATTTTATTCTTATTTATTGTTTTTATTTTTGTTTTTCAACCATTTAGCTACAGATTGCCAAATTTAAGAAGATACTAAATTACCAAAAGTTGCTGCTTGATCTTTCTGGAAACAAATCCAGGGAGAAGTTGAGGTGATGGGAAAGCAGAGCCCCAGAGAGAGTGCTGAGAATAATAACTGTGATTTCAAAAGTCTCCTTTAAAGGAATCTTAGCAAGTTCCACAAAGAAGTCTTTAGCTACCAGTGGTAACTTCTATTTCTGATAAACTTGAAATACAAAGAGCAAACTGTCTTAGTCATCTCAGGCTGCTGTAACAAGGCAACATAGACTGGGTGGCTTACACAACACGGATATTCATTTCCTACAGTTCTGGAGGCTGGGAAGTCCAAGATCGAGGTGTCTGCAGATTCCGTTCTTAGTGACGACCTTCTTCCTGCCTTCCGGCAGCAAGTTAATTGCTATATTCTCACATGGCAGAGAGAGGAAGCTCTGCTGTCTTCCTTTTCTTACAAAGGCACTAATTCCATCATAGGGGCTCCATCCTCGATGTAATCTAAACCTAATTACCTTCCGAAGGCTTCACCTCTGAATACCTTCACTTTGGGGATTAAGGCTTCAAGATCTAAACTTGGGGGGTGGGGGAATAGTCATTCATTCCTTAACACAAACCAATATCATCTTGGCTGAGTATATTCATATTGAACATGCCTGTCCGTACAGCATTTGACTGTGAACATAATTCTCCAAGAGAACACAGGATATCAAAGAGCCCCTTCCCTTTCATAAAACCTGTGCCTTGTTTCCTCATAAGTCTTAGCCTCAAGTGTTTTGCTTCTTTTTCTACCTGCCTCCCACTACCCCCATTTATTTTCTTTTCAAAACTAAATGTGTCAAGGAAGAATGATCCTTAAAAAGTGATTGAGGGCCGGGCACAGTGGCTCATGCCTGTAATCCCAGCACTTTGGGAGGCAGAGGCAGGTGGATCACGAGGTCAGAAGATCAAGACCATCCTGGCCAACATGGTGAAACCCCATCTCTACTAAAATACAAAAATTAGCCAGGACTGGCTGCTGCCATGTGAAGAAAGACATGTTTGCTTCCCCTTCTGCTATGATTAGCCTTTGACCATGACTTCCCAATGCCTAGAATTCTTCTATCCTTGTCTTGCCTGTGGAAATGCTGTTCATTCATCTGGCCACTACAGGTGGCGCATGCCTGTAGTCCCAGCTACTCAGGAGGCTGAGGCAGAAGAATCGCTTGAACTGGGAGGTGGAAGTTGCAGTGAGCCGAGATTGCACCACTGAACTCCAGTCTGGCAAGACAGTGAGACTTCGTCTCAAAAAACAAACAAACAAACAAACAAAAAAAAAGTGATTGGGAGCAGTAGTTGTACATTAGAACCGGAGCTGGTCCTCCATAGCCTTCCTTTGTATTAGCACATCAATATTGCCTTAAAAAGACAGCATATGGCAGAGAGGGAAATGACTCACAATTCATGTACAGCCCAGCTGTGTGTGTGTGATTTGTCTTCATAAGGGATTAAAAATAAATTACTGATCAAATTAAACTTTATAGAAAAATATATCTGTGTCCTAGATGCATACAATGTCTATTTTTTGAACATGTCCATATATATTTTTCTTGGTAGGAAAAGAATTTGAAGACTAAGTTAATAATGAGATAGGAGGAATGACTTTAATTTAAATTGAAAATAAAAATTTGTTAAGATTATTAGGTTACTCACATTGAAGGCTCTAACAAAATGTAATTTATATATTAAATAAATTCACACCAAAACAAAAATACTTGTCACCCTTTAATAATTGCTTTAAGTAATATCATTATAGAATACAAATTTCAAATAGGTGATATACTTTATTAATAACGATAATTTTAACATTAAAATATGTATATTATTTCATTTTAAATAGAAAGATTATTATTTCTAAATAGTATTTTTGTGAGTGATCTCTATAAAAGAATCTATAAGAAGTTCAGAATGTATTTTCATAGCATTACCTAATTGAACCATAGATTTGAAATGCATTTATGTTTAGTGAATTTTAATATATGATGGAATAAAAAATGCTAAATTATTTTTGGAGAGAATTGCTTTTTTCTGGTTTAATATATTATGTTTATGGAAACTATCTTTTAAAGTAAAATATTGAAAAACTAAAAATATTGCATTAGGTGTCAATATTTAGCTACAATGTAATTAGATTAAATTTTCCCCTTCATTATGCAGATGGACAAATCTGATGTACATTTTCATTTCAAAAGCTTATTATAGGGAAAACACATAAATATAAGCATTCTCATTCATTTGTTTGATTTCCTGCCATTCTGCATATATATCCAGTTGCACATCTATGCAGGACATGATCTTGAACCAACTTTCTGCTTTAGGGGCTATGGATCATCATTATATTTGGAAGGCTTTCAGTCACTTACAGGCAAATATCCCTAAAAGTAACATTGATGGTTAGTCACCCAAAGATTTGAAAACAAAGACAGGTAATGAAGTGAGCAACTATATAGGAATGCTTTTGAAATTACTGATTAAGATTTGTAGTTTATCATCATGCATCACTTTTTAAATACCTACTGTGGGCTTATACGTAGACCTGGGCTATGCCCAATTTAATAAATAATAAGGAAGATGTTAAATTTTAACTAAAGTCTACCAAATATGTTGGTTTCAAAGATGAACACCTAATTGCTCTTGGAAAATGTTGTTTACTTGAGAGCAGAAAATATGCCTTTTACTTTGGCCTCAACATTACTTGACAAAATGTCAAGGCATAGGATGAGTGATTAATAAATGCTATTGAAAGAAAAATGCCAAAGACTTAAACAAGCAGGATTGTCTTCCCAAACACTACTATTCAGCTTATTCTGTTTGAGTGTGACTTCAAATAATCCATGCGTCATTAATCTAAGGACCCCTTTCTTCCCCAATAACATTTCTTTTAGTTAAAATACTTTCAACAATTAATAATTAATAAGCAAAATGAATATGGTCACGACCTTCAAAAAACATACTCTGGTCACATAAATAAGTACTCAAACAAGTATAGAATTACAAAATGTTGTAAGTTCTTTAAAGGGAAATAAGTTCTGTATAAGGGTATAACCATACATATGTCGTGGTAATGCTTATGTAAAAATTTCAAAAGCAACCCACAAAGATAATATCTATTATTCACAGATCCTACATGGACAAGAGGAAAAAAAAACATGTCTGGTAATGATGGATCACAATGTTTGGGTGGGTCTGCTTCTGGGGAAGAAGGAAAGAGAAAGGAAGACATAGTGTGAACATATCTATTTGAAAATTTATATTAAAAAGACAAGCAGATATCACAAACTGTTCTGTTAAAGCTCAGGAGTAAGTGTCTATTGAATTATTTAGTAAATGTTTGAGGCATTTGGTAAAATGCAAGTTCTCTTTTAATAAAAATGTTGCTTGGACTGAAATCTGAAGGATGGGTAAAGAGGAGTTAGGTGAAGCAGAGCTGATGGAGTCCATCAAGAAAGAGCCTTACAGGAGAAGTAAGCTCTTGGAAATAAGACACAACTTACATATATTTAGAAGTATACATACATTATATCTATACATATATATATATAAATATATATAGGTACACAAACATGTTTATATATGTATATACTATTATACACATTTTTATGAACTTCTCAGCTTAAATTATCAAAGAAGTGCTCCCTAAAGTGTTTACTGCCACAATAAATCTATATCATTAATTATATGTGATCTAAATTGTTAATCATTTTAAGAGCTTCGATTTAATGAGAACAAACATGATATGAAAGAAATGCCTTCTCTACACTTTTACAAAATGAAGTATGAAAATCAAAGCACTACCCCAGTTGTTGTTCTTTGTAATTTATCATCTCTTCACTTCGATAGAGTTTTCTTTTATAATTTTCCACTCAGATGTGGAATTAATTACCTGTAGTTGCCATTGAGGTAAAATGTTCATGGTTAGACAGTGAACTCTGAATTAATTGCTCTCAATCAACCTTTCCCCTTTACTCAGAACATCAGGAGTATAGGATTTGTCATTGTATAAAGTACAAGTTTCCACAGTCAGAATCATTAAAAACAATTTCTGGTAATTTACCTGTAACGGAGAATAGACCATATCTACAACATGGTTAGGGAATGGGCTTTAAATTGTATCTAAGACTAAATTCTCAGTCTTATATTGTATAATTTTATCTTAAAGACATTATTAATTACCAAATAGTAAGTAACCTATAAATGTCATCCAGATTCAAATTGTTTCTATAATGCAAATAACTTTATTAAAGTTGTTGTAAACTTTAATGCACATGTTTTAAAAGATAATTAATTGATCTGTTACCAACACACTGTTAATGATTTGTAAACAAAAGACCAGCACTTTCTTGCCCTATTAACTTCTAATTAGTTAAGCGTAATTACAGATCTGAGCCCTCCTCATCTGGCTGGTCACCTGAGATTCCAAATAAAACTCCTAAAATATACACCTTTAAACCCAATATCTGACTTACAATGTATAAGAAAAATAAATACGTAGGGCTTAGAAAATAAACACTTTGTATGGTATTTTACAGTAGTTTTTTTCAAGGACACCATTGTATAAAAGTGGATAGAAAGATGACTAAGGGGAGAGATGGGACTCAACATTTGGATGCCCCTGTCTTATCCTTACCATGCTGTTTTCCTGCATCTTGTAAATGCAGTACTTGATCAGCGGCAAGCTCTGCTGTTTATCCCATGAACTGGGGGGCCAACCACTCACCTCTTCAAGCCCTATTTTCACATCTGTTGTATAGGGACCGTCCCTGTCTCACTGGTTGTAAGAGTCAATGAGAAGATATGTGTAAACCAGCTAGTTTATTCCAATGGCTCACAGGTGGTAGGTGTTCCATAGGCATTATTTCACTTCTCCTTTCCTCCTTCCCATTCTGTAATTGAAGAAATGCTTACCATAGATTTCCCTTCAATATTCTATTGCTGTAGTTTCGATCTTATGAAGTTAATAGAAATAATGTCTTAGTCCTTTTGTGCTGCTATAATCAAATATCTGAGATTATGTAATTCATATAATCAAATATCTGAGATTATGTAATTCGTAAGAGCAGAGAGTTATCTTCTCACAGTTCTCAGGGGTGGGAAGTTCAAGATCAAGTCACATACAGGTTTGGTATCTTGGATTGCTGTGTTCTCACATGGCAGGAGCCAGAAGGAAAAGCAAGCTGAATGCTGTGTGAAGCCTCTTTTATGAGGGCCTTATTGATGAGGGAAGAGCCCTCACAGCCTAACCTCCTAAAGTTCCCACCTCTTAATTAATTTTGGAGGGGACACATCCAAACCATAGCATTTGGGAAGAATGTACCCTATCATCCATGTGGCTTACATTAAAAATATAAAATTATGGTAACATCAAGATATTCTGGGAAAAAAGTGTTTGCATACTACAATATTTGTTGCATATCAGCTGAATGAAATGTTACTCTGCTTTCAATCCACTAGTTTCTAATGTGTCTACATCGATGGTAAGGGAGCCAATGAACCAGTGTATTAGTGCTGTTGGGATTAGTTCTTCATTTCTTCAGTCCAGAATAATGACCAGTACTCTGAAGGAAACACAAGAAGACATAGATGGACTAATTATTATGGTATAATCATATGTTATATGGTTATGTCATGACAAATTACCTAAGTGGATTTGGTAGTAACATTAAAAATATCACCATGGAGCTTGACACAAAGCAAGCATTAAAGATACAATCATTTTTTCTTTGAGACAGAGTATCACTCTGTTGCCCAGGCTAGAATGCAGTGGTTCCATCTCGGCTCACTGCAACCTCGGCCTCCCATGTTCAAGTGATTCTTCTGCCTCAGCCTCCCAAGTAGCTGGGACTACATGTTTGTGTCACCATGCCCAGCTATTTTTGTTGTTGCTGTATTTTGAGTAGAGACGGGATTTCACTATATTGGCTGGGCTGGTCTTGAACTCCTGACCTCAAGCGATCTGCCTGCCTCAGCCTCCCAAAGTGCTGGGATTACAGGCGTCAGCCACCACACCCAGCCCAAAGATATAATCATTTTTATTACAAAAAGTTGAACATTCTAAGAAGGAATGCAGAAGCTTTATGGATAAAGCAGGTGAGATGGTAAGTGGATTATCCAGAGAAGAATGAGGAATAAAAAATAAGGAAGTTCTGAAGACCAATGTCCTGGAGAGGTTCCCTAATGTTTTCTTGTAGTAATTTCATAGTGTGAGTTCTTAGATTTAAGTCTTTAATCCATTTTGATGTGAATTTTGTATATGGCAAGAGAAAGGGGTCTAGATTTATTCTTCCTGATATGGATATCCAGTTTTTCCAGCACCATTTATTGAAGAGGCTGTCTTTTCCCCCGTGTATGTTCTTACCACCTTTGTCAAAAATGAGTTCACTGTAGGTGGGTGGATTTGTTTCTGGGTTCTCTATCTTATTCCATTGACCTATGTGTCTGTTTTTTATGCCAGTACCATGCCATTTTGGTTCCTACAGCTCTGTAGTACAATTTGAAGTCAGGTAATGTGATTCCTCCAGTTTTGTTCTTTTTGTTCAGGACAGCTTTGGCTATTCTGTCTTTTGCGGTTCTATATAAATTTTAGGATTTTTTTTCTGTGAAGAATGTCATTGATATTTTGATACGGATCACATCGAATCTATAGATTGCTTTGGGTAGTATGGACATTTTAACAATATTGATTCTTCCAATCATTAACATGGAATATCTTTCCATTTTTTTGGTATCTTCAATTTCTTTCATCAGCATTTTATAGTTTTCATTATAGAGATCTTTCACTTCTTTAGTTAATTCCTTGGTATTTAATTTTATATTTGGCTATTTAAATGGGATTTTTTTTGTTTCTCTTTTAGATTAACTGTTGGCATATAGAAATGCTATTGATTTTTGTATGTTGATTTTGTATCCTGCAAATTTACTGCATTTGTTTATTAGTTCTAATAGTTTTTTTGTGAAGTCTTCAGGATTTTTGAAATATAAAATTATACCATCTTAAAAAAAAGGATAATTGGACTTATTCTTTTCCAATTTGGATGCACTTTGTTTTTTTCTTTTGTTTCATTGCTCTAGCTAGAACTTTCAGTACTACGTTGAATAATATTGGTGAAAGCAGGCAGCCTTGCTGTGTTCCAGATCTCAGAGGAAAGACTTTCAATTTTTCCCCATTCTGTATGGTACTAGTTGTGGGTCTATCACACACGGCTTTTATTGTGTTGAGGTATGTTCCTTCTATATCCAGTTTTTTGAGTTTTTTTAATCATGAGGTTATATTAAACTTTAAAAAATGCTTTTTTGGCAGCAATCGGATTAATAATATGGTTTTTAGTTTTCAGTCTGTTGATATGATGTATCACCTTGATTGATTCGCATGTGTTGAATCATCCTTGCATACCTGGAATAAATTTTACTTGGTTATGATGAATGATCTTTTTAATGTATCGCTGAGTTTGGTATTCTGGTATTTTGTTGAGGATTTTTGCATCAATATTTATCTGAGATATTGGCCTGTAGTTTTCATCTCAGGGTAAAACTAACCTCATAGAATGAGTTTGGAAGTATTGCCTCCTCGTCTATTTTTCAGAATAGTTTGAGTAGGATTGGTATGAGTTCTTTAAATATTTGTTAGAATTCAGCATGGAAGCCATTATATCCCAGGCTTTTCTTTACTGGGACAATTTTTTACTATGGCTTCAATCTTGTTACTTGTTTTCCGTCAGTTAAGTTTTTGATTTCTTCGTGGTTAAATCTTTGTAGGTTATATTTGTCAAGGAATTTATCCATTTTTTTCTATATTTTCCAATTTATTGGCATATAGCTGTCCATAGTAGCCACTAATGGTCCTTTGAATCTCTGTGATGTCAGCTGTCATGTCTCCTGTTTCATCCCTGATTTTATTTGGGTTGTCTGTCTTTTTTTCTTAGTCTAGCTAAAGGTGTGTCAATTATAAACAGAATTGAAATGATAAACACATTTCAGAACACCAACTTTTCATTATTTCATTGACCTCTTGTATTTTCTTCATTTCAAATTTATTTATTTTCGTGTACTTTTGGTTTCAGTTTGCTCTTTTGTAGTTCTTTAAGATGCATTATTAGTTTATTTAAAGTTCTTCATCTTTTTTTATTTTGATACTTAAAACTATAAATTTTTCTCTTAGTACTGCTTCTATCTCATAGGTTTTGGTATGTTATATTTTCATTATCATTTGTTTCAAGAAAATTTTCAATTTCCTTCTTAATTTCTTCATTGGCCCACTTGTCATTCAGGAGCATATTGTTTAGTTTCTATAGTTTCCAAAATTCCTCTTGTTATTGACTTGTAGTTTTATTCCACTGTGGTTAAAGAAGATCCTTGATATTATATCAAATATTTTTGAATATTTTAAGACTCATTTTGTGACCTGATAAATGATCTATTTTTGAGAATGATCCATGTGCTGAGGAAAAGAATGTATATTCTGTAGCGGTTGGATGGTTGGATAGAATGTTCTGTAATTATCAATTAGATCCATTTGTTCCATAGTGCAGATTAATTCTGGTGTTTTTTTTCTTTATTTTCTGTCTAGGAGATCTGTCCAGTGCTGAAAGTGGGATGTTGAAGTCTCCAGCTATTATTGTATTAAAGTATATCTCTATCCTTAGCTCTAATAATATTTGCTTTATTTTTCTGGGTGCTTCAGTGTTGGGTGCATATATATTTACAATTGTTATATTCTTTTACTGAATTGACCACTTTATCATTATATTATGACCTTCTTTGTCTCTTCTTCCAGTTTTTGTTTTGAAATCTATATTGTCTGATATAAATATAGCTACTCCTGCTCTTTTTTTTTTTTGGTTTCCATTAACAAGGAATATCTTTTTCCATCCCTTTATTTTCAGTCTATGTGTGCTTTTATAGGTGAAGTGTGTTTCTTGTAGGCAACAGATAATTGTGTCTTAATTTTCAACAATTCATCCACTCTGTGTCTTTATTTATTTATTTATTTTTTTTCAAGATGGAGAGTCTTGCTCTGTTGCCCAGGCTGGAGTGCAATGGCATGATCTTGGCTCACTGCATCCTCCACCTCCCAGGTTCCAGCGATTCTCGTGCCTCAGCTTCCCGAGTAGCTGGGATTACAGGCATGTGCCACAACGGCTAGCTAATATTTGTATTTTTAGTAGAGACAGAGCTTTGCCATGTTGGCTAGTCTGGTCTTGAACTCCTGACCTCAGGTAATCCATCCGTCTCCGGCTCTCAAAGTGCTAGGATTACAGGCGTGAGTCCCCTCACCCAGCCACTCTGTGTCTCTTGGTTGGAGAGTTTAGTCTATTTGTTATTTTTGATAAATAGGGACTTACTCCTGCCATTTTGTTGTTTTCTGATTTTTGGCACTCTTCGCTTCCTTCTTGTCTACCTTTTAGTGAAAGTAATTTTCTCTGGTGGTATGCCTTTAATTTCTTGCTTTTTACTTTTTGTGTATCCATTGTATGTTGTTTTGATTTGATGTTACCATGAGGCTTTCAAATACTATTTTATAACCCAACATTTTAAACTGATGACAACTTAACACTAATTGGATATACAAACAACCAAACATGCAAAAAGAACACTAAAAAAAAAACAAAAAACTCTATACTTCATCCCCTTGCTTTTTATGTTTTTGTTTTTCCTCTTTATGTCTTTTTGTACTGTCTACATCTTGAAAAGATGTTGTGGTTATTATTTTTTATTGGTTCATCATTTAGTCTTTCTACTCATGACAAGAGTAGTTTACACAGCACCATTATGGTGTTGTTATACTATTCTGTATTTTTCTGTGTGCTTTCTATCACCAGTGAGCATTATACCTTCAGATCATTTCTTTTTGCTCATTAACATCCTTTTCTTTCAGATTGAAAAGCTCCCTTTAGCATTTTTGTAGGACAGGTCTGGTATTAATGGAATCCCTCAGATTTTGTTTGTCTGAGAAGATCTTTATTTCTCTTTTATGCTTGAAGGATATTTTCAGTGAATATATATTCTAGTTAAAAATTTGTGGGATTTTTTTTCCCCCTTCAGCACTTTAAATATGTCATATCATTCTCTGTTGGTCTGTAAGTTTCCCACTGAAAAGTCTGCTACCAGACTCGTTGGAGTGCCATTTTATGTTATTTGTTTATTTTCTCTTGCTGATTTTAGAATTCTTTCTTTGTCCTTCTCTTTTGGGAGTTTGATTATTAAATGCCTTGAGGTAGTCTTCTTTGGGTTAAATCTGGTTGGTGTTCTATAACCTTATTGTGCTTGAATGCTGATATCTTTCTTTGGATTTGGGAAGTTCTCTGATGTCTCTTTGAATAAACTATCTATCCCTATCTCTCTCGCTACCTCTTCTTTAATGCCAGCAACTTTTAGATTTGCCCTTTTGAGGCGATTTTCTAAATCTTGTAGGTGTGTTTCACTGCTTTTATTCTTCTTTCTTTTGTCTCTTCTGACTGTATATTTTTAAATAGCCTGTCTTCAAGCTTGCTAATTCTACTATTTGATCGATTCTGCTATTAGAGACTCTGATACATTCTTCAGCATATCAATTGCATTTTTCAACTCTGTAATTTTGGTTGATTCTTTCTAATCACTTCAATCTCTTTGTTAAATTTATCTGATAGAATGCTGAATTCTTTCTCTGTGTTATGTTGAATTTCTTTGAGTTTCCTCAAAACAGCTATTTTGAATTCTCTGTCTGAAAAATCATGTATCTCTGTTTTCTCCATGATTGGCCCGTGTTGCCTTATTTAGTTGGTGTGATGAAGTCATATTTTCCTGGATGGTGTTGATGCTTGTAGATGTTCATCAGTTTCTGGGCATTGAAGAGTTAGGTATTTATGTAGTCTTTATGGTCTGGACTTGTTTGTGCCTGCCCTTCTTTGGAAGGCTTTCCAGGTATTCTAAGGGAACTGCACCCAAAGCCACATAACACTATGGTTTTTGCAGACTCATAGAGGTACTGCCTTGGTGGTCTTAGATAAGATCCAGAAGAATTCTCTGGATTACTAGACGATGACTCTTATTCTTTTCCCTTATTTTCTCCCAAACATACAGAGTCTCTGTCTCTCTGTGCTGAGCAACCTGGAGCTGGGAGTATGATGATGCAAGTACCCGTGTGGCCCCACCCTGGGACTGTGGTGGGTCGGACGTGAAGCCAGCACAGCCCTGGGTCTTGCCCAGGAGTTTTCCCTTCAGGGCAGTGAGTTCCTCTAGGCCCTGGGTATATTCAGAGATGCTGTCTGGGAGCCAGTGATTGGAGTCAAAAATCTTAGCAGTTTACCTGATGTTTCAACTGCAGCTAAACTGGTACTTATACCATAATACAAAGCTTTTCCTGTGCTTCCCTCTCCTTTCCATAGGGAGAGGAGCCTCTTTCTGTGGCCACCACCACCATTAGTCCATGGGGGTTCTGCCAGGCCACTGATAATGGTCACCTAAACCCAAGGTCTCTTTTGTCAGCTTGTGGTGAATGCTGCCAGGCCTAGCACTCACCCTTCAGGGCAGTGGTCCCCACTCTGCCCCAGAACAGGTGTATTAGTCTGTCCTCACAAGCCATAAAGAAATACCAGAGACTTGGTAATTTGTAGAGAAAGGAGGTTTAATTAGCTTAGGGTTCTGTAGGCGTATAGGAAGCATAGTGGCTTCTACTTCTGGAGAGGCCTCAGGAAACTTACAATCATGGTGGAAGGTGAAGGGGAAGCAGGCACGTCTTTCATGACCAGAGCAGGAGGAAGAGAGAGCGGGGGGAGGTGCCACACACTTTTAAACAAGCAGATCTTACAGGAACTCCCTCACTCACTATCATGAGAACAGCGCCAGGGGGATGGTGCTAACTCATTGGTGAGAACTCCACCCCCATGATCCAGTCTCCTCCCATCAGGCCCCACCTCCAACACTGGGGATTGCAATTCGACATGAGATTTTCTGAGGACATGACAGCAGGCATAGAAATGCTGTCTAATAGCCTAGGCCTGGACCTCAGGACCCCAAGAGCCTGCTTCTTTCTCTACCCTACTGTGGCCTAGCAAGTACCTGAGGTACAAGACAAAGTCCCCTTTACTTTTCCCTCTGCTTTTCTCAAACAGAAGGAGTCTTTTATCGTAGCCACCACAGCTGGGAATGTGCTGGGTTACCCATGAAGTCAACACACCTCAGATCCCAAGGACCACAGCGTACTACCTGGGTATCACTGCTGGTTATTCAGGGCCTAAGGGCTCTTTAGTGAGCAGGTGATAAATCTTGCTGGGACTGGGTTCTTCTCTTGAAGGCAGCACATTCCCTTTTGGCCCAGGGTGTGTCTAGAAATGTCTTCCAGGAGTGAGGACCTGGAACTGGGACCTCCTGACTCTGTCTGCTGCCCAGTCCTGCTGTGGCTGAGGTGGTATCCAAGATGCAAGACCAAGCACTCTTTACTCTTTACTCCCCTCTCCTTAAACATACAGAAGAGTCACTTTTGTTGCTGCGAGCTGCACTGCCTGGGAGAGGGAAGGCACAAGCCCCCCCTTAGCCATACCAGCTAGGTCTCCCCAGGTCATGTGCCCTTGTAGTCCACTGGCTTTAAGCCTAGTCCAGCACTAGCAGTTGCCAAGGAATTGAAGTTTTTGTGTCCTAGACTGCCTTTCAAGTTTACCTAGGACCCTACAGCAGACAAGACTTGCGGAGAAACTCAAGTTCCATCTGCTGAGATGAGCAACTCTCCTCTGGCTAGGGTTGGTCCAAATGCTCTCTCCATGCACGGGCACTGGCTGAGCCCAGAAGGGCGTTGTTATTGGGCTGTGACAGGGCAGCACTGAGTTCATTATAAAGTGCCCCAGTCACTGCACTCTCCCTCCCCAAAGTGTACAGATTCGCTGGGGCAGGGGTGGTGTCGGAGATTCAAAACTGTCTCTCCTGCCCACCCCAATGCCTCTTTTAGTGATATGAAGTTAAAACTAGGTACTGTAATTGCTCACCTGATTTTTGGTTCATGATAATGCTTTTCTGTGTCTAGATAGTTGTGAAAATTTGGTGTTCCAGCAGGGAGGACAAAGGGTGCAGACTTCTGTTTCAGCATCTTGCTCCACCCGTCCTCAAATGATGGGTTTTTTTGGGTGTTTTCATGTATTAACAAAAATAGAATTATTTAAATAGTAGTCATATTATATTTAAATGCATTAGATTCAAGATCATGTTGGTACCAGATAGTACCAGACCCGGGTTCAAGTTCTTGTTCTGCTACGCACTGGCTTTTTGACCTTGGGCAAGTTATTTAAATGTTCTAACCCAAGGTTCCTTCTCTGTATAATGGGGACAATGATAGAACTTCCTTAAGATTATTGTAAATATTAAATGAGAATGTGTGCAAAGCAGTTAACATTGTACATAACATCTGGATAGCGCTCAGATAATGTTTACTGTTTGTTGTCATTGCCTAGCAAAGATTTGAGTTCTGTCTCCTCAGAGGTGGTGATTATTAAAACCATACAGCGGTGGTTCTTAACCTAAGAACTTCCACTGCAAGTAAGTTAAACAACTTGTGCACCTGTACAGCCAGGCATTTTTCTGGAAAGAAGCTCCAGAATTTATGAGATTCTTTTTTACAAGTTTTATTTATTTCATATTACAGTGGTGCTGTGGTGAGGGCAAGGCATAGAACTCAACCAGGAAGCAGAGTACATTTTCATAAATAGTTGATTCCCTATTTTTTTAATTGACAAATAGAAATGTTATATATTTATCATGCACAACATGCTGTTTTGAAAAATGCATCCATTGTGGAAAGGCTAAATCCAGCTAATTTACATGCATTACCTCACATATTTATCAACTTTTTGTGCTGAGTACACTTAAAATTTACTCTTAGTAATTTTAAAGAATACATGTTGTGCAACAGATTGCTTAACTTATTCCTTCTTTCTAATTGAAATTGTATATTCTTTCACCAACATCTCCCCAACCGCTCCCCTGATAATCACCATTTTGGTTTCTACTTCTATGAATTCAACTTTGTCAGATTTCCTGCGTGTGATCACGAGATATTTGTCTTGTTGTGACTGACTTATTTTACTTAACATTATGTTCTCCAGGTTCTTAAGTATTCATGGGATTCTTAAAGTAGTGAAAGACCTTAAAAGGAATATCAGTTGAACAACAATAAAATTATTTAAAAGCAGGCAATGAACTGTATTTTAAATTCTTTCTATTTTCTAAACATTCTCTTTCTCCTTAAGATATAGCACACTGCTACTTCCATTTTGTAGTATCAAGCTCTGTAAACTCAGTGAGAACCTAACAAATATTTGACTAGTTTATATAAATGACCTTCTGGCTAGCTCTGGGAGATAGTAAAAAGCTGGAGAGTCTCTAAACCCAGAGCTGCCTATCTGTAGCCAGTGTTGAGTGAAATTCACTGAGTTTGAAAGAAGTCTCATTTTTCTCTTCATTCTTCTCCTGGTGGATTTTGTGCATGTAATAGTTTGCACTTGAATAGGGTAATAGGTACAAGTTATTATATTTTTTTTTTTTGAGACGATGTCACTCTGTCACTCTGTCACCCAGGCTGGAGTACAGTGGCGCTATCATGGCTCACTGCAGCCTTGACCTCACGGGCTCAAGCAGTCTTCCCACTTCAGCCTGCAACACAATGCCCAGCTAATTTTCTTTTATTTTTATATTTGTGAAGACAGGGTCTCACTGTGTTGACTAGGCTGGTCTCAAACTCCTAGCCTCAAATGATCCTCCTGCCTCAGCCTCCCCAGCAGCTGGTTTTACAGGTATGAGCCACTGTGTCCAGCCCAAGTTACTAGAATTATAAACTATTAACTGCTCGTGTAACATTTTTTAGTTGAGTGAGTAAAAATTTTCAATTTAAACAAAACGCCTTAGGCCCAAAAATATAACTGCCTAGGTGCGTGGCTTGGGGAATATCGTTTGGCCTTTTTTGGCCTCACGTGCGGGATTTGAAATAGTGTTCTTAAAAATATTGGTCGCAAAACCCTTTAATCAAGAGAAAGGTTCTATGGAATGCAGACATATAAAACAGATAGAACTATATCCTTTCTGCTTGTGACCTACTTTCTTCTTTTTTTATATACATACTACTTGCCCTAGGGACATTTATTATTTTTTTTTAATGAAGCATGTTTTGAAAATGCTCTGGACTAAAAAAAAAATCAATGAACCATTAGGCTTTAAGATTCAACAAAATGTAATTGTTGGCTGTCAAAAGTTATAAGTAGTTTGAAATAACATTTTGAAACATATTTTGTGACTCAAGCGTCTGTTTAAATCTCTATCTGAAAACACCCTCTCTCAAATGTAAAGTTCAAACTACAGTTGGCCCTTGAACAACATGGAGGTTTAGGGGCATTGATCCCCCTACAATTGAAAATCCAGGTATCTTAATAAGTGTTGACTCCTCCAAAACTTGACCATTAATAGCCTACTGTTGACCAGAAGCCTTACTTACAACATAAACAGCCAATTAGCACATATTTTATATGTTGCATGTATTATATACTGCATTCTTAAGCTAGAAAAAAGAAAATGTTACTAAGAAAATGATGAGGAAGAGAAAATAGATTTACTATTAAGTGAAAGTGGATCCTCATAAAGGTCTTCATCGTCTTTGTCTTCACGTTGAGTAAGCTGAGGAGGAGGAGGAAAAGGAGGGGCTGGTCTTGCTTTCTGAGGGGTTGCTGACTTGGGAGGAAATCGATCTGTAAATGGATCCACGCGGTTCAAATCTGTATTGTTCAAGTGTCAACTGTACTTTTTCTTAGAAGTCTTACTCAGGTTATTGCGTCCAAGTTCAATGCCACCAGGTCGCATTAGACCGTAGGTAGAGGCCCACTGCTGGTTAAAGGGTTCAAATTTCTTCTCTTAATAAGATTTACTGGATGAGAATATTAGAGGACAAAAAATATAAATAATAATAACAACAATATTAATAACAATAAAATGCTTTAGCTGTTTTAATAAAGAAGAAAGGCCTCTCTGCTTGTGTTGGTGAACAGCAGGAAATGATACACGGCTCAGAGCTGGACAAGAATATGGTTAACTAAGATGGGGACTTAAGCTGCCCTCTCTCATTTACAATTTTTCTCCCTGAAGCATCTGATATGGTTATCTTGAAGGTATTTGGTTTTATAGTTATCAGGAAAAGGGAAGCCATGATAACTGTACAATACTCTATCCCTCACCCTAGTCCCCCAGTCAGCCCTCAGGTAAGCTTATTGTTTGCAGATGATTAAATCTGTTCCTCTAAAAAAATAACTTATGATTCTGTAAAATCCATCTTCACGTGGAGTACTGAGATATAGTATAATTTTCTCCTCATTAATAAATAAAGAACCTGTCAAATGTGAAAATGTTAAGAATATGAATATGGCAACATAAACATTTAACTGATGGGCCCAAAGTAAACTTAACAGCCACAGAAACAAAGTGTTCTGAATAAGGGGAAATAAGCCGCTTCTGTTCAGTCTCTTCATATATGCAGTCATTTGTATATATGCAATGATGCCAGCTAGAGTTATCAGCCTAATATCTGTGCAGAAACGCTTCAAAAACAACATGATATACTTAAACCTGTTGTTATTTTAAATATATGAATCAAATGAAACTGTGCCACAGCTACAAACTCAATGCAGATTTCTTGCTGAGAAGTATTCACATAACAAATGTTTAGCTTTCGCTTCATTTAGTCTATTTGTCTAACAGTTTGAACACTTATAACTATCTTCCTTTATTAAATTCCCTGTGTTCCCCTGCAGTTTACCATTCTTTTATAAAAGACAGATGTCCTAGGAATCTATTCTCATGTACCTGCTATGTTTAAACAGTGCTTTATTTTAAACAAACTTTAGCATAGTTGAATAATTAAATAACAATATTTTATTAAAATTTATTGCATTTATTTTATTTGACATTAAATAACAGTTTAAAAACTTTGATAAATTCTATGGATGGAGTCTTCTCAGAGAAATATACAAACACATAACTACCCCAAATTTTTGTAATTTCAGGATATTTATAGATTCCAGACTAAAAGCCAGTTATAATACATTTAATGTTTGACATAACATTTTACATATTTCTGTTTGTTATTGACTATTTGCATTATTTAGCTATTTAGGAGAATGTTATATAGTCTGTATAACGCCTATGAAATTATATTTTAAAGACTATTATTTCTTACAAAATGAATCTGACTTATGTCTGTCCCTTGTTTTAAACTGTTTCCCAAGAAAGATTAAGTAGAATATGTATATATGCAAGTATAACATAATGTAGCATAAATTGATCATAAAGAATTTTACTTGTGTAGCATATGCATATTTATGACACGGAGGTACATTATAATAACCACATTCTGGTACGACATCAGATCACTAAGAGGGGTCTAAAGTGTTCATCAGTCCTGAGAAACAAGTAGCTTCCACAGGTCATTTTGTGTTCATTGTCACCCATTGCAGGGCTAAAAGAAAAGTCTGTGTAGCTAATTATTTGCAGAGAAATTAACTGTAGGGAAGTGCACCATGATTATTCTCATTATGACCTGAGGTTCTAAACAATTTAAACAACTATGAGGCAAGAGCAGATGGTACTTTCTTTTTTTTAAGTAATAAACATAGAGAAAAGTACTCCTGAGAAATCTAGTTCACCAGAAAGCCATCATGTGCATTGTCAGCATTGGGAAGAAGCCCAATTCCCCATGAATTTTAAAAGTATAAGATCACTATGAATGGAACCATACTGACATCTTTAATCTATTTGTAATAAATAACTATAATGCATTTGTCATTAACAACCTGAGGGAGAGTGCAGTTAGGGGGAATTACACCAGCCCCATCCGTTTCTTGGCTAACTAAAGTTTCTTAAGAATAATCTACCTAAATGGATTTCGATATAAAAATGGGAGATACTATGAAGGTGTTGGGTGTTTTAACGTCCTTTAGAACATACTGAGACTATGTAAATTAATCAGGCAGTCTTTTTCATTTGCCAGACATTGGTCCCTGATTAGCCTTGTTTTCAGCAAGGATGAATGATAGTCCTTGTGTTTTATTACTCTTTTCACCTCAAACATCAACCCACATGCTGAAATCTAATCCAGAAATAAAATGAGAGTTACTGTTTCTTTTTTGCTATCCGCTTTTAATTGTATATTGACATAAAATCTAAGAGTATTTCAACAAAGAAAAATTGAACAAATAGGCATATTCCCATCAATGGGAAGGGAATCATTTTAGGGAGGTCTGGATTTTTTTTTTTTTTTTTTTTTTTTTTGAGATGGAGTCTTGCTCTGTCACCCAGGCTGGAGTGCAGTGGCATGATGTCGGCTCACTGCAAGCTCCACCTCCCGAGTTCACACCGTTCTCCTGCCTCAGCCTCCCGAGTAGCTGGGACTACAGGTGCCCGCCACCACGCCCAGCTAATTTTTTTGTATTTTTAGTAGAGACGGGATTTCACCCGTG
The DNA here is from genome assembly GCF_000001405.40 of Homo sapiens. NCBI lineage: Eukaryota > Metazoa > Chordata > Mammalia > Primates > Hominidae > Homo > Homo sapiens. Next base: position 180,908,387 of record NC_000004.12, read on the forward strand.
TTAGCCAGGATGGTCTCGATCTCCTGACCTCATGATCCGCCCACCTCAGCCTCCCAAAGTGCTGGGATTACAGGCGTGAGCCACCGCGCCCGGCCTGGATTTTTTTTTTCAGATCACTGGATTTTAACATAATAAAAACATGAGAGAGCTTATTTCCTTTGACCATTTGGGACTTAGATTAAGGCCAGGAAGACCTTATAACTGCTTGTTGACTTAGGGAACATTTTTCCCTACATGTTGCCTCTTCCTTTTCTTTACATTTTTTTCTTTTCGTTATTCTATAATAACTTTTATTGCCTCCATTATTATTTAATTCACATAGTTGGTTTATTTAAATTCTTGGTAAAATGAGATAAAGTTGTAAGAACAATATGTACTACCCTGAAAAAGGTAATCAATAAATAGCAACAGTCAATTCATGCCAGTTTCCATTTTTCTTCTTGTCTTTGCTTCCTCTGACTATATGAACTATTAAGTACTATACAAAGCTACTCATAGTTGTTTAGATCTGGCTTGATAGTGCTGTTACTAACTGGGTAATATCAGCCACTCTTAAGTTGTTCAGAACTCTTCTGGGTGTGTCTGGTTCCCCTCACAACCAGAGTTAGCTCTTCTGGCTTTGGGCTTTGCTAGTTGTGTGCTGTAAGCTTTCTGCCCTTTCGAATGGAAGTCTAGCACTGGGTATACATATAGAAGAGATAGGAGTGATTCTGGTCCCCAAGAATGTCTTCCCTAGATGTTATATTAACCATGCTTCTAGCTTCAGTAAATTTGATGCTTTAACATTTGTCCTACATGCATATGCTGTCCTTGTTCTGGACAATCCAACAATCCAATATGCCTGAGTCACCCGCCGTGAACCCCTGCTTACCTGATCACTCCCCATCCTTGAAATAACAGTTCCTCCTTGTGGCATGCCTTTCAAATTTCAAATACAAATAAATGCATTCAGAGTTCACACCACCAGCCACCTTCTTTACTGGGCTCTCACACGCTGGGCCACCATGCACCTGCCCTCATCACACCAGAGCCAACACCAGACAACTAAGGACAGATGCCCCAGAGCTTGCTGCAATTATGCAAACTCACCAAAAGGGGGCCTGCCTACCCTGTCCTTCCTCTTCCTTCCCATGGAAACCACAACAAAGGCTTTTGCCTACAGTTTCCTCTCTCCCTTCTGCCTCTTGAGGGACCCCAGTACCTTCTCACATGTCCCCCACCATGGTGTGGCATGCCTCCTCTTCCAGGGACCTGTGGGTAACAAACTATCTTTTCAATAGCAGCTATTTCCTGATCTGTTGGCCTTACTGTACCTCAAATTTTCTAGTAGTACATTATATTTTTTAAAACTTGTATGCGGTTAGAAGGAGATGTGGATACCTGAACACAGGTAGTTTGATGTTTTCATACCTCTCCCTCTCCTGGCCTTGAAAATGAGGAAAAGAAAAGTCGTAGAACCCTAGAGCTGAAAGGAAGCCTGAGGGATGGGCCCAGGGAAAGATATGAAAGACTAGTTGAGGGGTTGCCAAGCTTTTCATATCTCACAAAGGCCCTGCCTGGAGCACTGTGGTCAACAACCCTGGGGATTCCATTCACCTCCTAATCTAGGAGTGTCGCCCCTGGAGTTGTGCTACATACAAACTGCACAGCGGTATGTTTTAGCCCAGAAACTTTCTTTGTCAAAGGGGAGAGGGACCCTGTGTGTTTGCTGAAATTTCTTATGAAAGTTGTCTTTGAGCAATTGTGCATTGGTAAAGCTCATATATAATGTAAACAACAGAAGGCATCAGATCTCCTTCCGGAGCAGATAAAGGCACTAGATATTGGCTACTGATACACAAATCCACTATTCTAATAAGAAGCCTCAGAAGAGTTCCTTCATATTTTTAAGGAAGTTGTAAATGTTATGCAATATGTTTATGTCTCTTAAAGTGTAAAATTTCCAATTTCTATAAGCAAGAATATTATGGAAACAAGCATTTAAATTGCTGTTTATTCTTCATAGCTAAACATGTTGGAAGAGCACAGGACTAGGATTATGAATGCAATTTCTGAAATCATACAGGGGCAACTGGAAACATTTTTCAAGTTGGGAAATTGGATTGACTATATGATAAAATATGGCAGTTGTATGGAAGCTTAAAGATTTTTAAATGTGCCGTTTTTAAACTTTGCTAATTATGCTTTTATATTCCCATAATTTCTTTTTGACGTGTGCATACCCAGAGTTGTTGAAATTTAAATTTGTTCTGTGCACGTTTACAAATATATGTTTCTGAGAGATTATTACCCAGAAGAGCTGGGCTACATTGGACTGAGTTGGGAAAAGGTCTTCATGGGGTGCTACTAAGGGTTTTTAGTCTGAAGTTACGAACACACTACAAAATTTAATGCATACATTTATGAAATAAAACTGCAAACATTTAAAGTATTTTCAAGTAGCTAATGAACAAATTGTATTTCTAAAGAATGGCTTTATGAAATCTGAAGCATTCATTTGAACCTCTGAACAGCCACATATGCGAAGAGAAGAGGCCTTGGATAAATCTGAGTACGAGGCCACAACATCTCACAGCTCTGGTTGAGTAACGAATATTTCAGGCAGTTAAGTTTCCATACATACTCGGTTTTCCTATGCTGAAACTCAGAGAAAGCAATTTGACAAGGTAGTAATGATGTCCTTTCAACCAAGGATTCATCAAATATATGGCGACTCGTCGTAATTCTGGGACAGACTTGAGACTCCTGCTAACTTGTTACCTTGTCTTCATGTAGAATCAAGGCCATCATCTCACACGGGCAAATTTCTCTTCTGTGTATTAATAATCTCTTAGGAAGAAGATTATAGAATTCTGCAATAACTTATCAAAGTAAAATTCTAAATCTAACTAGAAAAGTTTCAAAATCTAATTGCAGGAAACATTAAAAACACACACAAACTTAAGCACAAGAAATTAAATGAGAAGCATTTATCCATCTATAAGCAGATATAAATACTGTTAAAATATTTTGCATAAACCCTTATACTCTGTGATCTTCATATCTGTTTGTTTCTAATTAGCAATACGTTGTGAGCCCTTCTGTCACTTTAAATACTGTTATATTATGTTGATGTATTAAGGGAGCCACTGAGAAGAACTTTTTTTCTTACCCAGGTTCTAAACAGCTGTGATATATGATGAAAGTGTTGGCAGATTGGGGTTGAAATGTAATTTTTAATGCTGAAAAAGACTAGGTTGCAAGAGGTGTCTTATCAATGCAGGCAATGAGGCTTATTGATACTGAAGCCCAAATTAAACAGCATATCCACCGGGCAATAGATGGTCCTAGCCGGGTGTAAGTTTTGCTCTACAAGAGTCTTGCCTGGACAATTTCAAATATTGGAGGAGTGAAAGAGAGCTAATGCTATCTGTAGGAAAACTGACACCCAAGAGGAAAAGACAGGGCTTTTATACTCTTTTCCTGTTTCCAAAATTACTAATCCAAGCCGGTCATTTCTCCATGATAAGGAGATATGACAAGATGGAGAGAAGCCAGGAGTGCCTACTAATTAAATTACCTGGAGGAAAACATAAGAACTGACGGTGACATACCTCCACTCACTTCCACCGAAATACAGCATTATTTTCAATGGCTGTGTGGTATTTTGTTTTACAAATGTAACATCGGTGTCTAAATAAATCCTTTCTTGTTGGACACTTGTTTACAGATGTTCATTACTGTAGGCAATATTCTGATCTTTGTGTCTATGTCTTTGCATTTCTTTATCATTAATTTCTTAAGATTAATTATTAGATGTTGAATTGCTGAATAGATATTGGCAAATTTTCCTCCAGAAAGGCAGTCAACATTTGAATGCCTGTAAGTGGTGTTTAGAATTATCCTCCCCATAAGAAATGTTTACATTCTTGTCAACCTCAGTACTACCTTTAGTCTTCTTCTTAATCTTTATCAATTTATTTTCTTAAAAAGACTTGGTATCATTCATTTGGTTGCTGGTGATATTTAACATGTTTTATATAGTTAATGGCCATTTTATGAATTAATTTTTTTAGATTATTTCTGTTTTCAGATTATTTCTGTTTTTATTTCTGTTTTTCTTTAGTTAATTTGCTACATTTATTTGCTAGGACTTTTATTATATAATGTGTAGTAAAGGGTTTCATAACATGCCAAACACTATTTAAATTTTCCAATGATAATTTTAATATATATTTATTGTTATAATTACAATATGTTCAATTTTCATCTTTGTGCTGAAGGTGCTTGTTTGTAGTTGTCACCTCTAAAAAATCTCAAACCACGTTAGTTTCCCCAAAATAGATTTGGAAGCCATCACACACTAAACTTGTCAATCAGATTAATTTTAAGAATTACCCATCTTAATTTTTAGCTGATGAATTAAAATATATGGAGGTTTGCTCCATTTAGGATTTTAGTCTCTCTGCAGCTTTCTGTGAAACCTTCAGTACCAATATGTAATTAATTTTATCTGATTATTTCTCCCAAGCACTAAAGCCAATGTCAACATATGAAATCTGTGCAATGTATTCCACTACCATCACGAAATATTGCGATCTCTTCACCCGGTCCTTGAACTTTGAGGCGACAGGACCTGTGAAAAGAGTATTTTTGCTTTCCAAGCCTTTGTGGGAAAATCTTATTTATGGTTCCCATCAACCAGAATGCTCTAGTTCTATTTCCTTTTCACATCAAAAACAAATATTTCTCCAAACATTGCCCATCATTGAGTTGAGTCCCCTTTGGCTACCGTGTAAAATAATGTAGCCCTATCTATTATACGTGACCTGGCATGGCCTTCCTATAATAATGCATGGCCTTGTTACAAATGCTAACCATTTTGTTTCCTCTTTAATTCTCAATAGGGCACAAATATATTAACCCATGACATTTTTCCTAATAGAGATTAGAGAATGAAATTAATGCATTGAACTTTATATTAGCATTCAATGTGCTCTTGTGTTTTAGAAATTAAAGTAACTTTTTGTAGTAATTTGTTGTTGTTTTTTGAAAGCTATGTCTCGAAAACAAGACAATGTAAATAAATAACTGTGTGGTCCAGCTGTGACTTATGCAACATGGCCACCCATCATCCAATTTCGTATTACTCTTTGAGCAGTGGATCAGGCCACAGGAGTGGTTTTCCTCTGGGAAGCACAGGAAATGCAGTTATACTGATGGGAGGGCACCCGGAAACATATATTAAGCAAACTCACTTCAGATGAGTGAGTTTATGGATAAGGTGGAAAAATACATAGAAGGGCATAAAAACCATTTGGGTACCAAACGATTTAGGAGTACAGAAGTACAGTATCTACCATCACGTTTATAGATCTTGGCTTTGAAATAGTGTCCAGTTTCTTTTTCCATCTCAGCCACTAACTGAGCTACCAAGAGGAATGTAATACTTATCTCTCTGAGGCCTTTGGGGCTTATTCATTCTCTTAAAAGTGGGAGCTTTGGAGGAAAATCATTAGTCATTGCCTGGATACTAAAGAGAGGAAAGCTTATCCACTAAACAATGACTATTTTGCCATTTGCAGTGAACCATTCGACTGGGGATTTTTTATTGTTTCTTTGAGCTGAATGAGGTTATTCATCACTTGATCTCCCCCCAGGGCTACTTACTTCAGAGCTTACTAAATAAAAGAAAAGAAAGAAAGAAATAAAAGGGAGGGAGAGAGTGCAGTATTTTCACTAGCCTCCTAATTATAATGATTTGTGACTTACTACACAGAAGTAGTATTAGGTATGTGTGCTGCATGAATCACTATTTAGTTCTGAGATATATTGGACTCTGTGTAGATGAACTTTGGTCTTATAAGTGGTGGCTGTGCACCAATGGTTTCCCATTCAACTTAAAATAAAATTACTCTCACTCACAGTAGCCACAGAGCCGTATATAATCTGGCCCCTCACCTCTTCTCTCAGATTCCAATTGCACCACCTTTTCTGTCCATGAAATACAGAAACCTTATGCCCACTGAGGGCTTCTTCTAAGAAAACTCTTCCTTCTAGAAATTTGCATGTCTGGATCCATATTATCACCCAGATCAAAAGTTAGTCTTTTGTATACCTAATGTGTACCCACAAAAATTTAAAACTCTTTTAAAAAGTTACTCCTAAGGGAGAAAAAGCCTTCCCTGGCTATTCTACCTGCAAATATTCCCTCCCAGTTACTCTCCATCACAAAATCCTGTTTTAATTTCTTTAAGGCCGCTGTTGCTATCAGAAATGATCTTGTCCATTTATATATATACCTGTTCACTGTCTGTCTTTCTAACTACCCCGTGTAATCTTGGAAAGCAGGAACCTTATCTGTCTGGTTCCCACCACTTATCTCTAGAAGTCCCTTCTAGCACCTAGAAAAGTGCTCGATGTATAGTTGGTTCTCAATACAGAGATGCCAAGTGAACAAATGCTTATACAATCTATTTGACCACACCATTTTATCACCCAGACATCATCAACCATTTCAAGACTGCTAGTGACAAAATCAAGAAATCCCAGACAAATAAATCCTATTTCTGTAACTACATCAAAATGTCCAGTCCAAGATTAAGGTGACATTATGAGATTCAGGGTTGAATTTCTTTCTTCTTTCAAACATTTGTATTGAATTGAGTATTTACTGTATGCTGGGCTCTCGTGGTCCAATGATGAACAGACAGACATGCTCTTTGACGGCAGAGTGTGTATAGTATTGAACTAGCAGCAAAGAAATAATTAACAAAGCAAATACATCTCAGTCGGTTTTACGTTGCTATAAAGAAATATCTGAGGCTGGGTAATTTATAAAGAAAGGAGGTTTATTTGGCTCATGGTTCTTGCAGGCTCTCAAGAAGCTTGGTGCCAGCATCTGTGTCTGGTGAGGTCTCAGGAAACTTTCACTCCTGGTAGGAAAGTGAAGGGCAGCCTGCATGTGTAGCAACTATGAGAGAAGTGGGAGGTTCCAGGCTCTTTTTATCAACCTGTACTCATGAGAACTAAAAAAGAACTCACTCACTCCAGCGAGAATGGCACCAACCAAGACCCACATGTCTTCCACCAGGCTCCACTCTCAACACCGGGGATCAAATTTCACCATGAGTCTCAGTGGTGCCAAGCAGACCATATCCAATCCATAGCAAAATATAAGGTAATGTGATAAGTCCAACAAGAAAGAAAACACAATGTAGCACTAGCTGACATAGTTCAGGGAGATTGGTGAAGACTGCTCAGAGAAAGTGAGTCTAATCAGAAAGCCACACGTTGCCTAAGGATTGGGATATGTTCTGAGAAATGCATGGTTAGGTGGTTTGATCATAGTGTGAGCATCAAAGAGTGTACTTCTGTAAACCTAGATGGTATGGCTATTACACAGCTACACTCTATGGCAGAGCCTCTTGCTGCTAGGTTACAAACCTGCGTAGCATGTGACTCTAATGAAAAATTGGGGAAATTGTAACACAATCGTAAGTATTTGTGCATTTAAAGATATCTAAACACGGAAAAGGAACAGTAAAAATATAGTATTATAATCGTATGAGGCCACCATTGTATACATAGTCTGAAAAGTCAGTATGTGGCATATGACTGTACTTTGAATGGAAAATCTCAGAGAAAGATGAGGCTGCTGATTTTTAAAAAACTAAGAAACACTAAAGTGTTTGGATTTTATCTAAGGGGAATGAGAAGCATTACAAAATTTTAAGCAAGGAAGGGGATGGTGCTTTTTGTATTTTAGAGACATCCTTCGGCTGCATTATAGAAACAAATGTACAGGAGATAGACCTGCAGCAGGAAGTTGGAAGCCATTGCTGTCAATTAGAAGCTGTTGTGTTAATCTAGACAGGAGATGATGGGGCTTTGATCACAGAAGTGGCAGTAAGGGGACATAGATTTCTCTCTTAGAGGTATAACCAGTAGGGCTTTAAAAATTAATTTGATATAGGCCCTTAAAAAGAGGACAAAACATAAATGCACCCAGGTTTCTGGCTTCTACAATTGGGTGGTGGTACCTTCCAATCTTTGATTCAAAAAATATTTACTAAACACTGACTATGAATTAGCAACCATATAGGCACTGGGGATGTGGCTGTCCGACAACACATTAAGTCCTAAATTAATGGAATACAAAATTAAATATGCAACATGCCCGGTAACAGTATGTCTTCTGGAAGAAAGTAACAGAAGATAAGCGGGGTGAGAGTGCTGGAGCAGTCAAGGAGGACGCTGCTAATGAATATCATTTGAACAGAGACATGAAGAAAAGAGGGAGACGCACAGAAAGATGGGGGCATACGCAGAAGGCTGAGCAAGTGCAAAGGCCCCTCAGGCTTGTTATGTTTGAGGAACAGCAAAAAGATTGGCCTGGCATAGGACAGTAAACCAGGAGGGTAAGCAGTAAAAGAAACATAGAGATGAGCTGGGGATCTTGGCATGATGAGCTAGCTGCTTGACCACCTACTGTTTCACCAACCATCAAGGTATTCAGGTGTATGCTGAAGGCCAACTTGGTTAGAGATGCTAGTGAAATTATTCGAACATAGTACAGATTCCTAAAATCAATGACATTAAGGCCCTTCTAGGGACTCTTAGAACTCTGAGATCCTGATTCCATTGTCCTAAATCAAGCCTTGCCTTCATTATCCCCTTTGTTCCCTGGTACATGTCGGGTGATATTAGACTTTACCGTATCCAAGTGGGAGCAGCTTTCTCTTTTAGACCCAGATAGTCATCTGGGCAGGAAAAGACCTCTAATAACTAGATGGTTTACTGTCAGGTTCCCAGGTGCCCATCAAAATTTTTTAAAGTTCTATTGATATTAGGGTTTTTAAATAATAACAATGTGATCTTTCTTGCTTAAAGTTTGACACAGTAAAAAATATATGAGTAAACCAATGTGTTATTAGAACAGGGTTAGCCTTAAGCAAAATTGAGAAGTAGGGAAATGATTACTTTTCTTTCCTTTTGATACACTTTTTTTTCTACTTTAGGTCCCTTCTCCCACCCTTTTCTGTTATAGTCTCCCAACACAGTGCTGAAGGCTGTTTCTTCACATTTCCACCATCGCAACCCAAACCCACCTGTTAAGTTTCCTCAAGATATTGATTATTACAAAGCTAGACAATCAAATACATTCATCTGTACAATTCTGCCAACAGAAAAGGCAGCTGACCATCACCCCTCCCCTCCTGTGTCATATACACAATCTATAGTGACTTGTTTCAAATATTTTCTCGTGTGTGTGTTTGTGTATGTGAGTTGTGTGTGTGAGCATGTATTTAGGATGACATCTGAAAATTCAAGTGCCAGGTTAAACCAGCAAAGGAGATATTTGGGGCAGATAGAGTCTTATGAAACTTTAAGCAAAGAGGAAAGAGGCTTCCACTTACGTTGTCTACGAACAGATCTGTCTCTTTGTGTAGATGCTGAATATTTTCAGTCTGTTAATAGAATCCACCATGAACCTAAAGTCAGAGAGCAGAGAGAAGAGAAAGAATTATACTTGTGTGCAAAGAAAATAGTTAAGTGATCTAAATGTGGCTCTGTACAAGGCTCCGAAACACTTTTTGGGCACCAGAAAAGTTCCCTAATAGCTATTCTGTTGGATCTTAGCTGATAGTTGCTTCATTACTTAAATAATGTTCTTACTCAGCCATCTTCAACCAATAACATCAAAATCAAACAAAATAATTATATCAATTTCAGTAGAGACAGACAGTGAGCAAGCTATTATAATTAAATTGTGTATACATAAGATACAAAATATCTCTCTTTGATGTGGTACTCTTTCAACCTGTTATTTTTAATGAGTTGAGCTGTTCATGTATTTATTTAATTCACGTATTTTTGTGTTTTTATGTGTGTTCCCAGAGGCCTTTAGGCGATGAATGCATTTTTAATAAATTGCATTTGAAATAAATAAATAGTGGTGGTTCATTACACTGGGACCAACTTTTTTCATGGTAGAATTAAAATGAATGAATATTTAACACTATTATTTGAGTCAGTTGAACATGAATTTTGTGGGAGGTTTTTCCCCTTGAAAATGGTTACACTATGAAATGCTCCTCTTAAGGAGTAATTTTAAAATATTCAATAGGGAATAATATTTCAATATAACAATTTTCTACTAACGTGCTCTTCTTCAAATTATTTATGTGATGAAAATCTAGTACTGTTTATTTATATCTGTGTGTCCATTGTAGGCTTTCTTTTTTTTTTTTTTTTTTTTTTTTTTTTTGGAGATGGAGTCTCGCTCTGTCGCCCAGGCTGGAGTGCGGTGGCGGGATCTCGGCTCACTGCAAGCTCCGCCTCCCGGGTTCACGCCATTCTCCTGCCTCAGCCTCCCAAGTAGCTGGGACTACAGGCGCCCGCCACTACGCCCGGCTAATTTTTTTGTATTTTTAGTAGAGACGGGGTTTCACCGTTTTAGCCGGGATGGTCTCGATCTCCTGACCTCGTGATCCACCCGCCTCGGCCTCCCAAAGTGCTGGGATTACAGGCGTGAGCCACCGCGCCCGGCCTGTAGGCTTTCTTAACCAAAAATTTATTTTTTTTAATTTTGTCAAAAAATTAAAACGTACCTGAAGTGCTCACCTTGGCAAGGAATTACAATCTTCATGAGACTAAAGATACATATCTGCATTGCTAAAGATTATGAAATTAGCCTCAATTCTTATAAAACTGTTCTACTGCCAAAGCAAAAGTTCTTGCATTCTATCGTATTTCAAGCCAATATTTATGCCTCTTATTTTTCTTCTTTGAAGAGAGAATTTTGGCATAGTTCCTGGAATAAGAATGAGGTAGATATAATGCACACTCTAAAACATTAAGATGAACTTATCTTCGACAAATGGATTCAGCATCTAAATACCAAAGATACTTTAATTGCTTATTAACAACATTTTAAATTGTCTGATGAATGCACATTGTGGAGATATTCTTAAAATCATTCTTCATAACAGAAAAATACTGTAACTGTCTACTTCAGATCATTAAAAAAGCATTAGATGTAAATTTCAAATAGGTATATCCTTTGGAACAGACCTGTTTATCATTATGATATACACATATCTATATATATTTATTTTAATATATGTGTACACATTATACACATATATAATATAGAACATTTAGTATTAAATATGAGAAAAATTAGAAAATGAGTCCTTTTTCTATTCAAGGACATAGTCAAGTCAGGTACAGTGGATATATCTATGTATGCAATGTTAATTTGCAATATCTTTATGATGCATACAAAAAAACAGTATATTTGCCATTTTAGGAAATGTAGGCATATAATTACTAGTTCTTGTGAAGTTAGGTTTTGTTCTAGAATTTTTGAACTTAGTATCCTACACTTTTTACCAGATGCTCAATTGTTTTCAAATTTCAGTCCATAAAACACACTCTTTCTTAATGATATATAGAAGTTACTGGAGTTAGCATACTTCAAGGATTTCTGGGAAGGGCCACATTTTCTTTCCCTGGAATTTTAAATTCAAGTGAATTGATGTAAACCACAGGAAAGCTATTGCTGGTTTGTCAGGGAGTCATGGATATGTACGGGCTACCGTCTGCCTGCAGAACTATAGGCATAGATCAGTGAAGCACCAGACATTCTCTGCCTTCAAGGAACTTCTCCTCGTATGGTGAGTCTAGGCACGGGGCCTGCAACTTACATTCATTCTATGAGTACATTTGAAGGCATTGCCAGCCTTGTTGCATGGGAAAGCTGAGGGGTATGTAATGGTAAAGACAGCAACAGCTGTGGAGTCAAGACAGTGCTGGCGTGAATCCTGCTCACAACCATTTTCTGTTGTGAATCCTGGACAAGGTGCTTTATCCCACTGTGCCTCAGTTCCTTTTATATAAAACGAAGATACTAGCATTATTTCACAGGGTAGATATGAATATTAAATAAAACAATACCTGTAATCGGCATTCAGTAACTAGTAATCCCTTCCTTAATGCCTACAAGTTCTAGAAGGATGAATTCTAAAGAGTGATCAAAGTAGCTGAATAAATTTGGAAAACCTTTTTAATGTAACTGAGCTAAACAGGGACTTAAGGTATCATAGCACAGTCCTGAGAGACTCTTATATTTACAGGAAGGTGGCTAGTCAGCTCACATTGGAAAGTGTAAGGGCTTAGCCACTCATTTTTCCTCCAGGGTTTGATGTGGTGACCAAATGCATGAGCTGAGGCCTCCTTGACAATGCCGCCATTCCTGGAACGGTTTGCAGTGTTGAGGCAGCTGAGAAAGGCTCACCTCACAGGGGACACTCTGAGTCCCATGAATTGCTATCATCTCCACAGAGAACTGAGTGGCAGTCTCACCGAAGAAGTGGTTGTTGCCAGCATTAAATGAAATAGTGCAAATAGAGTACTTACTGCTATACATGAAGTATTGAACAATACATGTTGATTGCTGTTGCTATTATTATTATTTTCCCTACAAATTATGGTAAAATCAAAACATAAAAACATGTAAGGAAGACACTTTTCACAGAATTTTTTAGAAGGGCAATGGCAATGATGTCAACTAAGACTTTCCAGAAAAGTAACAACTTAGTTTTTAAAAAACTAAAACAAACTAGTAAAAGTCAAATGAATAAGATATAGATGCATATTCTGGGCCCAGAAGCTGGCTTTAATATTCCTACCTCCCTGAGATTTTGTGATTATTTTTGTTGTTGTTGTTCATTTGTTTGTTTGTTTCTGTGATGCCTTATCTAATCTAGAAGCTCAACAAATGCTCTTAAATAAATGGATACTGGAATGGGGGAAAAAGGTTTCTGGAATGGAGAAGAAGGTTAGACATATCAGTCCCCTCCCCTTTCTGAGAGTTAGTTAAGTTTCATGAACTAAGTCTCTTATGCAGACAGGAAGGGAAGAAGAAAAACTGTGTTGCAACATACTGGTTTTTATGGTAGATGTTCCATTTTGATACCCAGTGTACATAAGCCACTTGTTGTAAAAAGGTTAGGCATGGGAGCAGCCATCTTTATCATAGCCCAATAGAGTAGCATTGACCACATGGCAGGTATTGTATATTAATAACCATTCACACAGACAAATAACTTTTAAATATGGGAAACCTCTCATGGCCTTGGAAACTCTGTGTTATTATATTGGATTTTTGTGGAAAAGGAATTCTGACATTAGTGTTACTATGACACATTTTGACGTCTGCATTTCCTTTTAAAATTTATTGAGATATGAGTATCTCCTTATATACCATTTATTTCCAATTTTGTGATATCAGAATGGACTCTCACTGCACAACAGAAACTGCCTCTGGCTGTATGCCAGTCATCTGATATTTTCTCAGCTGCTGGATGGTCTATCGATCTGGTCACCTAAGGTGAGGAAAAAAAACAAGCTCAAAAAAATTGTATTCAAAGCTCCTGTGATCATTTTTTCCCCTTTTGTGGCAGCAGGAGGGCAATGGGGGAGGGGAACTTTTTCCGTCTCACTGGGGAAAATGAGAAAATCACAGCCACACACAATTTATGTAGGTCATGCTACCAGTGAAAGGAGAATAAGTCTATGTCCATTTCCTATAAAAAGAGAGCAAAATGGGCCCACTCCAAAATTTACTCTTTTGTCTATTTCAAAAACACTTTATGAACTGAAATATCCAGCTGTTTCTATAATGTCATATTGAAAGTAGTATTTGCCCAAATGAAAAACCTATGGAGAATAGTCAAAGATTTTACTCTACTACTAGTAAATACTTTAGGCAAATGAGGAAATTACTAGCATGGATTGCCATTCATTTTGAGTAAATCTAAAGTTATGAACTGATGGGGAAAATGAGAGCATTAGATACTTACCTAGTGCTATAATCACTAAATACATTATTTTGACATGAAATTTTATTTTGATCTATTTTAATTTGTGCCAATAAATGTCTCACCATTCTTTAGTATAAAGGCATTATTTCTCAAGTGCTAAATAATAATAGAGCTATAACAAAAACACTGAGAAAAGTTATTTTGATGGCATTTTTGTCTGTCTTAAAGCCAGCCTCCCTCCACCATTTTTTTTCTTTGTAGTAAGCTATTTTGTATAAAATAAGATTATTTTCAACCTCTTCAAATGGGATCTTCAGCTTTCTCTCAGACAAGGGGGTTGAAGGTCGTGACAGAAGACAGTGGAGAAATATGGATGTGAGCAGAAAGCCCCAGAGGGAAATCAAAGGGGACAAAGAGCAGGAAATTAGAGGAGGCAGAAGGCGCTAAAGCAGGCAGGGAAGGGCGCAGGATTCAAGCTGATCGCACCAAAGTGGCCCAAGAGAAAAACTGTGAGACAGGGTGGGCCAAAGAGCATGGCGGGAAGGTGAAGGGTGTCACACTGACACTCAGACTTAGAGCTGGAAGACAGATTACAAGTGGAAGCAAAGAGAACTTTTTTTTTTTTTATTATTGCTTAGTACCCATTTGCCCATCACTCTTCCCAAATGGCTATTGCCCCTTTCTGCTTTACAGGAAAAATAAAGGCCATCAGGGGTCAGGAATTTCACAACATCATTCCCAACTTTCCCCCAAACCTTAAATACATCTGCGTGCCCATCAGTCCCTCCTCCTCATTGGAGATCTCTGCTGTGCTATGCACCCCGTCAGGCCCTGTCAGCCCGGAGGCTTTATTCCAGAGATCACACTATCTCTATTCCACCTTCAACCTCCCCCTCCTTGACACATTTCTTCATGCAGAAACATTGCTCAAATCTCACAAAACAACCATGGGGAAAAGAACAAAACACAGCGCAATATCCAGTGACTTGTGTATTTTTCCCCTTTCACTAGGGATCGGTTTTTTCTCCCCTTCATCGCTTAAAATGGACACTCTTGGTCGCCTCCCCAGCATGTTGTGATCCCTCCTTTTTACTGATGGAACTGTAATTTTGTTCAGCTCTCCACTGGACCCAACCTCAGAGGTGGATTCTCTCTAACAGCACTTGAATTTTCTCTAGTTATTGTTATTGGACCAGGGTAGATATGTCTTTAAAGTTTGCTTTTAAAAAATGGAAGAACCCAGTGTATAGTCCATGCTGGTGTATCAGCTTCTCTCCATCTCAGCTTCTCTCCATCTCTTTCTGAAATATAAGTAAATAAAACCTTGTTCCTATAATCTGCCTTCAAGCCATTAGAGAATCAGTTTTAGGATGAGGCTTGGTGAAGAGGGCAAAGCTCAAAGAGAAATGCCCTGGTTACACTGAAATGCTGAATTAAGTAATGCCAGAGCCTACATTGCCTCTAAATTCCTGTTAGGTAACATCATAACTCTCCTCATCCAAAAGCTATTTTGAGCTGGATTTCTGTTGGTTTCATCACAAACCATCCCAATTTAAATGTAGCTCTAGTGGACCACAATATTCACTTTTATTCAATCTCCTGCCCATTCCAAACTTCACCTCTTCACCAAAACTCCAGAAAAAAACCCAGTTCTGGCTAAGATCACCAGGGAATTTTTGCTAACTCCCAGGTGGGGTATTTTCTCCTTCTATTAATTTCTCAACACTCCTTACTTCTTGAAATACTGCTTTCCTTTGGAATTTAGAAAATACACTTCCTAGTTCTTAACCTTAAAACTATTATTTTTGGGAAGCAATTCTGTAGTATGAAACTCCTATCAGAGCTCAGATCTGCAAATCCATTTTTCTGTCAGCTATGTCTTCTTGGTGGGTTCTCAATATCTTAATACGGACATATCCAAAATCGAGTTTGTCATGTTTCTCCTTAACTTGGGTCTCAGATTTTATCCTTTTGCTTTATGCTGTCTCCTCATTGGTAATTCTACCAAACACTCTGTTACTAGTGACAGAAATTTGTCATCCTCAATTCCTCTCTCCTTCCTTTCCCAGTGTCCGCTAGGAACCTAGGGTGCTTAAATGATTCTCAGCCATGCACTCTTCATTCCTATTACTTCTGCCCAAGGTCAAACTCCATGCATCTCCCTCCTAGATGGTTACAATAACCTTTTTTTTTTTTTTTTTTTTTTTTTTTGAGGCAGGGTCCCACTCTGTCACCCAGACTGAGTGTAGTGGCATTATTACAGGTTACTGCAGTCCTGACCTCTTGGGCTCAAGCAATTTTGCCTCCTCAGTCTCCTGAGTAGCTAAGACTACAAGGCATGTGCCACCACACCCAACTAAATATTGTTGCTGTTTTTAATTTTATTTATTTTTTTTGTAGAGATGTGGTCATGCTTGTTGCCCAGGGTGGTCTTGAACTCCCAGCCTCAAGTGATCCTCCTGTCTTGGCCTCCCAATGTGCTGGGATTACAGATGTGAATCACCACACCCGGCCTCATAATAATCTCTTAATTAGTTCCCAGGCTCTGTTTCTATCCTTTTTAAAATATCTTTCATCATGTTACCAGGCAGAATAAGTGTTACAAAATCAAAATGTGGTTATGTTACTCTTTGTTTCTAAAAATACCACTTATTTGCCATTTCCTATAGTACTGATGGCATGCAAGTCCTCACCATGGACCAGGCCTCATCTTTGTTCCTTGCTGGCTTTGTCATCTCCATACCAGGCATATGAAATTATCCAACTTGCTGTTTTCCTCTGATATATTTTCTGTGGTTGAAATACTCTCTTCCTTAGGCCAATTAATAAACTCTCCTATGTAATTTTTCTCCTCTGAAGTCTTCTGCTAAGCACATTTGATGTCTCCCTTCTTTTGATCATCTCCGCTAATTATAAATATCCATGTTATAGCATTTAACTCACTATATCACATGATTTGACTCATATGTCTTCTTTCACAGTTGACTCTTAAGTTCCTTCAAGGGAGCCACAGTCGTCTTCATCCCAGAACTTCCCCATTAAAAAAAAATAAGTGAACAGAAAATCATTCCATTTCTTCAGAACTGTTCTATTAAGTTTGGTAATTCAAGAGTGTTGATCTAGAATGTCTTCCAAAGGGGGCAGAAAGTACTTTTATCTTACAGAACAATTCTAATCAATATCCAGTAGCTGCCTGAAATTCTGAAGGAATTCTGAAGCTATACCCAAGCTCAGCTTGGGAGCCTTCTGGTCAATTAGCATGACCACGGGAATTCTCTTTCTTGTGCTCAAAAGGCTTTGTTCCTTAATATAGTTAATATTTCAGATAGCCTACTAAGCATCTAACATTGTCATAGTGACAGAATTATTTTAAATATTAGAATCAGGAGAGATACACAATCTCTTTGAATGTAGACTTAAAATGATTTTAGAGAACACCGTTTGTATCACATGTAAGAAATCTCAGACCCAAGATGGAGAAAATATTTTTATGTAATAATATAGTCAGACTAGAACCCAGGTTTCCTGACGTTCAATATTGTGTTACCAGGGCTCATTAAGAAAGCCTAAAGACAATATTGTACTTGAATTCTGGAAACTTGGAGCAGGCATTATATTCTGCGTTGGAAAACCACAGAGGCAGATCTGAATGCAAGTAAATAGATAATCCTATTCTTTTTTCAAGCAGAGCCCTAGTTTTCCATCTTCTAGTTTAACCTGTATGAATTATGTGAGTCACCCGTGGCTACATGACTAGTATCTATGGTGGCAGGAGATGCATTTCATCAGATGAAACTGATAGTAATGAGAACAGGCTCTCAGCTTAGTTTCAACAATGCAAAGTTGTTTAACTTTTGGGATAGTTGCTGAAATCTCTTTGCTTCAATTTTCCACCGGTGTCCATAAAGACAAGTAACTTTTAAATGTGAAAAACCACAGTGACCTCATAGGCTGCTTATTCATATTCCATTAACACATGTGAAATGCTTAAGGAGATGATGCTTATAAATGTTAATTATTAATTTGATTTTGAGAGAAATCTTCATGGATTTATTGTGTCACTGCATGTCTTATGAGCAGAGATATCAACTGTCTTTTTTCTGGATTATTCTTTCAAGGTTTTTATATAGTGAATGGTTTTGAAAACAGAGGTAATTCCTCCATTTGGAGCAGAATGCAGGTTGTTTATTTCCTATATAGAAGATTCAGGTTTTCTAGGTTGAGGATTCCTCTCCAGTAACACAATCCATTGCATGAGAAGGTGTCACATGGCCCCGTTTGCTCCCACCCTGGGTTCAGGGAACCAATTCAAATGCTGAAACACTAGCTGCTGCTGTTCATATGAATAATCAACTGTTCTTTACTTCTGACCTAGAAGCCTCCTGTCTTTTGCCAGCACTCATTAAACTGTGGCAGTCTAACCTGTTAGCTTGCAAGTATAGTAAAGTCTCAAACTCTCCCCAGTTCTTGACATCTGAATTCTGTTTATGTTTCTAATAGTAATTCTAACAGTCTATTTCAATGAGTTCTGTTTCTTCATTCGAATGAATACTTTCTCCCAGCAAAGTGATCACTGACTTGAATTTTCAGATTATCAAATCTAACAGCAGAGATCCAGAATCAGGCATAGCTCTCACATACTTACTCCTGTAATCAAATTATTTGTTCCTGATTAATGAGGAAATGTTTAGAAGCTGATTCAGCTATTTCAAATTTTCATTTCTATGGTAAGTGTGAAGTACTGAGGCGAATATCTTAGTAAATGTTTCTTTTATGTCAAATACTCAACTTCAAACATTCTATTGGTCTAAAAACTGTTCAACCTCATCTCTTCAGTGAACAGATGCAAGGTGAGCATGCTATTCCCTGACATTCTGTCCAATCATCAGAGTCACTCATTAGGGACTTGCCCTGTGCTGTACATATTCTCTTTATTCTTAAATAGATCATAGGCTACAGAATGGTAAGGAAAATTTTTGAACAAATATACGTTATGTCTATAATGCCAACACATTCCAGGTACTCAATAAATGTTTGATTCTATGAAAATATGTATCTTAAAATTATTTATTATTATATGCCTTCCTTTTTAAAATCAACCTAAAAACTTTAGGAGAATTGGAAAAAATAAAAAATTTTGGTTATTCTTAAGGTTGTAATCCCAAAAATCATTTAAGAACATAAATGAAGACAGAATAAAAATAACATATTTAGCTTCTTGACTTAATTACCTTTGAATGCTTACTCATCCCGACGGAGAACCACAATCAATGTCACTATTCTGTAAAATACATGGGAAAAGTATCTTGATTCTAAACTCAGTGGTACTCTTAGGTTTACTATGGATGAAAGACTACCCACAAGAGTGATGCTGAGACCCTGGGGCAGTAAGAACTCTGGAGACATCTTGGAGGGAGCTCCATGAAGCTGGAGTTTTGTTAACTTAAAAAGTAGACCGTGACACTTCGCCCTGGGTTACTTCCCTAAGGCTGCTCCTTGGGCTGTTGTGAAATAATAGCACCTTCAAATCTCAATACAAGACCTGAAAAGCTCTCATCCATGTTACTTACAAGCATTTCTCGAGGGAAGATAAATATAACGCTAGGCCTTGCCTCATAATGAGTGTGTCATGGGAAGAGAAACAGATAACATCCCCTCCTCCGGTGCCTACTGAGTGATAGTTTTAGAGTCTAAGACTAGAGAACAAATCTGGATAACTGAGAAGTTTCTACATGGGAGTCCTCAAGGGTTGCAAGCAAACATTTCTTAAGTACATTAAACATCTTAGCAACTCTTTCCTCACCATTATGTTCCAGACAGTATATGTTCTTAAAGGTTAATATACAGAAAATGATAGGGATTCTGAAGACTTCATAAGAGACTCTGAAGACTTCATAATCCCACTTTACCTGGTTTATACAAAATTGATTCTTAGCAAGTAAATGTCCTCTGCTATAAAGAACCTTTACAGACCTTACTCCGGAATAATATATAACTAGGCCATCTCTTCTAAAAAAAGTGTTATAGTCAGTGTCACAATTGGTTGTCAAACATCTCAGCCTATAACACCTGCTTCCTGAAGGAGAAATGTGGCAAAAGTCATTATAGGAAATTAAGACTAAAATGGATAGTATCTTTCATTATTGACATGAGAGAAGAACATCGTGTAAAATGTCCTGAAAACAGTTCATTACTAAAGCAATCTGATGCATTAAGATGATCAAAATATGTATTTGAAAATTTATTTTCTAAGATTTTTTCTCCATACTAATTCACAGAAATATTGCTAGAAAAAAACTCCTTGAAATTCAAAAACTGATGTCTCTTATCCACCAAAACAACCAGAGTTTAGTTGCCTCATGAGTAGTTGACAGCAGGTGGTCATAATTAACACCAAAAGACTTACCAAAGTAGAAGAATTGCCAAGTTAACAACCACAAGCAGGTGAACTGGACTCAGTGAGCAGTGAAAAATGTCTGAGGCAAAAATGGTCCATTTCCCCATCATTGATTTTCACTGTCCGATGAACCATGTTTCTTCATTTATTTTCTGTTGCATTTTCCTGCTTGTGGGTAGATTCCCTCATCCAGAGGATTCCATGTTGACCTCAATTACTCTAAAATTCTGGAGAACTACTGAGTGATGTTCTTAATTCTGTAAGTTATATATAAAATATTCATATGGATTCTAGCTTGCCCTGGAGAAAACGTCTCCTTAGAGCAAGCTGTAGAAATCATGTTCACAATATGAGGACTATTTATTTAAAAGGGAAATATGTTCTGAAGCTGGCATAGTTTAGCATCACATAATACTGACTGGATTTTTTTCTCATGAATTTTACTATGTTGGTACTGCAGTTCTCATCAATAGGGCATGTAGAACCTCATGTAACCCTAAACACTGATAATCCCTTGATCACCAAACAGAAGAGTGAATGTGTCTCCAGTAGCTAGGGAAGAAAGGAGGAAAAAAAAATTGGAGTATTTCATTTTGGTACATGGAATGAAAGTATAAAGGGAAAACAGAAGAGACAGAAGAGGAGGTGGTTGCTATTTTTAAGTAATATTTACTACTGATCTGAAATCTGAAGACTTCTACAGTGACATCACAATAACTCTGCTGATAGAATGTAAGTTCTGTAGGATGGTAATTTTTCTCTATACTTCATGGTAGTCACCAATACTAAGCACAGTAGCCAAAACTAATTGATACTAATTGAACGTATGAATAAAATCATTAATTTATTCACAAATGATTGGATTAACATTGAAATGTAAAGCTCATTTAAAATGTTATTTATAAGTAATGATAAAAATGAAAGAAAAGGAAAAGTCATCTGAACTGTTAATATTGCAATGTGTATTATGCCAACTAACAAGCACTTATTTAGTGCTAATTGTGTTGCCCAAGTCAGTTGGAACCACGAGGAACACACAGAAATTCACTCTTGGAAATATACATACACACACATACATACGTGCAAATGTCAGCCTTTGCTTTCATAGCTTTATATTTCATCAGGTGTTTTTACTTAAATTACTTCATTGAGAGAGAATCTTCTTTACGTGCTTACATTTTTTGACTGCACCAAGCAGATAAAGTTTTACTTAGAATCCTGTTTGCTGAATATATCAGAAAGCCACTAAAATTTAGATCTGATAATGCTTAAGCCATTTTCTCTTCATAAGTTTCCACCTTAAGCTATTATTGACAGGAATTGCTCTACTCACAAAGGAGACATTACCAAAGGCTTTGCTAGAAGACATTTATACCCTTTGCTTTCGTATTTTAAATGATTCTACATATCCAATTTCTATTTATGTTGATATGCCAAAAAAGGCAATGTGAATGGAATCTCTTAAAAAATATATAGATTGAAAGATTGACTTGACGTTGATTTAAGTGATGACAAAAATGTGGAATTTATCTTAACATTTATCTGAATGTTAAAATGGCAGCAAAAGTAATTATAATATGCCCTAATGAAGTCAGTGTTCACATAGAGTGAAAAATCCCTCTGAATTCTCTGTTAATAAAGTTTACATGTGAGATTACTTACACCCAGTACATACTGGGTTAGTAATGGTCCTCAACCAGTACACATTTGGCAAGGTCTAAGGGGTGCTATTGGCACGTACTGATTAGAGGCCAGGGAGGTTGCTAAAATGCATTATCAATGCCCAGGACAGTTTCTACGACAAAGCATGATCCATCCCAAGATGTGAATTGTGCTGAAGATGAGAAACCTTGGTCTAGAACAGAGGTTGCCAAACTACGACACATGAGTCAAATTTGGCCAATTTTCCCATTCTGGAAAAGCCTGTGAAAAAAGAATGGTTTCATCATTTTTGAATGGTTGAAAGTTTTCTTTTTTAAAATAATACTATATGATACATTAAAAAGTATGTAAAAATGAATTGCAGCGTTTATAGAATAAAGTTGTATTTGAACATAGCCACACAGATTGTCTCTGGCTGCTTTTTGCCAAAACTGTTGCCAGGTTGAGAAGTTTTGACAGAGACTGTTTGGCTCACAAAGCTTAAAATATTTACTCTCTAGGCCGGGCGCGATGGCTCAGGCCTCTAATCCCAGCAGTTTGGGAGAGTAAAGCTGGCGGATCACTTGAGATCAGGAGTTTTGAGACCAGCCTGGCCAACATGGTGAAACCCCGTCTCTACTAACAAATACAAAATATTTGCCAGATGTACGTGCCGGTAGTCCCAGCTACTCGGGAGGTTGAGGCATGGGAATCACTTGAACCTGGGAGGTGGAGGTTGCAGTGAGCTGAGATTCCCCCCACTGCACTCCAGCCTGGCTACAAAATGAGACTCTGTCTTAAAACAAACAAAAAAGAAAAAAAGAAAAATTACTGTCTATCACTTTACAGCTTTAATTTCATTATTATTTTTGCTGATTAAAATGGCATATACTTTTTTTATTTTTTATTTTTTGAGACAGAGTCTTGCTCTGTTGCCCAGGCTGGAGTGCAGTGGCGCCATCTCGGCTCACTGCAAGCTCCGCCTCCCGGGTTCACGCCATTCTCCTGCCTCAGCCTCCAGAGTAGCTGGGACTACAGGCGCCTGCCATCGCGCCCGCCACCACCCCCGGCTAATTTTAAAATGACATATGCTTTTCCACCTCCATACTTTCTTCAGTTCTTTAGCCTTTGACGCCTAGGTGGGGTCAATGCGCACAGCCAGTCTCAAGGTAGTGGTCTTGATTTCATGAGTGACAGTTTTTCAAGAATACTTCATGGGTGCTGTGTTTCCTCTTTGTGTTTTTTCTTTTTATGTTTGAGAAAACCTAATTACTGTTGCCCCTGATTTTAGTTGGCTATAGTATTTGTGCATTATGCTTTCCAACCTTACATATGGCTTCACGATCTTCAGTTACTGAAAGGCTATGGTGAACTCGAACGAAAATCTGATTCTTCTCTTCCAGCCCCTATGGGCATCCCATCATTTGTGGGTGGTGTTTTTTTTTTTTCTTTTTTTCTGAAGAATGCCTAAAATTTCTTTATTAGTTCTTAAAGTTGAATGATTATTTGGTAGATTTCTTGATGTTGATGTTTCTATATAAAACTTTCCTGGTGTAATGTGTAATTCTGATCTGCAGACTCACTTGTTTCTTGACTTTATGAAAATGTTAATTTATTATATTTTTGATTACAGTTTTCTTTCTTTTAGTGTCTCCACTTCAGAGATACCAGTAGTCTTTATGTTAGAGACTCTTTGTTTTCTGTGTATAGCATAAATTGCTAGTTGATGTAATATCTTTAGCTTTTTTCTCTTTATTTATGAATTGTTAAACAATTATTTTTCCCATTATTTGAGTTTTCATGCATGTCTATCATAGGTTTGTGTTTCTAATTCAATAATTCTCAATCCTGCCTGAACATTAGGATTGCCTGTAGAAGTTTTAAAAGTCTCAAGGACAGGTTACATCCCAGAGCTGTTACATTAATAAATTCTGAGGCATCCAAGACATTGGCATTTTTAAAATTTCTGAGGTAGTTCCAATGAAGTCCACCATTTTAATAAATTAAGATATATAAAGATTTTTGTTTGCTTATTTTCTGGGCTTGCAATCTCCCTTTTGATCTTCTGTCATTTTGTCTTATCTGTTAACAATGTCTTATTAAATTTGTATTTTTAAAACTTTTCCAGAGCTTGAAGCTCATCTGGATAATTTATGTTCTTTTTGAAATTTCAAAATAAATAATTCATCTCAATTGTGGGTGTTTTATCACCCTCTTCTCTTCTCCCTCTCTCCCTTGTCTTTCCTCCTCCTTTCAGTTCTTTCAACCCTGCCACTTGATCTTCTTTCGTTTGTACTGTGCTGGGCTAGATCTGTCAGGGTATTTCCTGCTTACACATTAGAACAGCAGCTGTATCCAGGCTTTCTGGTTAACGTGATACAGACTAAGCATATTTTTCACTGAGACTTGTTTTTGGAGAACAGTTTGTTTCCCAGCTCTAGTTCCTATTTGAGGTCTGGATATTATTTTCCAACCATTTTTTCTGGTCTGCAGGCATGTAAATTTGGTGGAGAAGATCCACACCGGGGCTGAGTCCAGGCCTGGCTAGTAGATACTTGGACTCTGCTCTCTCTTCCAGATATTATCAATGAGTTCTCGCAGGGCAGCTTTGCTTGCTCAATAGTATGTCCCACTGTGACTGGTTTTGACTTATCCTCCTTTCCCTCTATACACACACCCTAAGATAACATAATATCTGAGAAACCTATGTTAGTTTTTTCCATTTGTGCTGAGGTCCTTGGGAGATACCTCAGGGCTTCCTCTCTCAAAATTTTTCTTTGAATTTTCTAAGACTGCATACTTATTCTTAGTCCACATCTCTTCAAATTGGAAATACAAGTTTTGATGAAAATTCTCAGAATGTTATGAACTCATCCGTGTTCCTCTATACTATGTTCTGGCGTGGGGTTGAGGACCATGATGGGAACGAGTTAGGGGTTTTAGCATAACACACAGAATTAGAATCTTTTGTTCACTTGTCTTCCCTTGTTTTCTTGCTTCACTTCACTGTCTTTGCCTAGAAATATGTAGGTTAAATTTTGAGACAGCCTTTCCAGCATAAGTTTGTAAATCCTTCAAAATAGAAATGTTTTTGCAAATGCTCGGTTTGAAACAAATGCTAATTAGTAGATTGTCAAGACAAGGGTTTTGAACGTTTGAGCAATATCATTTTGTTGCATGACACAATAAGTGTGTTCTGAGGGCTGGGTGTGGTGGCTCATGCCTGTAATTACAGTTTGGGAGGCTGAGGTGGAAAAATCACCTGAGGCCAGAAGTTTAAGACCAGTATGGGTAACATAGCGAGACCCCCCTATCTACAACAAATAAAAAGTTAGCTAGGTGTGGTGGCCCATGCCTGTAGTCTCAGCTACTCGGGAGGCTGAGACAGGAGGATCTCTTGAGTCCAGGAGTTCCAGGCTGCAATGAGCTATGAGTGCACTACTGCACTCCAGCCTGGGTAAAAGAATGAGACCCTGTCTCAAAAAGAACAAAAAAAGAAAGAAAACAAGCGTGTTCTTAACACCTTTTCTATTCGTGGCTCTCATACATTCATGTTCCTTGAAAATTACTTGAGGTTCTTACTAGGAATTGTAATTCCTTCTGATTCATGCGGTCTGGAATGGAGATTAGTCACCTGGATGTTGGCATTAGTCACCTGGAAGTTGAACACCACATTAGATGACTCGAATGCAGGTGAATCACACTTTGAGAGAAGAGGGTTATGTGCATAGCATTCTACTTGGGATTGTGAGGGACATAAAAGAAGTATATGGGCCGGGCGCGGTGGCTCACGCCTGTAATCCCAGCACTTTGGGAGGCCGAGGCGGGCGGATCACGAGATCAGGAGATCGAGACCATCCCGGCTAAAACGGTGAAACCCCGTCTCTACTAAAAATACAAAAAATTAGCCGGGCGTAGTGGCGGGCGCCTGTAGTCCCAGCTACTCGGGAGGCTGAGGCAGGAGAATGGCGTGAACCCGGGAGGCGGAGCTTGCAGTGAGCCGAGATCCCGCCACTGCACTCCAGCCTGGGCGACAGAGCGAGTCTCAAAAAAAAAAAAAAAAAAAAAAAAAAAAAAGTATATGATATGGTTCCTGCCCTTAGAATATTTACAACCTTATTTCTCATATATTATACACATGAAACAATACTAGAACAATAGCAAACACACTATATAAAAAGAGGTTAAATATATGGAAAATGCTGTAAATCCTAAACAAAAGTTGCATGGCTTTCAAAATCCGAAATTCAAATTGGAAAAAAAAAAAAGTTAAGTGACTTGTTTCATTTGTCTATTTCAAAATGTGTTCTGAGAATTGATACGACCTTAGAAATCTTTAAAGGCCTTGCAAAAATTGTTCCTGCAACACACAATTTTCTCGATGTACTTGCTGCTGCCACAATGCATACAGCATGCTAAGGAACGCTAACATCCTTTTATGTTGTCATTGGCACTTAATTGTTTTTCTTCTTTGCTCCTACCAATCCATGTGCTGGTTTTATACTCCACAATCAAGCAGATAATCCTTCAGGACAAGTTTTAGGCCTTTATCCCACAGGAATACACAGCTCTTTGCATATAGTAGATGCTCAGTTGAAGTTTGCTACAGGCCAGATGCGGTGGCTCACACCTGTAATCCCAGAACTTTGGGAGGGCAAGGTGGGTGCATCATTTGAAGTCAGGAGTTCGAGACCAGCCTGGCCAACATGGTGAAACCCCGCCTCTACTGAAATACAAAAAATTAGGTTGGTGTGGTGGTGCACACCTGTAATTCCAGCTACTCAGGAGGCTGAGGCAGGAGAATCACTTGAATCCAGGACACGAAGGTTGCAGTAAGCCAAGATTGTGCCACTGCACTCCAGCCTGGGTGACAGAGTGAGACTGTCTCAAAAGAAAAAAAAAAAGCTCAACATATAAACCTATGCATAACTTAAGAAGAAAAGACATACAAAAAGATATACAATATTTCATATGCTTTATGTAGAGTTTAAAACGTATCATGACTAATACAACTTATACTTTTAGGGCTCTGTGTCAGTTATGCTTCTTCTATAGGTAAGAATAGGTGTAGAGGCTTTTTAAGAAAAATTAATGAGCATATGTAGGGCATAAAACTACGTATTTTTCATGAGAAATAAAGCATGTTTCCTACCTTCAAATATTTTCAGTAGCGTTGGTAATCAAAGTATATAAACATGGATAAAAGGTTAAAAAGGTGTGAAACACAAATAGTTCTGCAAACAGAACAAATGCTGTATTGATACAAAGCAAGTTTATCAAGGGAAGGGATTTTTGAAGGGATAATTTTTAATCAGCATTTAAGAGAAATGATTGACATGTACAGGGGGCAAAGAAACACAGAATGCCTCCAGGTGATGGCATACCCACGGAGAGAGACTTCGATGAAAACGATCATTATTCAACTACTTACTGTTCAGTGATTGTGTTTGTGAACTGGGGGAAGCCTGCTGGTGTGCCCAACCTGTGTATATTGAGCACCTGCTATGAGCAAGCCCTCCTCTTGGCACCCAGGAATAGATGGAAGCTTAGATAATAATCTCTATTCTGTAGGAGGCTTAAAAGAAAGAATATTCAAAGCAGATGAAAATATACAATTACAGGCCAAAATTAGCATTTTGGGCAAAAAGAAATGATAAAAAATTATATATCACAAGAACAAGAAGTCTGATAAGAGTTCTTATCTCTGGAGGAAGAGGAATTTAATGGCTCTTTGAAGAAGAATTCTCTATGAAGAAAATTCTGTTTTCTATGAAGGACATTTTTAGAAGGTTTTGCTGAGCAGCAGTGATGAAACAAGATGCCATGATGAGCTAGTGGAGTCACACTGTCAGTATTTGTCTATGTAAAAATGAATGCATTATTAATCTCAGCATCTGAGCATCTTTCGAACAATAGCAATATCAATTTTGACCTACATAATAGTTGTGAGGTTTAAATGAGGTCACGTATGTGAGATTTTCAGCAGAGAATTTATCATATAATACAAGATCAGTGAATATTGATGAGGGTGATGGAAATGAAAAGGATGATGATAATGATGACTTCAGAGAGGAAGAAGATGACAGAGAAAAAAGAGAATATTAAAATGGAGCAGGAGGAATAGTTGGAGGAAAAAGAGAGTAGAGGAAAAAATAAAATTTATATTTTTGTAAAATCTTTATGCCCTTTAAAATGAATTAGATGAATGGAATAGAGGAGGTAGAGGAGGGGGAAAGAATAGAAATTTGTGATGATCGGGAGCAAATCTAAGACAATAGAAGAAAAAACGGGGAAAAGATTGAACTTGTCAGTTTTCAGGGGACTGTTGATGGATAAAATATCAGATTTAAATGATTGCATAACGAGGTAATCAGAGAAAATAGATAAGTTGGAGTGAAGTCAGTTTGGGGACAGAGAAGAAAACAGATGGGGCTCTTTCAAACATGTGAAGTGATAGCAGAAAACATGGTAATAACTGGTAAACACACGGAAATAGAGAATTTAAGCTTAATCAGATCTAGTGGTACAGATTTGAGACTCATCAGTGTTGCTGTAATTCAAAGCTCAGAAATAAGATCAATTTAGAAAAAGAACACAGAGCAAGATTGCTCTTTTCGGCTAAGCTCTTCTTCTGTAGTCAGGATTTTTTCATCTCAACTTCCTACTCTAATTTGTGGTACCCTCGGACACTATGGGACCTAGTGATGCCATTCGTGTCCAATAATAAAGTACTTGATGGGCACACTCCTATGTGCGCACACTCACACACACATATACTCACACACAAATGTGTATTTCTAAACAAGTGCCTGCTTTTTGAGAAGCTGCATGTCAGAAGCAGTCGGGAAAGTGAATTCAGAGTCTTGTCTCCCCCACTTTCTGGCTTTATATAAGTCAGTAAGATACTTATTCTCTCAGTCCATTTTCATGTCTGGAAAAACATCATTATATATCACCCCTGGTAGCATGGAAGCTGGAACGGTTTATAGAAAGTGTTTTTCCAGCTGTAAAGATATAAACGAAAGATGGTTGCAGTGGGTCCCCTAGAGTAACACATACATCAATCAACCCATGTCTCACTCTAGGTGGTCCTTTGACTCCTCCCTCCTGAACAAATAAAATAGTTGATTTAAATCTTCTGCAGTTCCTTTGTCTTTTGTTCTACCAACTCAATAAGGCAAAGATCTACAAACGTAAACAGGAAACATCTTTATTTAGGAATCAAATATCCAGACCTCCTCTAAATGAGTAAATGCATAAAGAATATTGGGTTTATGAAAAAACATTTAAAAGGTTATGTCTAATCTCTTATGAATTCATACAGTAAAACCACATTTATTCTATGACTTACATCAAGAGAGACATGCATGCTTCTTATTGGATAAAACTTCAAATTGATAAAACATTTTTATTTATGGAGCATTTTGCATGCAATTTCCCATTATTAGTTTATTCCCTCTCCATTCGCTACTTCCTCTTACCTAGAAGTTCTTTTAGCTAACATTGACTGAGTGATAATCTGCCATGGCTGACTCCTGGAATATAGACTCTGAAGAGCAAAGAAAATAAGCAGTATTCCTATCCTTTGTTAACTTTCTTCATCTACATATTTACATTATTTGCATCTATTTAGAACCCATTTAGACTTTTCTTGTTATATGTAACAGACACTATGTATTAATATAAACACTGAATTAACATTCATTAATATAAACATTCAAACCCTTAAGAACTTTAAAATCAGCATTTCCCTTAAACTGTGTTTTCATTTTTTCCAATAAAATTGATCAGATAACATTATTGAATTATTTAAGGTTCACAAATTATATTTCATCCTATTTCTTTTCCTGGAAGATTGTAGTGGCAGATGGGATTTTAGAGTTTCTTAAATTAGAGCATATGAGATTTTGTAAAGGTTAAAAATTACCTGTAAGAAAACAAATATATTGTTATTTCCTATGCTTAGTGAGTTTAAATTAAGAAAGCAACCAGCATTTCCGAAGATCTGAAGAGCTATAGCCCTGTGCATTATAAATTTAGTGATTTAACATACTTTGAATGAACTCTGGGATGGTAAAAAGTATAAACACTTATTTTAATAGATTCATGGATCTTTTGGGGGAATAGAATAGATATTGTTTCTGAATTCTTATCGTGGCTTTTGTGCTTTCCTAAATTATTAAACATACAATTTAACATAAACTGGAGAAGTGCTTAAAATTACATAGGCATGCTAATCATGGGAAAATATACCTTTCAAGGCAGAGACAATAAACACAATATTTGAGAATTGCTTTTTAAAATTTTATGTCATATTTCTCATAACAAGTGTTGCAATAAAGTTTTTATTGCTATAGCTTAATATAGAATTAGGTCATTCATAAATCTGTTGCAATTAATGTTTCAGGACAAAATAAATACAAAGATCTCTTGTTATTTTAATAAATGCCCAAGGTATAAAATACCTCTGCTATAACTTTGTTCTTAATGGCAAGATCTTTCATAAATCTATGAACAACTATCTCGATAACATTTCATATTTTTTTGCCTAAAAGCTATATTTACTCAAGTTTAATATATATTCCCATAAAATCTCTTAGATAACTAAAGTAAAATTTGACATTTGTATTTCCTCAGCATTTGTGATAGGAAGGTCAATTTTAAAAATCCACTAGATTATAAAACTCTGAATGACATAGACCATGCCTATTTCCTTGTTAGCAGAATGCCGGCGATATTAGGTACTGAGCTCATGTTTTTGAATGAACAAATGTATGCAGTTAATGAATGAAAGAAAATATACATCTATTGTCTACAAATGAGAGGGAATATACTGTCTTAGTATGGTTACGAGATATGCATTTTTTAAACTGGAAAGCCAATTTTCAAGTAGCATATTTATAAAATCTAAAAGACTTATACACGAAAACATTATTCCAATTAGTCTGATAACCTAACTATAATTTGCAGTTGTATGATAAAATCTTTCTTGAATCAGCACTCACCTAAAATGTAACATGATACAATTTTAAAAAGCTTTCCCAACCCAGATTTTTGATATTCACAAAAAAGTAATTTGCATATCTAGTAGGGCCGATTATTTTCTGTTCATGAATCAAATTTTGCAGCATTAGTACATTTTATACATCATATTTCGATTTGTCAAATTTCCGGTTTGAGCCTGAACTATGGTTTATCAGGCTATAGAATTGCCGTTACCTGTAATCGGAAGGCCATGTGAGTGACATAATCTATGGGGTCATCTATAAATGTCAAAAAGAGCCAACTCTGGACTCTAACTTAGATAAGAAACATGTTAGCCCATGAGGGGCTTTACAGACTGTGAGTATTAAAAAAGACTTATAAGACCAAAAGGAGATTTTTCAAAATGAGCATTTTTAATAGAAATAGCCACAAAATTTTTATCTGAAATGCATCACAAACAAAATATACTGTCTTTGTTGCCCTTGGAAGAACACGCTGTGATAAAAAAAAAAAAAAAAAAAATTTGAGTGCAAATGAGCTGTGCATCCCAGGAATTAATAGTATAGGATTGAGGAAGTAAGAGGAAGAGAAGGTAGCACAAAGCTGTGATATAAAGCAAGCTGCCATTGTGCACAATTGGAGCTCTGAATGATAGGGCATCCTGGAGACATGGTAGAATATACTCCTAGAGTTATCCTAAACAAGCCCAAACCACTGGAATAGTCACCTACCAACTCCGCACCCATCATTGGTTGAGGGCTTCTTCCTGCAGCATTAACGTTCTGATGGGGCTGACTCCAGTTGGTGTCACAGGTGTTTCCCAATAGCTGGTTTCGTCCTGTGAAGGTGATTCCTAAGGATGCCTGGGCAGATTGCTGACAGTATGGGCTCCACCGTCAGAGGTACTGGCCACCTCTGTATGGTTGCACTGCTAGTCTCACGGTGCTTTTCTTCCTGCCTCAAACATGAAGCCTAGGAAAAAATTATCACGCTCTTTCTCATTTAAGTTAGTTCCATATAATGTCTCTTGCTTGTCCTTCCCACCTTTTTAAGGGCATGCGTTTTATCTTTTAGCAGCTTCAATGAAGCTTAAATGGAATACATTCCATTTAAGAATGGAATGTAAAGGGTTTATAATTTTCATATGGATAATATAGAATACTTATCTTACTTTGAAACCTTAGAAGGATATACCAATTTACTGTAACTACTTTATATAAACTATGAATGGTTGAGACAAATCTGCTATACTTAAATTTATCAGATTGCTCCTCCCCTTTAAACGTGACAGCTGCCTCTTTTATTCAGAACATCTACAACATCAGGGTAGTTATGATTGTGAGGGAGAGGGGATATATACGATGTAATCCTTGCCTTCAAACGAGTCTAAAATTCAGGCGAAAGGGGAACAAGTCATATTTATTTAATTAAAATGCCATGTAGTGTGTGGTAGGCATATATAAGTACCAGTGTATGAGTGGTTAAAAATGTGCTGGAAAACTTTAGAAACAATTTATTACTATAAAATTGAGGCAAGCGTAATTGAGAAGGTACTAGTTGACCTTGGTCTCAAAGGATGGGTAGAAATGGGCTAAGCCCTAGAGAGAAAACCTTCCAAGTGGAGATGATGAAACAAAATTATGGAGGTAAACAGAAAAACTGTTAATGGTTTACCCAATTAAATGACATCACTATTCTGAGTTCTTCCTTTCAAATTTGTCACAATAGAGGATTTTGTTGGGATTACTATAGTTAGATTTTATTTTGGTTGCTTAACAGTTTTTTTTCCCTTGCCAAAGATTTTCCCATGAAAGTGATATAGAGTTGAACAAAAATAAAGAAATGAAATACTGAATAAAACCTATTCAGGAATAAATCTAGAGATCAAAAACTATACAGACAGTCAACATGGCATCCTCAAAGAATATTGAGCTAGTAGATCTAATAGTAGTTATAACCCTGCCACAAATTAACCTAGCCCTCAGGGTCTCAGCTTTCTCGTGTGGAAAATTAGAGTATCTGGCTGTAAGTCATGAGAGTTTACTAAATTTCAAAATCTCTTGACAGCTCAGATGATAGTACAGTGTGCATAGAGAAAATATATGGAGGTAATTCTATTTTCTAAAAATCAAAATATTTGTCTTAATGGCAAGAACCATGGATCATAAAGTTACCACAGCACAGAAGATTTAAAGCTATTAGCATGTATTTGAGTAAATGAGCAATAAATATATAAAACCTGAAAGAAATTGTGAATGATAGTTATAGTAATCTATCTTTTTTGGTTCTCATGATTCTTTTCCTACTAAAAATCACTTTGATCAATTTTGTATTCAATTAACACCTTGGCTTTCTGTGTGGAAGGAAAAATTCTCATATACACGATTTCTAATGTCATTATAATTTTAGTAGCTACTTAACACAAGGAGATATTGTGAACAGAAATTTGTTATTATCAAATTGACCTATACCTCACGCAAAAGTGTACTATTTTCCAAGATCACTAGTCATTTCAAATCTTATATGTATTATTATATGATATATGTTTCTTGGGAATAAAGTCAATTTTAAAAATACATAATCAATACTTAGTAGACCTGAATCTTTTTAAAGAGTAATATTTTTTAATGGATAAAAATATCCGACCATGAAGATGTGGAAGTTATTACTTGAACATGTTTCTTGTTCGACCTCCATGTTTGAGATCTTGGTCTTTAAATGTATACCATATTATTACATTGTATTTAGAGTCAAGAAAATACCAGTGGACCCTAGAATAAAATTGAATAGGGAGAGATGCAAGAAATATGGTTATTGACATTCAATGTCAGGTTTAGGAGACCGAGTGGAATAATGCAAGGAAAGACCATTGACTCAGGAGGGACGAGAGCAAGTCTCAGCTTAGGCACTGTCATTAACAACAGGGTGACTACTGATTGAGCCTTACTAATTCTCATCAACCTCAACTGTAAGTGAAAAAATTCAGATGACATCTGAGATTCCATTCAGCTCTAACATGTCGTGCGACTGCTTTGAAATATCTAAAACAGTTTGGGGTTACAAGGTTGGAATCAACGTGCCATATGACAAATTCAAAATCATTTCTATTTGGAGACTTATGATTTAAACATGGTGACACTTTTCATTCAGTTTTTCTCTACATTCAGTGGTGAATCTTGTCCAATTTTATGTAGAGATAAATATCCACCCAATGTTTGCAGCATCTGCAGAGAATGATACCTGACGTAAACCAGTGTTATGCTCACAATCTTCCTGCCTGTTATTCTCAAGGCACCATTCCACAGACATTTCACAATTTCTTATTTTGATAAAGAAAAATGTCAGCTATCTTCCTGGCATAACTGTGGCACACGTGGCTTCCCAGTTATATCAAGATTATAATGTACTCCCGGTTTCTTTGAGCATTTATTGAGCCTTCCTTTTCAGCCAGCACTGTCTTCAGCTTTATGCAGACATCATCTCATTTTTTTTACTTCACAGCAATACTGTAAGTGCTGTGTCATTATCCTCATTTTATACCCAAAGAAATAAAGGCTGAGAGATGTGAAAGAAATTACCTGTAGTCATAGAACCTACATCTGTCTGTCTCCGATATCTCATGATCTGTTAAGGAAAAGCTAAAAGGTAACTCTGATTTTAAGCCCGTGTAATTAGAAAGATGATCATGTAAATAACAGTTACAGTGAGTACGAGATTTCCAATGGAACATGTTGGCTTCTGTGAAACATGGTGAAATAGAGCTGCTGATGGAATGTCCAAAAGAACTCTTATAGAAACTGGAAATAAATGATTAAATTAGGACAGGAGAAGCAGTGTGTTATAGACACGCTTCCATTCATCCTTTATCTCTAGGATTAAATAAATCTGGATACAGTTGGTAGGGTTTATTAATGCCTCCATTCATAAACATATATAAAGTAAAGTGAAATGAAACACAGCTGTCATTCTTAGTGACTATTGATTGATGGCCAATTCAAATGTAAGTTTAGTTTACCTCAGTTTTAGAGGTTGAAAACCTTGATTATGTCCACACAGTGAGATCAGGCCCATCACTCAAAGCTGGACCCTCATTATCTAAAGCTTATAAGAGATTGGTATATAAACTAGAATAACAAATTACTGATTTTAATAGACTGCTGTCATACATAACAGGTTGGTTCTATCTTATAAAAAATACATAATTTTCCTGTAGGCCAAATTTCTTTTTTTTTTTTTGAGATGCAGTCTTGTTCTGTCACCAGGCTGGAGTGCTGTGGCACGATCTCAGCTCACTGCAACCTCCAACTCCAGAGTTCAAGCGATTCTCCTGCCTCAGCCTCCCAAGTAGCTGGGATTACCTACAGCGCACACCACCATGCCCAGTTAATTTTTTTTGTATTTTTAGTAGAGACGGGGTTTCACCATGTTGGCCAGGATGGTCTCCATCTCCTGACCTCATGACCTGCCCACCTCAGCCTCCCAAAGTGCTGGGATTACCGGCATGAGCCACTGCGCCCGGCCCCATAGGCCAAATTTCATAGAAAAAATATTTATTTTTTTTTATTTTTATTTTTTTATTTTTTTATTTTTTTAAAGGACATATCATTTATTCATACACATGCTGGAATTATTGGTGCAGACATTTAAATACATTTTCTTTGAGAAAGTCCTTTTTTTTTTTTTTTTTTTGATGGAGTTTCCCTCTTGTTGCCCAGGCTGGAGTGCAATGGTGCAATCTCAGCTCACAACAACCTCTGCCTCCTGGGTTCAAGCAATTCTCCTGCCTCAGCCTCCCAAGTAGCTGGGATTACAGGCATGCACCACCACGCCCAGCTAATTTTTTTTATTTTTAGTAGAGACGGGGTTTCTCCGTGTTGGTCAGGCTGGTCTTGAACTCCTGATCTCAGGTGATCTGCCCGCCTTGGCCTGCCACAGTGCTGGGATTACAGTCGTGAGCCACCACAGCTGGCCTGGGAAAGTCCATTCTTTTTTTTTTTTTTTTTTTTTTTTTTTTTAATTTATTTTTTTATTGATAATTCTTGGGTGTTTCTCACAGAGGGGGATTTGGCAGGGTCATGGGACAATAGTGGAGGGAAGGTCAGCAGATAAACAAGTGAACAAAGGTCTCTGGTTTTCCTAGGCAGAGGACCCTGCGGCCTTCCGCAGTGTTTGTGTCCCTGATTACTTGAGATTAGGGATTGGTGATGACTCTTAACGAGCATGCTGCCTTCAAGCATCTGTTTAACAAAGCACATCTTGCACCGCCCTTAATCCATTCAACCCTGAGTGGACACAGCACATGTTTCAGAGAGCACAGGGTTGGGGGTAAGGTCACAGATCAACAGGATCCTGCCCGGCCAGCCGCCCCGTCCGGGAGGTGAGGGGCGCCTCTGCCCGGCCGCCCCTACTGGGAAGTGAGGAGCCCCTCTGCCCGGCCAGCCGCCCCGTCCGGGAGGGAGGTGGGGGGGGGTCGGCCCCCCTGCCCGGCCAGCCGCCCCGTCCGGGAGGTGAGGGGCGCCTCTGCCCGGCCGCCCCTACTGGGAAGTGAGGAGCCCTCTGCCCGGCCAGCCGCCCCGTCCGGGAGGGAGGTGGGGGGGTCAGCCCCCTGCCCGGCCAGCCGCCCCGTCTGGGAGGGAGGTGGGGGGGGATCAGCCCCCCTGCCCAGCCAGCCGCCCCGTCGGGGAGGTGAGGGGCGCCTCTGCCCGGCCGCCCCTACTGGGAAGTGAGGAGCCCCTCTGCCCGGCCAGCCGCCCCGTCCGGGAGGGAGGTGGGGGGGTCGGCCCCCCGCCCGGCCAGCGCCCTGTCCGGGAGGAAGGTGGGGGGGTCGCCCCCCCACCCGGCCAGCCGCCCTGTCTGGGAGGGAGGTGGGGGGGGTCGGCCCCCCTGCCCGGCCAGCCGCCCCGTCCGGGAGGTGAGGGGCGCCTCTGCCCGGCCGCCCCTACTGGGAAGTGAGGAGCCCCTCTGCCCGGCCAGCCGCCCCGTCCGGGAGGGAGGTGGGGGGGTCAGCCCCCCACCCGGCCAGCCGCCCCGTCCGGGAGGGAGGTTGGGGGGTCAGCCCCCCGCCCGGCCAGCCGCCCCGTCCGGGATGGAGGTGGGGGGGGTCAGCCCCCCTGCCCGGCCAGCCGCCCTGTCCGGGAGGTGAGGGGCGCCTCTGCCCGGCCGCCCCTACTGGGAAGTGAGGAGCCCCTCTGCCCGGCCACCACCCCGTCTGGGAGGTGTGCCCAACAGCTCATTGAGAACGGGCCAGGATGACAATGGCGGCTTTGTGGAATAGAAAGGCGGGAAAGGTGGGGAAAAGATTGAGAAATCGGATGGTTGCCGTGTCTGTGTAGAAAGAAGTAGACATGGGAGACTTTTCATTTTGTTCTGCACTAAGAAAAATTCCTCTGCCTTGGGATCCTGTTGAAAAAATATTTATTTTTTAAAAACATCAGATGGTTCATTTTTCAGCATGGTATTGAAAACAAGAAAAGCTAATTAGATTATCCAAATATTTAATAACTTCATTTTCATTTCCACAATGCATTATACCATCACAATGTCTTAAAGACTCAAATTCATTCATTAGGACAAACATTTCCCTAGACAGAACCCTGATGTATGTTGTGACAGTAATCCTCATACACTCTTGCATTCAGAACTTAAAAGTTTGTTTAGAGGGTCCAGAAATAGGACTCTGGTTCCTCATAGTCCAGTAACTGAATAGCTAGCTCCTTTTGGCTGACAAATTCCTCCCCTTTGACCAAGAATCTAATTTATTGAGGGAACAATCTAGGCCAGCCAGATCTGGCAACAATAATCTCCATCATTAATTGGAAGATAGATACAATAGCCAGAGAATGTCACAGGCATCTGATTTGATTCTTGCTTTTTCTTGTGAGTCGTAATGCAAATGTTCCCACATAGGGCTGATTGTTACTGTTACTGTTGTTAGTAGTAATTTTTAATTTCTTAGTCTCATTCTTTTCTGTTGTTCATTCTGTCTTTATTACATTTTTTTTTTCAAATTTTGACCTAGTTGTGTATGTGTGTGTGTGCGCACGCACACAAGCACAAACACATGCGGATTGATTCTGAGAAGACACTTTAATTCTCTTTATTTCCATGTCTAGAATGGTTCCATCTCATTGTCACCTCCCTCTCCTAACCAGAAACTACCCAAGTACTAAGAAAATTAAAGTGGTGATGTCATATATTAAATGCATGTAAAAGAAATTGCTTGTCCTTTGGAGTGCTCAGCCATTCTGTTAAATGAAATGCGTGCTTACTAAAATGTCATGAGAAAATGATGATTTGTTCATACCTTGTTTCATATCTTGTTTGTTGAAAAATATTTTTAAAACATATGTCTACTATCACATTTGCAAGCATTGGGGAAATCACAGGAGAAAAATAAGAAAAATAACTGAATATATCACAGATGTGTTTAAGGACAAATATGAACAGAAGGAATGGGAATACAGGGTGGACTACAATTGATCATATACGTAATTCCAGAAATTCATGTTTTTGTGGGTCAAAAAGAAGAGAGACAACCCCAGGCCAAAATTGTCGGGGAAGAACTAATGGATAAAAAGAAAATATTCTTCTTGTTGTTTGAATTCCAGCTAATTGAGGTTTTGGAAATTGTGAGGCACGGCGCTCTGCCACTTTTCTCTGTGTTTAGTTGTGTGTGTGTATTTAATGATTCTACAGTAAGAGTTTAATGGTTGTTTCTGTATACAAAATTAAATGCGAACAAAGTTAAAATACTTCAGGTATATCAAATAAGAAATGCATTTTATCATAACTTTTTATAATTTTCTTGGCATAGATTTAAAAAATAGATTGCACTTTTATCACTGTACGTAGTTCTTGAATAACTATGAACATTTCAAAATGAATTTTAAAGGAATACAACTGAATTTAACAAAGTACTAATTTCAACTTATGAAATAAGAATGTGACTACATACATTATCATAATTTTGTAGCTAAATAAGATTATTCTTTCCAATCTGTTACTCATTTCTTGTCTTATATCTCTTCAACTTATGGGTTATCATATAAGGAGTACCAAAAAGAAAATACATGGATCTAGTTTTACAGTTATTCATTTCTTGTCTTATATCTTTTCAACTTATGAATTATGATATAAGAAGTACCAAAAAGAAAATGTATAGCTAGTTTTAGGGGACTCTAAGAATTCTAGTAATAAACACTTCCTATATAAAATTATTGTGCAGGTGGGAAAAAGAATTCATTTCTATTCATTATTGCATCATTTTAAAAAATTTACTATGCAGACTGTAGAAATACGCTATAAAACTTTATGCATTCGCAATTGTTAAAATGTTTTATTAGGACGTATATTTGGCATACTGCCCTCATTTCACTTTAGTGACTGAGACTGTTGCTTAAAAGAACGTTCTGTTTCCCTGTAAGTACTTTCTAGTCATTTCCTAAATAGTAATGGAGGGACATTGCCCCCAGCAGGGAAAAAAGAGAATAGAAATAGAGATCTATTCTAGCAATTCATCTAAAAAGTAATGAATATGAGTACGAGAAACTGTACACATTGTCAAAAAGCAGTCTTAAAAATAAACATGCTCTCAGAAAGAAGCCAGCTGTTAAGTTGGTTCTGTATTTTGTAATCATCTACATTTTTAAGACAAAGTATCTTAAACATTATTTTATATAGATAATATTGAAAACTGAAATTAATTAAAAATGGCTCATTTATGAACTGTGTATGTCCAAAACATCAGCAATGTTATAGTAGTTAAAAATAGTATATAACTGATTCTGTTCTGTTACATATCAGAACTTGATATAAGGTCTTATAGCTCTTAAAATGAATTAATTTTGGGGACCCCTAAACTTTATGAAGTCAGAGGTGAATGTGTTTATTTGACTATCTCAGGAATCATCTCACCCTAAAATATTGATAGATTGGTTTAATTTAAATTTGTGGTATCCTTTTTCTTTAAAAGTAGAGAAATTATATTGCAAACACAGGAAGAAGCGGTATTAGAAGTTTCTTTCTCTATGACATTGTTCTGAAACATTATGCCACAGTTACAATCGGCAATTCAAAATTTATGAAGCATTGCATAATTTATTGCCACATTTCAGGCTGTTTCTTTTTTTTTAAGTTACAGCAGGGATGAACATTTTGAGGCATTTTCAGATACAGACTTTTAAAGTTATTCTCTCTTTCTCTCTCTCTGGCCTGCTTCCTTCCAATCCCCCACCCCTGTCTAAAATTGAGAACTTTTGAACATCTCTATGTCTGTGACGAGATTGAATTTATGTATGGTTGGCATTTAAAATAAAATGTTATTGCGGAAAATGTCAGAAAGTGTAGAAGTTAAGTCATCTGTTAGAGGAACTTAATATACTTTATAACGTTGTAATTTTTATCAGATTTAAAAGATTTATTGTGTCATAAATAAATTGATGTTATCCGTAAACTTGAACTTTCTCTGGGAGTAAATACTAGTCATTGAAGAAAGTAAATTGAAAGGTAAAGAATTTAAATAGTCTCTTTAAATACTCCAGGATTGATAATAGGGACAGTATTTTAGTTTGAGAATTTTTCGAAAGCTCTAATATAGGGTACTATGTACTTGCATTTAGAATAATCAAAACATCTAAACATTAAGAAATCTCCGATGGATTGAAAAATATGTGAAATAAACACTTGCTTTCACTAGAATGCCATTTCTGTTCTCACATGGTTGAGTTCTGTGAAGCAATATATTGAAAAAGGACACTTTAAAATTACCCGACTATCATCTAATATAGACGATCTCTGTACTCCCATCACTCTGTCTTTGATTCTGTGAAAGATATAAAAGAATGCACATCCTCTTTCTCAAATGATTTAAGAATCGAATTGAAAAGAGTAAACACTTGATACAAATAGCAAAGTGTCATAGCAAATCAAAAGTAAAATACTATAGGCCAATGCCTAGAAAACAAACAAAAAAACCTGATAAACAAGTAGAATTTAAGTTCATAAGCACTGCCAGAAATATCTCTAAGTGTTCTAATTTCATGCTATATATTTTATAAAGGAGGCTTTTGCATAGTTCATTTACTTATTTATTCTCCTGAATATTTTAAGTATGGTCTTAAGAATAAAACATTTTATTTCATTTTGAATTTCAATATACAATTTTGAAAGGATTTTGATTAATACAACCACCATATTATTTAAATCTTCACACAGCACTTGTTAATGTTTATTTTGCTGGAAATTAAGACAACATTTTCTGAAAGTTATCAGTGTTTATATTTACTAGAAAGTTACACAAACTATTTACATCTATTTACATTTTATGCCACGGATACCAGTGTGATGACTGAATCTTCAAAAGACAAGCCCAATGTTAGGTCAGCTCATGCTTAATGCTGGTATGCTCCCTCATCAGTCTGTGTTGAGAAAACAAGAGTTCTCAACACAGCTGAACTGAGTGTCACAGACTTCTGGTCCCATTGAACGGGCAGCTTTGAGATTTGGAGCAAATTATTGGATCTCTGATAGTCACTCCCTCAGATACTGCACTAAAGTTTCTAAAGTTTATCCTTAATGATGGGAAATGTTATGATTCTCTAAGTGAACAGAAAGAGGTTCAATATCCTCCCAGTCAGGGAGGAAAGCGTTGACTTTAAACAATTACAGGCTAACAAACGCAAGTGCTAAATATGTTTTTGAGAGTATGGAAAAGGCTACTCCCAGACACCGCCCAGTTGGTTGGTTGGGATGATGCCAGCAGCTTTCTTCCCAGCCACAGGTTTTGCCCTTTCTTACTGTCTGACTCACAGTATGGAACTTTCTACCTGTGAGTAAAACTTGGTTTCCTGTGATGCACAGTTCTGGTAGGAACGTGATTTCTCTAGTGTATTGAGAAGGCGGGAGCAAGGACAAGCTATTTAACAACACTGAATTAATAAGAAACATTCTACAATATAGAGAGGAACCCAAAAGAAACTAGAGCTCTGGAGGGATCTTCACGGTAAATTGAATTTCTCAGGCTTCCTGCCTCCCCATCCCCAGGTCCCGTCATTATCCACCGAAGATATTTGTCCATGCAGCCTCCTCGTGTTTCTCTCTTTTGACTGTCCTTATTATTCCCAACACACTCAAAAGCTTTTGTGGCTCTTTCTAAGGTAAAATTTGACCAAATTTTTAAAAAATCATAGTTAGAAATGTATTAGGACACTAATAAACACTTAACACTTAACCACAAATATTGAATTATTGTACCTCTTAGGGCACCAGTTTTGACCATGTGTAAAAGAAGAGAAAAAGAAGAGTGAAAATAAGTTGTGTGAGTCATCAGTCAACAATATAGTACACTTAATTAAAGGAGAAATTTCCCTTGGCATTGATACATTTGTGGGCGAGAGAACTTTGCCCCCACATGAATGAAACATGTTTGAATTAGGACACCACAGCAACAGCCTGTGAAATCTTAAAGTGTCCAAATAAATTTCTAATTATAGAAAGATTCTCATTAAACAGTGAACATGTATAATTACAGAAAGGTTTTCACTTAATTAGAATCTCATCAGAGCTTCCATCTGCATCAAGATTTTGATAATAGAGGTCAAGACCTTTTGGGGTTATTGGGGAAAAGTAGGTCAAAATATGAGGGAGTTGTAAATCTATCATGCAGTTTTTGGCATAAATAATTTTTATTGAGTTTTGGAAAAATCAGACAGAAAATAAATGTGGTTATAAAATGTAAAGAGTGGGTGTCAGCATCATTTACACTGAGGATACCTGCCAATGCTGCTAGCATTACAAATTACATATGACCTAGCATGCCCATTGTTGAATTTTATATATTTGAGTGAGAAAAATTGCAATAGTGAAAGAAGCAAAAATGTTGAAAGCTGTAGCAGCAAATTTGCTGTTTAATGTAGGATTCTGTGTATGGAATCATAGTTATCTTGCTGATAAACTTTAGACAGCAATTCTCCAGGAAACCATAAAGCAATTTAATTTGAGGAAAAAAGCTTAAACTGAACACTTTAAGTTCATATTGTGTGTTAATTACAGCAGTACATGGGGATCCACTTATGCAGTGAACGGTAGACAGAC
This sequence comes from Homo sapiens, assembly GCF_000001405.40. NCBI lineage: Eukaryota > Metazoa > Chordata > Mammalia > Primates > Hominidae > Homo > Homo sapiens. Next base: position 180,951,308 of record NC_000004.12, read on the forward strand.
CACCTTATTTGATGTTCACCTTTTTTTATATGTAATAACAAATTTACTATTCCTAAATAACATCCTTTTTACTTGGACAGTGTTTTAAAGAATAACTGTTATTTTGGTGATTTAATCGAAAGCACCATTTCTACAAAGGTAATCACTTAAATGTCAGTGCTTCCAGAGGATTAAAAACCTGGCTGAGTACCAGGAATTTTTCTAGGCAATGGTGATTTAATGATACATAAGCTATAGTTCTTGCCTTGAGCAGCTCAAGGACACATGACCAAGTAATTATCATACAACATTATAAACTATGAAACAGAATGTCTAAGATAGTTTGGAAAGAGAGTTAAGAAGCAGCAAAGACTTATCTGTGCCAACGACACAAAAATGGAGAATTTAGTTATTTATTCAAATGCTTTTTCTTGAGACTCTTTTACCAGGCCCAATGCCCCCCTGCCATTAATCGGTTATAGCTACCCCATCTCTTGTTAACTCTGAGTTATTTTTAATTAATGGAGACCTCATTTGATAGTCTAATATGAAGAAGTCATTCAGTAGAACAAGAGGAAAGGATTAACACTATGCATTGCTACATATCATTAACTTGTGTGGCTATAGTTTCATTTCCCATGAAAAATAACCAAAGGCTTTAATAACGTATTTCTCTTCAGAAAATGTACCAGTAAAATTGTATTACTTCAAGTCAATATGTATTCATTCAGTGAACAGTTTGTTACTAATCTCTGAAGACAAAAAGGCCTGGAAGATGTAGTCCTTGCCCTCAAGGAATTTCAGATTGAACGGGGAAAATAAACATATAAATAATGAATCCTAACACAAAATAAAATGCATTAAGTGCTAAATCAAGGTACAAGTAATTGGCTATGGTTGAATAAAATGCTTCCATCTTTTCCCCCCATCTCCCTGGCCACTAACTAGCTTCTCTTGCCTCCTTTATCCTAATCCTGGGCCACTCTTAGGGTGAACACATAATTTACTATCTAAACCAGGACATATCTAAGAATGAAGGAGGACAATTAGTAATTACAACAATACAATAGATATGAACCAGAACTGTCTGAGGCAAATAAAAATGAAAGATAACTTTATTCGTACTCCATCCTGATGCCAAAGTGAGCATTTAAAATGCAACCTGGTTATTGATGCACTCTTACTTAAAATCATTTAATGGTTCTCCATTACTCTTTATGATAAAATCCAGCCTTTTACTTGAGTATGAAGGTATTTTCATGATCTGTATCTGTCTCTTCTCTGCTTAACAGAATCTCTCTTCACCAGGTTTTACCTCTTTTTCTTGCCCTCACACACCTCGTTTTCTTCTGATTTTCTCACTTGTAATTATGTACTGGAAGTTATTTTCAGAGGTTAATGAATTCTTAACATACTTGTCATTCCCCCAGGACAAAACGTTCCTTTAGATCAGGGATATATTCTAGCATTTTAAAAAAACCTTCACTAATGAACACAGTATTTGACACATTAATAAATATTTAATTAATATTTTGGACAGAAAAAACAAGTTAATATAAACATGTTTTATGATGTGGATTGAGAAAGATGCTACTCAAAATCTTGTTGACGTAGAAGCAGACGGTAGAATGATGATTTCCAGAGGCTTTGGGGGATGGATTTGGAGGGGGAGATTAGAATATGCTAAAAACAAAACAAACAACCACAACGAAAACCACCCAGATCTCACTGACTGTTGGTTTCTAAGCTGGGTTTAAAAGAAGAGATTTTTATGGAAAAATTATGAGAAAAGGTACATTTCAGATAGCAGAATGAGTGAAAGTATAGGCTATAAAAATGATTTATTTTCTTATAGAGAAAGATTTTCAAATTTAGGTAAGTTTTGAATATATTTGTGAAATGTATATGTGGAAATAGAATTTTTCAGTAAGAGATTCTGAAAAATGATGGAGATCTCTGAATGCAATAGAAGTTGCATTTATCTCCATTACAGTCCTTATGCAGGTGCAGTTTGAAATATGGTCTAAAAGGACGTCTGATTTCACAATGACTTTTCTCTTGATTTTAAAGGGTAAAGATGCTTTTAGTTTGTAAGACTATGCCCAATGAAAGATAAATAGCTTAAGTCTGCTCGTGGTATCCCCAATGCGGAGATCTCCCATGAAGTTTTTGGTCCTAGAGATCATATCTAGAAGGAACTCAATTAATAACTTCCTACTTGCTTCTATTCATCAACTTCTTGCTTTCTGCATATTAATCAAGACTGCAACGTCTCCGGATCTGCCTCCTCCCAGGTTCAAGTCTAGCAGAGTAATACTTGTTTCCCAAGAATGTGAACTAAAGTCTTGGGCCTAATTTACATGACCTAAATTTGATCATACAACTTTCTACAATCAATCACTGTAGCCAGATTGGGGCAATTGTCAAATTGGCCAGTCCTATATTATATAACCATCCTGGAACAGGAGGAGGCATTAGCTCCACCTAAGGGGCTTGTTCTGAGCCTGCAAATGGGAGAGGATTCTGAAGGAAGGCTGAACTTCAAAAGCTACAAATATCCAGCAAGCCTTGCCACCTTTCCTCGTCTCCGGCCAAGTGGTAAACCAAAGTTTTCCCATTTAGAAGTTTTAGTATCTCACCAAATCCTGCCCTCCCATAGCAGTGAGACATTACGAAAAAACGGTTTCTATGGTGTTCGTCTCTGCTTGCTGTGACCCAATGGAGATTAATTGCTAAAGAAATCATGTTAATTCAATTTTAGGTTTGATGGTTATTGACTGATATAAAAAATCTAAAGTGTGTGCTTCAGGTTCATTTACTACTAAAAAATAATTCCGAGAGTAGTATACAAAACCAACACGATGCAAACGGAAACCTCTTAAATGCAAATATTTCTCCTCCTGAGTTCTTCTTTCACCATTTTACCCATGCTTCCTAAGCCATATGCTGATTCTCTCAAATCTGCACATAGGTTGAAACCCCAAAATTGTCATTTTTATAGGTCAAATGGTCAAATATCCATAATTTCATGGGATTCAGCCTAATATATAATTCAACTCCAAACTCTCAACTGAACTTTATCTGGTAATCTCATAAGAGTTTCCAATTATAAGTGCTCAAAGGGGATACATTATCTCTCCTCTAAATCAATTCCTCCTCATTTATTTTGTGTATAGGAAAATGACATCCAAGCTTCTGTCATACAGAAATTCTAATGATATCCATGCCTCACCACTTTCTCCACCTTTATATATGTTAGGTTATTTGATCATACTCTATCAGGAAAACAGAATTACACAAAAACTGATGTTAACATCTGCTGTTACCCTGACTCTGCAAAGCAACTTATTCAATTCTTTAGATATTTTAGTATCTCACCAAATCTTGCCCTCCTGTAGCAGTGAGACATTACAAAAAAGCTATTTCTATGGTGTTCGTCCCTACTTGCTGTGACCCAATGGAGGTTAATAAATATATTAATTTAATATAAAACAAAACGTTGAGATAGTTAAGAGGACAAGTTATATTTTAAAATATGTTATTAACAGATATTTTAAAAAATATATTAAAAACTTACCTTTGTGTATAATAAGATCAGTTATCTGTGCAGGTATTGGCACATACAGTTTATATAAAATGGACTTACATCTTTCATGTATATGAATGTTTGGACCTGTTTTGATTTTTAATGACAAGTAGAATAAACTCCTTTACAGTTATCCTTGTGACAGCAATAGTTATTTCAGTATATGATATTGAAACTCACATTTGTTTATTGTTTATGTGGATGTTAGTGAAAACTATTTCCATGATGAGAACAAAGGCAGTTCTATTTTCAAAATCGGAGTGTTTCTTAGAAAACAGATTTAAAATGCAGTTTCATGATTAATGATGGAACACGTATGCAAAAATTAAAACATGTACTCTATAGTATGAAGATTCTCTTTATATACAAAAACCTTTTTCATAACTACAAATAAAATTACTTTTTCATAGCATAATTTTGATAACTTTTGTTGCCAGTTTAAATATCCTGAGCACATTTATCTAGAAAGAAAAAAGAATTCATTTTGCATTATCTTGGAGGTTATAATAAATCACTAAAACTAACTGTTGCAGGAAAAATTAGACGCTAGTAAACCTGGAAAAGGTCTCAGGAAATTAGCTGTTTCCTATGCTCTTATCAGAAAGACCTAATTTCAAACAGGACAGACGATGGTTGTTCACCTATTTAAGCATCACTCAAGGCTGAGAATCCAAAACCTCTTTTCTGGTAACTTGTATACTTTTCATCATAGCACGTTGGGAGGATTGATTGGAAGCTGGTCAGATTTGAATTTCAACGTTCTCTACAGCACTTTCTTTTTTTTTTTTTTTTTTTTTTTTTTTTTACAATTCTTTTTTTTTTTTTTTTTTTTTTTATTATACTCTAAGTTTTAGGGTACATGTGCACATTGTGCAGGTTAGTTACATATGTATACATGTGCCATGCTGGTGCACTGCACCCACTAATGTGTCATCTAGCATTAGGTATATCTCCCAATGCTATCCCTCCCCCCTCCCCCGACCCCACCACAGTCCCCAGAGTGTGATATTCCCCTTCCTGTGTCCATGTGATCTCATTGTTCAATTCCCACCTATGAGTGAGAATATGCGGTGTTTGGTTTTTTGTTCTTGCGATAGTTTACTGAGAATGATGGTTTCCAATTTCATCCATGTCCCTACAAAGGATATGAACTCATCATTTTTTATGGCTGCATAGTATTCCATGGTGTATATGTGCCACATTTTCTTAATCCAGTCTATCATTGTTGGGCATTTGGGTTGGTTCCAAGTCTTTGCTATTGTGAATAGTGCCGCAATAAACATACGTGTGCATGTGTCTTTATAGCAGCATGATTTATACTCATTTGGGTATATACCCAGTAATGGGATGGCTGGGTCAAATGGTATTTCTAGTTCTAGATCCCTGAGGAATCGCCACACTGACTTCCACAATGGTTGAACTAGTTTACAGTCCCACCAACAGTGTAAAAGTGTTCCTATTTCTCCGCATCCTCTCCAGCACCTGTTGTTTCCTGACTTTTTAATGATTGCCATTCTAACTGGTGTGAGATGATATCTCATAGTGGTTTTGATTTGCATTTCTCTGATGGCCAGTGATGATGAGCATTTCTTCATGTGTTTTTTGGCTGCATAAATGTCTTCTTTTGAGAAGTGTCTGTTCATGTCCTTCGCCCACTTTTTGATGGGGTTGTTTGTTTTTTTCTTGTAAATTTGTTTGAGTTCATTGTAGATTCTGGATATTAGCCCTTTGTCAGATGAGTAGGTTGCAAAAATTTTCTCCCATGTTGTAGGTTGCCTGTTCACTCTGATGGTAGTTTCTTTTGCTGTGCAGAAGCTCTTTAGTTTAATTAGATCCCATTTGTCAATTTTGTCTGGAGGCATCACACTACCTGACTTCAAACTATACTACAAGGCTACAGTAACCAAAACAGCATGGTACTGGTACCAAAACAGAGATATAGATCAATGGAACAGAACAGAGCCCTCAGAAATAATGCCGCATATCTACAACTATCTGATCTTTGACAAACCTGAGAAAAACAAGCAATGGGGAAAGGATTCCCTATTTAATAAATGGTGCTGGGAAAACTGGCTAGCCATATGTAGAAAGCTGAAACTGGATCCCTTCCTTACACCTTATACAAAAATCAATTCAAGATGGATTAAAGATTTAAACGTTAAACCTAAAACCATAAAAACCCTAGAAGAAAACCTAGGCATTACCATTCAGGACATAGGCGTGGGCAAGGACTTCATGTCCAAAACACCAAAAGCAATGGCAACTCTACAGCACTTTCTAGCTACGTAGACATGAGCTAGTTGCTTGGCTTGCATGTTACCCAGTTGTGAAAGGAGATGTGATTCCTATTGCATAGGATTGCAGGGTGCACTCACTACCGCATCTGCAACACACCAGGCACTCAATAATGGAGCCAAATTTAATGTTTGGGGAAAATATTTTTGCATGTTTTATGACCAGTGGTTTATAGAAACCCCTATAAGTACAAAAATGTGGCTAGTTTCAAGTTTTGTATCTAATAAAACTTTTCTATGGAAATATTTTCATCTCATTCTTCATCTTTTCTGATTTTTCTCATCTCAATACTAAGAACCATTTCATGCTCAATGTAGTTTAAATATTACCTACTTACATTTTTCTATTGGTCAAACCTGATAGTATAAATAACAGTCCATTTTTTATTCATTCATTAACTCTTCTCTCTTGGTAGTCAGTCCACTCTAGACCCACTGATCTTGATATAAATTTGTATATAATACTTAATTTGTATCTTTTCAGGTAATTTAATTATCCTATTATATTTAGTTTATATTCATGTTTACTCATACCACCAACTCACCTAAATTCTCCAAGACATTATACACTATGTGTTTAGATTTCTTGGTTCAAGAAACTCTGATACATTTGGATTCTTCTGCAAATTATTTTTGTGATTGTATTAGTTGGGGTTTTTCAGATAAACAGAACCAACATGACACATGTATGTATCTATAAAGCAAGAGAGATTTATTTTAAGGAATTGGCTCATGTAAGTGAAGAGTCTTGATGCATCTATAATCTGCAGAGTGGGCCAACTGGCTGGAGACCCAGGAAGGAATTGCACTTTGAGTCCAAAGACAGTATGCTGCAGAATTCATTCTTATTCAGGGGTAGTCAGCCTTTGTTCTATTAAGGTCTCCAACTGATGGGATGAAGCCCACTTCTGTTACAGAAGGTCATCTGTTTTACTCAAGTCCACTGATTTAAATGTTGATCTCATCCAAAAACACCTTCACGGAAACATCCAGGATCATGTTTTACCAAATATGTGAGCACAGTGGTCCAGGCATATTGGTACATAAAATTATCCATTAGACTGGCCTTCAATAAAATTTAATAAGTAATTTAAAAATATCACTACCAATCCATTCTATATAAATATAGAAAAGCTCTCCCTTGTTTTTATTTTCAAAAACAGAGGGACTAATTATGTATTATCAAAAAATACTTTCATTCACTATCAATTTTATCTTTTCCTTAGATATAAATTAATGCATGTATGCTTCAAATAAGTCAAATATTTGACTTATTTATTTAAATAAAAAATAGATATAAAATATGTTGTATATATTAAAGACATATAATTATATGCTTAACACTTTATAACTACAACTTTATCTCTCACTAAATTTTTTATACTACTGTTGAAAGTTTTAGGTGGTTAAAATCATACTCAGAAGAAAAATATATTTTAAAAAGTAAAAACCATTGGACAAAGTAAAAACTATTGTGTCATTTGCTGTCCTAACACTGAATTTTGCATGTAGGTATAGTAGATAAAAAATCAGCTTGGGCATCAGACAGGCCTGGGTTGAAATCCAGAATTTACTATTTATTAGTTGTGGATTTAAAATTATATTTTAAGGAGACTTTTAGCCTTCTCAGCACAGACACATTCAAAGTTCTTTCTTTTGTCATGGGAACTTTTGGATACCACACGTTTCAAAGGGAACATTGATTGTGTCCCTGGATAAATGATCTATGACATCGTGTGGACCTCTACTTAGCTGGCAACAAAGAACTGTAATCCAGGTATTTTTATTCATGGCCATTTTGAGCTCTTGTATTTTTATTAATTTCTGAGCCAGAATTTTTTTTAGAGATTTTTCTTAAAGGGCACGTAGTCCATGTACTGTAAAATATGATCAAATCTACCTCTTAAACAATGTAGGGAGCTGCATAACACACCCATTTTAGTGCATCCTGTCATATCCTCCCTGATTATAGTTACTTGGTGCCTTTCAGTATTTTTGAGGGGTGTTATGAAAAACATCAACTCATTATGGCCTCTAACATTAAGAAGATGTCATGTTTTAATCAACCACTGTCTTCGTTCCTTTGAATAGTGGGAGAAATTACAGTGTAGTCTGAGGGCCAAGAATACTACTTATGCTTTTCAAGAGTAATTGTTTATTTTACTATATGACAGCAATTGCAAAAGTTTGAGTTACTAAATTTATCTATGTCTTTGCACTGACTATTTGGAAGCACAGAAATGTATGTGGCATCCATACATAGTAACAATAATAATCTTCATAACTAAAACGTTAATATAATCAATATATTAAACATCTTTTATAAACACTGTTATATACTAGGTATTGTACAAAGTATATGACATATAACTTTGATTCTCCCTAAAAACCCTAGAAATAATACAGATTAGAATGAAATTGTTTTTCAGTTTTATTCCTGGCTTCTTGTGAAATCCAGGTTTTTCTTTTGTGCTATTTTTAATTTATGTTGTTTGGTGGTAGTTTACATGACTTTATACTATTTAAATACTTTCGTGAATTTGGCTCCCCACAGAATGTAAATTCCAATAAGGGCAGGTACTTAGTCTGTTTTGTTACCACTGTATCCCCAATATTTAACCCAGATGCTCAAAAAATATTTACTAAATAACTAATTGAGTAAAAACACAGATATTAATGAATATGCCTTTTCCTCCATGCACACCCAACTGAAAGAGATTGAATTATGTGATTTATGTGACATTCAAGTAAGGACATTGAAACAATAGAGCTTTCTAGCTGTGTTTCAGGAGTTAAAGATGTAGTTGAAGGCTGACATACAGCAGGTGCTCATTAAAGTATTATTACAGTGTGTCAATAATTTAGATCGGCTAACTTATGTATTAACATTACCTTCAGTACAAGTTGTTGTTCAGCAGTATACTGCCAATCAGAAAGCAGCAATCAAGGGCCTAAAATGAAATATTTCTCTGCCAAATTATAAAAACATTGGTAGCAATATCAGTAATGCAAAAAAGTAATAAAAATACTGAAGTAGCAAACACAGAAACAGAATATGATAGGGTATGGGGAACACACTTTGTTTTCCTAAAACTTCTCAAATTCATCATTAGTAAAAAGCTTTTTTAAAAGGTGGGGAAGAGTGAAGTGAGGCAGATACTATTTTTCCCAGTATCATGGTATAGTTTTGCATAACGTGCAATTATACCTGTAGCTCTTTGTTTTCACATTGGCTGGTGCTAGATGTAAAAATTACTATTTATGAATGATGTCCATACAACTGGAAACCCACTGGTACTGCTTTGTTCAGAAAAACAAGTAAAACAGTTTAGAGAACTGGAGCAGCTTCCTACATTATTTTTTTCTGCAAGAAATATCCTCAAGACGATCCTGGAAAGGCAGGGTTACTCTGCCTCTTAGGAGGAATGTATCCCCCACCCAAAATGATATTGGATTAACTGTGATCGTAGTCACCCAGGCATGAGACAAACACCTGCCCCCCCACCCCCCGTCTCCCCTGAGCAGCCTCATAATTTAGATATCTTCTTAAGCAGATCACTGGCCTAAGCAACAGATATATTCAGCAAGAGGAAAGTAAATCACTCAGAATGAAAGTAATTTTTCTAAAAGAAATGGAATTAAGATAGCGGAATTCAACCAGACTTGTAAAAACAAGACTTTACAGCAGACACTACATTTGAGGGATGGGAGTTGATCTCATGTTAATGTGGATTTGGTTTAATCGGTTGCTAGCAGAATGAGGATTATTTAGGAAACAGTGCCCTCTGTGTGTGTAGTCTCTCATGTGACAGTATCAGGCCCTCTCAGGAAACAGAGATATGGACAAAGGGAAATTCAAACAAATTAGTTTATATTTGCTAAGCATTTTTATGGAGGAAAAATAAATCTGCCAGTAAAAGACACACAGTAATTAGTCTCTCTAATGGAAAAGTAGGGTCTGATTAAGAATCTTCTGCTAATGCACTCTAGAGTTAGTTATAACCAAATTACTGAAAATGTTCAAAAAGTCCTTCTATTATTACTTGACTTGCTTTGTCTCATTTGTCAAAGGGCTTCTGCAACCTTTCTTGCTGAGCGAATGTCCTTTTCGCAGCCTTGCATTTCTGTGTGGGCCTGAATGCCTCTGCCAGTTGTGCCTGATCACCCAGCAGGCACAATTAAGGGAGTGCATTAGTACTTCAGTAGATAATAGAAGCTCTTAAAGAGCTTTCTATAAGAGTCTGTGTGGCATATTTCTATATTTTTAAGTCAACTGGATTCACTGTTTAATAACCTGAACAGTTTGAATAATTTGAAATCACAGAAATAAAAAGAGAAAAAGAAGTTGGGTAATGTATTTTTCTTCAGCTTCTTCTATACATTATCCTGTCTGTAGATCTAAGATAAATGGGAAGATTATATCCAAATACCAACAGTACATGCTTATTTACATAATATGACTGTGGACTAGCTAACCAGTGGTTCTCTTCATAAGCACAGCTCAGTTTGATCATGTTGACTAAAGTAATGAGATTGATAAGCAATAGGATGAATGAGGTGCAGAAGCAATAAATCAATACAGAAAAAAAATTTTTTTCAACCTGTTGGCAACCAACATTTTAATTGCAATAAGGAGTGTAGTTTGAAAAAAATGGCTTTTAGTGCATAAAACAACAGAGAATCTCATTTTTCTAACACCTACATGCTTGGAGGGGTGCTATTGTAATTGCAGGAATGTAGGCCATCACAGAAAACATAAGTTATTTCTCAGCTTTTGTTTTTTTCAATGACTGCTCTACCACAAACACCGCATCATAATCTTAGGGTGGGGTTGGGGAGATTTGTGTTTTAACAAGAACCACAGATGACAATTCCTGTCTATAATAAAATTTGGAAATGAGAACTATTGATCAGTGTGTTAGCTAATTATTTGGTTAAGCACAGTTAGATGTATGGACATGGCTTAACATGCCAAAGGGTTTGGAATTTCTAGATTCCTGATACAAATCTGTTTGACAAAATAAACAGAAACTCTAATGTATTTTTGTAGTCACAATTTACTTTTTAAAAATATACATATTTCAATATACACTTTTTGACTTGCAGTTACTCTGAAACACTATGCAAAGCCCTGGAGATATAAGGACAAATGCCGCTTGTTTTCTCCCAATAAGGAACCTGGAGTCTAGTTTCAGAGGCGAAGAGTAAACAGAATATGATAATGTCCTGGTGTAGTGATAATCAGCACAGACTGCTCTGGGAAAATAGCTGATAGTCTTTCCAGAAATGCAGTGCAGATAACCCTTGAACAATAGGGAGGTTAGGGGTGATGACCTCCCCATGTATAAATCCATCGATAATTTTGACTCCCCCAAAACTTAACTACTAACAGCCTACTGTTGACTGGAAATCTTACTAAACATAAATAGATTAACACATATTTTGTATGTTATATGTATTATATACTGTAATCTTACAATAAAGTAAGCTAGAAAAGAAAGCATTAGGAAAATCATAAGGAAGAGAAAATGCATTACTTTTCGTTAAGTGGAAGTGGATCATCATAAAGGTCCTCATCTGCATCATCCTCACTTTGAGTAATCGGAAGAGGAAGAGGAGGGGTTGGTCTTGCTGTTTCGGGGTGGTGGAGGTGGGAGAGGTGGAGCAGGTAAGAGGGAAGGCAGAAGAGGCAGGCACACTTGGTGTAACTTTCTGGAAATGCGCTGTAATTTCTGCCTGACATTTTTGCTCTTTCATTTCTCTAAAAATGTTTTTATATGGTTCCAGTCCTTCTTCTACCATTTGCATTAGTTTCATTGCCCATGTCATAGAAAGTTCCAGGTCATAAAATAAGTTTAAAGCGATCTCGAATAATCAGAAGCCTTCTGCCAGATTGTCTAGTGTCAATTTGTTTTCTGGCATAGCTTCTTCTACGTCGTCGTCTTCATTGTCTGGCACTGGTTTGGAAGCATTTCTCTTCATCAAGTCATTGTTAATTCTTCTGGTGTGGTGTCCATGAGCTCTTGAATTTCTCTAAGATCCATATCTTGAAACCCTTTTATACCCCCCCAACCTGCTGCCATTTTTTTTAAACCACATTCACGGTCTTTTATGTGATTTTCTTGATTGGCTCTGTTGTAAATCTTGTAAAATCATGCACAACGTCTGAACATAGTTTTCTCCAGCAGGAATGAATTGTTGTCAGCTTGATGGCTTTTATGGCTTTTTCCATAACAATGGTGGCATCTTCAGTAGTGTAATTCTCCCAGATTTCTATGGTATACTCTATTGGGGTTCTCTTCCATAGTATTAGCAGTCATTTCCATAGAATACTGCGGTGTAATGAGCCTTAAAGGTCCTTATGTCCCCCATCTAGAGGCTGAATTAGAGCTATTGGGGCAAGTAGACCACTTCAGCCCCTTCAAGGTTGAACTCATGGTGCTCTGTGTGACTAGGGGGAATTTTCCAATATCAAAAGAATTTTAAAAAGTAGTCCTTTATGGGCAAGATACTTCCTGACTTCAGCAACAAAGCATTGATGGAACTAATCCAGAAAAAGGGTTCTCATTGCTCAGGCCTTCTTGCTGCACAACCAAAGGATTGGCAGCTGGGATTTATCTTTTTCCTTCAAGGGTTGGGGTTAGCAGGTTTATAGATAAGGGCAGTCCTGATCATTAACCCGACTGCATCTGCCACAAAACAGTAGAGTTAGCCTACCTTTCCCTGCTTCAAATCCTGTGCTCACTTCTCCTGTTTTCTGATTAATGTCCTTTTTTGTTCTCCAGAATAGGGCACTTTCATCTGCATTAAAAACCTGTTCAGACAGATATCCTTTCTTCTCAGGGATTTTCTTAATGGGACCTGGAAACCTCTCTGCTGCTTCGTGGTCAGCAGACGTTGCTTCTCCTGTTATCTTGACATTTTTAAAGCCTCTTTCTGCAAGTATCAAACCACACTTTGCCAGTATTAACATCTCTAGCTTTAAATCCTTCACCTTCCTTTTGATTTACATTGTCATCTAATGATTTTTCTTTTTTGTCAGTCATATTATAATCTGTAGCTGTGTCTTTCTTATGACAATCCTGTACCCATGTAAAAGCTGCATTTTCAATATGAGACAAAAAGGTATTTCACAAAAAGTGCAAGGTTTTTGCGACTGCTGGTGTAGTTGCAGCTATGGCTTCACAGGTTCCATTCCTTTATGTACAACGGTCCTTACACCAGATTCATTTATCTTGAAATGGTGGCAACCTAAGCTGCAGACCTCAATCTACAGTACACATCAAAGAAATTCAACTTTTTCTTGTAATGTCATGACTTTACTTCTTGGGAGCACTCCCAGCATCACGAGTGGCATTTTGTATGGTCCCCATGGTGTTACTCAAGCCTAACGATATTTCTCTAAACATGATGAAAAATACAAGAGAACCGTGAGAGATCACTTTTTACTCTGATCCACAATTTACTGGAGAGGGTACTGGCTGACGCAGAGATGATTAACATCTCAAGGCACGTCAGACGAATACTCGCAAAACTTGAGCTCACCTCAACAGCAAGAGGAGGTGGCTGGGAAGTGATGACGGTAGTACAGTATGGACTACATTAATTGTATGCACTTATGATTTAATACTGTATCTTTAGAGTTTGTTTACATTTCCTTCAACTGCAAGTGGCACTATGTATGACTTATAAGTGTTTAAGCTTTGATAAATATTACCTTTTTATAATATTTGTGTATATTTTATGGTAGTAAATGATAAAATAGACTAATATCTACGTACCTTTTATGCATTCAAGACATACTTTTAAAATTTTTTTCTCAATATTTCTAGGCTATGCAATTCATAGTTTTTTTTCAAATGGTTGTGAGTCTCCAAAGTATATAGCAATAATTAATTGAAAAAAAAATTCACATATAAATGGAACTGTGCCATTAAAAGCCATGTTGTTCAAGGGTCAACTGTATTGCTAGATTAAAGGGAAGGAGTGCAGGGAGATAAAGATGTGCCTGGCAGTTTAGGTGAGAGGGACATACTAAAGAGATTGTGGATTTTATTCAGTGGGCCATAATGCAACCCTGGAACTTTTAAAGAGTGACACGGTTAGACCTGCATTGTAGAAAGATCATTTGGGTTACTGTGTTGGAAATATATTAGAGGACTTGGAACTGAAAGCCATGTCTGTACATTCTCACTTGTCTGGATACGTTGCAGGTATCAGAATGAGTGAAGTACATTTTAAGAAATACCTGTCCGCAGCATACAAATTTTTCAAATGAAGACTATTAGAAAATCTTTAAATATACTTTGTCTAGAATTGTTTATTATGTGAATGAAGCTCAAATATGAATTAAGATGATCTAAAGACAATACAATTTTTGGTCCGAAATGTAATGTATTGTGTTCATATTCATAGCATTTTCCAATGAAGGTCAAAGTTCTATTCTCTGTTCTTGTTCTTTTGCTGCAACAGAGATACAGCAACGCAGGGAACACATAAAATGAAACCCAAGACAGGCATACTGTTCACATTCCAAGTGTTTAGCTATATAATTTCTTTGCAATAAGTATGATAATTCTATATTAATCTCTGACAGTAAAAATAAAAAGTAAAAATTGCAAGACTATCAGGGATTTCCCTACTATACGTGTCAATAAAAGCTGCCTACCTTTGCACAGTTACTGACTCTATCTGAGGTTTAGCTACTTCAGCTCTAAAAATCTCTCTTGGAAGTGGTGGTATCAAAGTTATATTTAGTTCTTTAATTTTAAGAGAGTTTAGACAATTAATTTTGCCTACAGATACTACATTCATATATAGGATTTAGTTATGCCAAGACCAGAGATAGAAAAGTATGAGGTTGCCCAAATTTGTCAATTACACCTTTCTCTCAAAATGGAAATTTCTTTCCATTTGAAGTAAAATGTCAATGATAAAAACACTAGTACTATCTTTTTTGACTGTATGTCCACATTTGGCTGCATGCATGGGTCCTAAGGCAGTTTTTAAATTTATCTTTGGCATGAAGTGTGGTGTGGGCATTTTCAGAGCCATGTGAAACTCCAGTTAAAAATATAGCACAACAAATCTTCACATAATTGGGTTTTTTTTGGTATTAAAATATGACTCAGATCTTACCTAACAAATCCACATTTTCTTGCGAAAATCATTGGGATATTTAGATCCCTTATTAAAAGAGGAAAAGTATACGTGGTTTGAAGAAAGTTTGTGAATGAATGTTTGAGAACTGCTCCATATCTAATGACTAATGCTCAGCAGAGACTCTGAACAAGGAAATGGCTCTGCTCTGGCATAAAATATTTCAAAATTATTAATAGCTAAAATAACCTGGAGGTATTCCATTTTTTACAGTGTAATTCTGACAGTTCTCCATAAGCCCTTGATTTAAGTGATGATTAAAAATAAAAGTTAATAGCATTACTAGATTATGTTGGAACACTTTTGAAAGTAGTTTAAGGTAATTTCATGGTATGACTAACCATTTTTGTAATATAGCATATCTTATATATAAATAATTGAGAAAGAAGATTACCAATCCTTTGATTAGTCTCCAAAATATTAACTCAATCTTTGTAGTACAATTGAAGCAACAGTTATGAGCATTGTATTCAGGGGAAATTATAATCAACAAAAATTCTGCACACACACACACACAAAGAATTGAACCATTCTTTAAATATTACATGTTGTGTGATTGCCGCAGAAATTTGGTAAATAATTTGCAGGTGATAAATCAATTCACTCATAATCCCACCATGAAGATATAACAGTCTTCAGTATATTTCTTTTGTGCTTTTTGTTTCATCAAACATATAATACACACATCCATGTTTTTAAAGCAAACACAGACCCTATACTGTGCATCATTTTAATAACCTGCTTTTGTTTATTCACCAATGTATTTTCCATTCATTGCACATTTTGTTACTGCAACACATTAAATACCTTTGCAGATTCCCACTATGTGTATAGACTCACCATAATTAACTTAAGCAGTAATCTATTATTATGCATTCATTTTATTTCTGATATTTTTTACCACATTCTTCCATGAACATGTTTATAGTTAGTTCCTTGTATATGGTCATAATTTCCTTAGAATAAAATCCTAAGGAAAAAGTTTGCATCCTAAAATAGAGTGATTATTTTACTAATTTACATCCTCATCAGCAACCAATGGACATGCACACCCCACCCCTCATGCCCTTGAGAACATTGGATACTGTCTTCAACAGCCTGGCCCAAATTATGTTTTGAGGAAATCTAGCATATAACGGATGTTATAATAATTGTTCTTAAATAAAAAATTGAAATGGTCAATGAAATTTGGAAACTACATACTGAAATCTCTTTTTTGGTGATTCACACTGCACATTAAAATATTAAAGACTGTGAGAAGTCCTGATATAAATATACCAGATTAAGTTTTGTTAACTCAAGATTTCCTGAACCTCAGTGATCATGGAATCCCTTATTGATGGAATACCTATTAAGGTACTTTAAGACATCAGTGTTCCTTATAATGCAGTTTGTAAAACACCAGTTGTCTATTTTGAGGCCACATAACTGGCATTTATGGAAAAGGCTGTAAATTGACTATGCAATATCCATTCTCCTTCTTTCTTACAAAGAGTTATTCAGCAGAACAATGTGCCCAGCTAAAATCACTTTTTTGTAACCGCCACCACAAACAAGATACAGAACGGTTCCAACGCCCAAGGAATTCCCTTGTGCTGATTGATCCTCTGTCATCAGCGCCTTCCTTCACTCTTAATTCCTCATTTTTGGAATATTTATCTCTTGGATTACTGTCACCATACCTTTCTCTAGTCATAATTCTTGGTGATTTCATATCAGTCTAGACAATTTTTTAAATCTCCTGAATCTTTCAGTGCCTTAATCACATATCAGTCACATTCATACCTTGACTTTGTTGTTACCAAAGTGAGAATTACTCAGTTGTCTCAATTACAATTCTGCCACCCCAACCGTGACTTCCTGTAGTCCAGTAATGCTTTCACTCTCTGGGAACTCACAGTCTTTAATTCTAACACCTTTCACCCTTCCTCTATTTTTTTTTTTTCCCCTACCTGGCTTAAAGGACTCATCTAATCACTGTAATCACTCTAATGCTTGCACTATCGACTCCTTCACCCCTTACACACTTCCTGGAATCTGCGAGGCCAAATGTTAAGGTTAAATTCAACTCTATCTATGCCTTCACCCATGCGGCTGACACAAGGCTATGCTAATTGGATTTTTCAAAAAAAAATTCAAGATTGGCTGTGCGCGGTGGCTCATGCCTATAATCCCAGCACTTTGGGAAGCCGAGACGGGCGGATTACCTGAGGTCAGGAGTTGGAGACCAGCCTGGCCAACACAGTGAAACCCCTTCTCTACTAAAAATACAAAAATTAGCCAGGTGTAGTGGCACAAGCCTGTAATCCCAGCTACTAGGGAGGCTGAGGTAGGAGAATTGCTTGAGCCTGGGAGACGGAGGTTGCAGTGAGCTGAGATTGTGCCGCTGCACTCCAGCCTGGCTGACAGAGTGAGACTCTGTCTAAAGAAAAAAAAAAATCAAGATCATCACATCAAATGGGTACACGGTGCTCTGCCAAAATCATACTACATATCTGTTTATGAATTTTAAACATTCTTATATGACCATACAAGGTCACAAGCCAAACTCCCTTCTTTCCAAACCTCTAGCCACCTTCTCCCTAATTTCCATTCTTAGTTGAGAACATTGTGGCTTAACTTATTGAGAAATAGGATCAATTAGAAGCAGTTCTCATCACCACGTTTATCCATGTATGAGCACATGGCTTAAGCCAATTATCTCTCCCACAGATTATTGCAGTAGTGCTCTAACTGGTTTCCTTGCTTCTGTTCCTGCTCAGGGATTAAACTCATTCCTGGAACACAGATGCATCACCTAGAGGGACATCACCCAAGTTGAAGCCATGAGGATCAAACCTCATGCTAATAAAGACAGAGGTAGTAACAGTGGCAGCTTTAGACTGAGTGCTAGAGAGAAGTGAATTATTTTGCAGTAAAGTAATTATATACTCATTCATTGAACATGAGGTTTAATATTTACAGTGTGCTTGACTGTATCTGTGAACAAAGGAGACAAAAATACATACCTTTGGGGTGCTTCTGTTCTAGTGGGGAGAGATGACAAAAAATAAGTAAAATAGGTGCCATGTTAAATTGTAATGAGTGCTATTGAAAAAAAACAAGCAGGAAAAGGAAATTGGGAGCATTGGAATGAATACTGGAAGAAAGCGATGGGCCGAACCACATGAACATCGATAGGAAGAACTTTTCGGATAAAGGAAATAGCAGTGATGAGAATAATGTGGTTAGAGTCAAGGATGTGATAGGGGCCAAAGTCATGTAGGGCCTGAGTGAGATGAGAAGCCTTTGGAGAGCTTTCCAAGGAGTAAAATAATCTAAGTTGCATCTTTACCAGAAATTTCTTTGGTTCTTACCTGGAGAATAGATAGAAGGAGTAAGGTAACTATAGCCTGGCTTTTTAATTTTGTTTATTTTTATTTATTTTAGAGACGGTCTTGATCTATATCCCAGGCTGGAGTGCAGTGCCGAGATCACAGCTCACTGCAGCCTCGACCTCCTTGAGCTCAAGTGATCCTCCTGCCTCAGCCTCCTGAGTAGCTGGGACTAAAAGTGTGTACCACCATGCCCGGCTAGTGTTTTACAAACTTTTTAAAAGATGGCATCTCACTATGTTGCCCAGGCTGGCCTTGAACTCCTGGGCTCAAGCAATCCTCCTGCCTCAGCCTCCTGAGTAGCTGCAATTACAGGTGAGAGCCACCCCACCTAGAGATCGTGGCTTTTGTAGAATCCCACATCAAAGAGCCCTCTTCTTTTTGCTGCTACTTCAGAGATGGCTGATAAACAGAAACCTTTACCATTCTCTATTTATACAAATATATACTAATCTGAAAATATCACTTTCACTGAGGACTTGTTTTCATCTTTTGGTTGGTTGTTTGCTTTATCTGGCATATATGTTAAACAAGAGATTAATCATAAACTTATCTAGTCAATGGGAAAAGTGTTTCTGCTGCCAAATCGAGAAGGCCAGGTGTAAAACTAAAACCAGGCTCACTGAGATTTGGGGACTGTTTCTGGAAAATAGCACAAGCATCTATTACTCTCAGGGCACATAGCACAGAGTCTGATAGAGGAGACATGCTTAACAATTGACCTGTATACAATCCCTATACTAACTAAGGAGAAATTAGGGGCACCTAAGCAGAAGTAACCATCTTCCTGGTTTATTTAGCTCAGAGTGAGGCTTGAACTCAGTCAAAGGTCCTACTTCTATAGTCCAGGGGCATCTGGGAAGAACATTGAGAAATGCTAGCTTGACTCTTTGGTGAGGGGTAGGTGTGACTCCCAACAGGCTTGTGTCTACGCATGCCAGTGCCACTGCCCTGGAAGATACTCAGGGAAAGATTCAGATAAGAAAGAGAACATTGTGTAAATCACAATTTATCACTGGGAAATGAATTGAAAGTTAGCTCAGGTTAAGAAATTGTTGCAAGATTCACACGTTTGTCAGGATTATTGCTTCTCTTGGTATACAACATGTGGCTACAATTATTGAAGTGTTTATCATTATAGAAAGTATGATGTAGATATCTCACTGAATAAATTCATACTACTAGCAAGGCAATAACAAACTTTCTTAACAATTCATAGAAACTGGAGGCATGTGAGTCCTGGGTCCTAAGAAGGCCCTAAACTGGCAGATATTAGGTTGATTCTGCTCCGAATCATTTGTCATTCTTTGTTTTGACAGCCAACAAATCCATAAGCCTATCTCAATATAGGTAGTAAATTGATAATTAAACTCTTTATTAGATTTCTTTGTCTAGATTCCAACGAGAAGGACCGTAAGGGAATGGACTGTCTTCTTCTCCCGCTAAAATGCAATTTCTGGAGGTTCTCTATCTTACCCCTAAGCAGAGTTCCTAGATCATAAAAGGCATTTGGTAAATGTTTAAATTGCACATCATGATAAAATATTTTGCTGAAGTCGTTCTTTAAAATCATTTGACATGATATACTAACCAATGAATTGGTTACTGTTGTCATGGTGCACCAATTGAGTCCTGAGAACAACATTATTTTAAATAATAAGTTGATTGCCTCAGCTTCAAAAAATTTTCGGTCCATAGGCTGTTCATCAGTAGGTTCAATAAATATATCATCTCTGGGAAACTTAGTAAGCAAATGAATTAAAATGTTTGAAATATTTGAAATGATAGCTTAGTATGAGGAATTATTTCTTAAATTGTGTAAGATAGAAGCATTTCTTTTCTAACAGTTTGACTGAATTTAGATGACTATGAGTAAAATTTTAGATTTATTACATCTTACGTTATCTTCCTTGGCAGAGAGTACATTTAGAAGAGAAACTGGCCAACCAAAGGCAACAGTTTATTGTTTTCCAAATGTCCACAGGATGTGTAGATCTTGGAAGAAACAGTTATTGCCAGCAGTATTAGAAGTACATAGACTTGCCTTTCTTATGTAAATATCTGTAAGAATTAGTGCATGCTATTTTTATTTTTTTGTTAATTGAACAAGCTTTCATGTTTTTTATTATAAATGAATACAAAGATTTTGTTTGATTTGTGTTTTGAACAAACAATACAAAGTATTCTTTTTGGAGAGTTGTAGAATGAACTCACAGCTACGTTGAAATACTTATTTCAACATAAAGGAGACTAACAGATAACAAAAAAAAGTAAGTTCACTGTAAAAAGGTCCTACTATATTATTTAAATAGGTTATCAAGGAAATATATTTTCCCATGGGGTTTTTAAAAGAAGCTTTTAAAAGGGTAATATAAGAGAGTACAATTCCAAAGAAATTTAATCAGAAGTCTCATTATATTTATGCAGACCATAAAAGAATTAAGGGGTAGCATGGTAGGTGCATATATTATTTACAGCAAATCCCAGCTTACTTTAGAGAAACCTTATTCTCCATAAACCCGCCAGCTAGTCTTTGTCCCAGGTAGCAACGTTTACTGGAAAAGAACATGATTTTCTTAAAACTTTTTCAATTAACTTCTTTTTGTTAAACTACACTGTATAATTTAAATCCTGCAGTTAATATATTGCCAACTATTTGATTCCTTGGAGGCTCTATATAAAAGGAAGGATTTAAAGTTGGTGAGATAACCCAAATCATTCCATCTGGAACTAAAAAATGTCTTAGATATGTGTTGTATGAGTATGTATGTGTTATGATCAAAAGGAAAATCATAACACATATATACTCATACAACACATATATACTTATATAACACATATATATTCATAGCTTTTAAAATATTTGCTTTTGTTGAAATACTCTATACTTTCTATAGTCATATCAGAATATTGTATAGTAGTTAAAAGTTCATGCTCTAGAGTCAACTGACTGCATTTCAATCCAAGCTGTTCCACCTGAGTAAATTTATCAAATTTCTCTTTGCTGGTACCTGCCTTTTAAAGTTATTGAGAAGATTAAATGAATGGATTGAAGTGCTTAAACCTATACCTGGTACATAATTAGAAATCAGTAAGTGTCGGGCAGTATTTAGAGATACAAGTGCTACGTGATGCAGGAGATACAGATATATTCATCGTGCACTTACAATCTAATGGGAGCTGACTGGGATCATTGTTTTTTCACTAATTCATTTAGGAAATAGTTAGGGGGTGCCTACTTTCTACCAAGGATGGGAAGACATGATGTAATAAGACCGATAGTTGAGATGATATATGAATATGAATGATGACAATCTAATGAAATAGAAACTGAGGTTGTGCAAGGTAGGATGGGAACACAGTGGAGAAGTAATTCTGCTATCTCAGGAAAAATATCAGAAAGGAAACACATGTGAGCTGAATCTTACAAGGATTACTAGAAATTTTCTAGGTGGACAAGCAGAAGCTAAGTGAAGAGGGAAGAACAGATGTTAAAAAAAAAAAAAAAAAGTAGCCTGAGAGAATGCATGGCTTTTAGCAATCGATCATGAGGCCTATGGAGGTCAAAGAGGACAAGATCCTGGGACAGGAGTCATGAAGGACCAGGGGTTAAAAGGTGAGGAGCATTTACCTAACCCATTAGGCACTGTGGGGTCCATGGGAAATTCCATGTAAGCAAGTGATGTGATAAAATTCGTGTTGAGAACGATGTCTAGCTACAGTGTGAAGCCAGGATGGGACAGGACAGGAGAGTGGAGGCAGGGGCCAGTTAGGAAGCCATTGTTTTACTCTAGACGAAATTTTTTAAAAAGCCTGTTCTAACTGAAAAGAAAAGATACTCGCTGATTTCTATTAAGTTCTGAACAGTGTTTTATGTCCCTTTCAAACACTGTCTCATTTCATCCTCATCAGGATCTTATGTAGTCGATGTCATTATATCCAATTAGAGACAAAACTGAGGCTCAGAAAGGACAAGTATCTGCACTAAGATCCTATGCCAGCGTAGATCGGAGCCAGATTGAATTAGAGTCAGCCCGAATCCCAATCTTTTGCTCTTTTTGCCTTATCATCTGCCTCCCTTAGTGGCAATATTAGGAATGGAGAACCAAAAATGGGTTTTAAAGGTATCAGGAGTTCGATTTTATAAGATTCAGTGATGTTCATTGTGTAATTAAATACATAGATCAGATTAAGAAAAGAGATCTGTAACATCAGCTTAAAGATAAAACTGAGAGGCTATGTAAAATTGAAAAGAAAAATTAGAGAACTTTGAAGATATTAATATTTAAGTGTGAGGAGAAAGAGAGTCAAGTAAAAGAGATGGGAAGAGAAAAACAGGACAGCCATGATGTCATGGAAACTGAGAAGCAAGCGTTATAAAAAGAAGAATGTGGTTAAGCCACGTTACATGTAACAAGAGGTTCACTGTGATAAAGAACAAGAAATCCCCATCAAATATGAACAGCTAAGACATGATGGGTTCTTCCCTGAGCAGCTTTGGGAAACGGCTGGAGAGGACGTCAAACCCTGGTAGCTAAGGGGGAATGAAAAGAAAGAGGTGGAGGAGGAAAGTATAGATTCTTGTTCCATCTCAAGAACCCTGGCTGTAGAGATGGAAAGCAATAATTTACTCTCCTGTAAGTTATTTCTTTTCTTTTAAAATAAGGTTTCATTTCATTTCTTTTAAAATAAGGTTGAAGAGAAAATGTAAAGGAAGTACTAGAAAGACTAGTAGAGGACTTTCTCCTCTGTGATGGGAGAAAAAGAAGGACATAAAGTCCCTTAGTAGTTTGAGAGGAATGTGGTGAGAAGTTGAGAAGGTTTTGGTCCCAAAGGCCCCCATTTTCTCTGGAACATTGAAGAAACCTGCGTCACCTACTGAGACTGAGAGATTAGAGGAAAATTGAGGGGGCTTGAGAATGGGACAGTTTTAAGATAGCTTCACAGAAAATGGTATAGTAATATTAGTAGTGGAAGTATTGGAAGTAGCAGCCAATACATACGTAATGCCTTTCCTGTGCAGATTATTCTTTTAAGTCTTCGTATATGTTCACTCTGACAGCAACTGTATGAGGTTGGTTCCAGTGCAAATCTTACTGAACAGATCAGGACACTGAGACATGGACCTTAAGTGATCTACCTGCCAAGATCACACTGCTTATAATAAAGGAGCTTATGTCTGAGCCCACTGCAGAGTCCAGATCCTGAATTCCAGTAGGAAAGCTATTGTAGGAAAATAAAAATGTCAGTATACAAGTAGCTCTAATACAAGTTAGCACAGGATAACTAACAACATTTTTTTAAAAAATGGTCTTGGGTTAAAAGAGTCCTGGAGTCATTAGCTAATACTGTAGTAAGAGGCATAAAAGTGCTACAGGAGGCTGGGTGCGGTGGCTCACACCTGTAATCCCAGCACTTTGGGAGACCGAGGTGGGCAGATCACCTGAGGTCAGGAGTTCGAGACCAGCCTGGCCAACATTGTGAAACCCTGTCTCTACTAAAAAATAAAAATAAAAAATTAGCCAGATGTGGTGGCAGGTGCCTCTAGTCCTAGCTACTAGGGAGACTGAGGCAGGAGAATTGCTTGAACCTGGGAGGCAGAGGTTGCAGTGAGCCGGGATCGCGCCACTGCACTCCAGCTTGGGCGACAGAGTGAGACTCCATCTCAAAAAAAAAAAAAAAAATTGCTACAGGAATACAATAAATAATAATCATATACATAGAAATCTGTGTGGGACTGTCCATTACATCTAATTCTGATGAAATCCTTAGTAGAGTGATTATTCTTTTGGACTTCAGAAGAAAAAATAAATATGGTATATTTGGAAGAATTCACAAAAAATTTATAAGTGAATTTAAGTTTATCAAAATCTCTTACACAGCTATGACTATCCACTAAAAATATAATAGAAGAAAATAAATATAAATGTATGCTGAGGGACTTAAGTTTAATACAGAAGGAAATACTTTACAGTTTGTTGTTTGGAATATTATATACTTTTTTTTTTTAAAAGAAAGGTCTAAATCTTTCCAGAAAGGTCTAGAATTCTAGACAGAAAGGTCTAGAAAATTCTAAGTATCTTCAGGGAAGCAATAGTCATGGCAGTTAAGAATTTCTCTTCCATTTGCTAGCTCTTTGAATGTTTCCTTTAGATCTTGTATCTCTATCTCCTCATCGGGAAATGGGGATAAGAGAGTATTTGATATTCTAGGACTAAATCAGTTAAACCATTTAATGTGCTCAGCATGGTAGTTGGCTGGCAGTTTTCCTCTCCCTTCTTTTCTTTATTATTGTGATTAAATTCTGAATATTTATTTTCAATAAATCTTTATAGTTATAATGAATAATTAGTCTCTAAAGAAAATAAGTATGTCTACATTTAAGATAAGAACTTTAAGGTCATCAATATGTTCTTCAGCATTGATGATGACTGATTAATCGATTAGTCTTACGTAAAGAAGATGTGAATTAAACATGGAGAAATATATTCACTGAAACCAAATGGACCATTTTTCAAATGCTAGAACTGACTCTAATTATTTGCACTTATTTTGATTGCTGTATTGTATTTTATGATTTGCATTATCTTATTACCATACGACCACTGTTACGGTGGGAAAAATTTATTTTATATGATTCATAAGAAACAGTTGGAGAAATCTGCCCTTCATACGTAAATCTCTGTTGATACTTTGCAACAGTTAGCAAAGTAAAGTTGAAGCATCAAAGGGATATATAAAGATCATGCAAGCTGTGTACAGTGGGCTCTGTGATTTGTAGTGACTGTCAGGGAAAACAAACTCATTGTAATTTAAGAATCATGATGAGAATAGGGAGCAGGGAATACACCATTCCTCAATCCTGGCACCTGTATTTATGAATAGAATGCAAATTATTTGGCATATTGCACATATTTTTAAAAACAGAATTCTTCATTGGTGAATAAATCCAGTATTTAATAAGGCCCTGCTAGGCACTTAGCACTTGCCAAACCCCACATTTTACAAAAAAGCTATAGGCCATATGAGTGCAAAGTAAAGGGAACAAATGTATAGAAAAATTAAGGTCATGGAAGCTTCCAAGGTATTGTCTGATAGACATTAGAAAATTCCCAAATCCATTAATATCAAAATAACAAGATAGCCATCTCTCTTTAAAATGTAGTAAAGTGAAACTGGAAACTTTCTGGTATTCCCTTTGGAACCTTAATGTGTTACTTATATTTAGTGACCAGAAGAAGCTACTTAAATTTAGTTAACATATTCCAGGTGGTAGAGTAGGCCCAATCTCAATCTGGAGATAAATGATTATTCTTATACCCTACTCTCATAACACTAATTACATTTGTGTAATATTAAAAATGATAACATATTATTGATCTTCAGGGTCAGTCTCACCAATTGATGCTGTAGGAAGTCAAGATTCACAAGATTTGCTCCTTTTTAATTAAAATACTAAATATGTGGTATTTATTTAACAAATGAGTTAGAGAAAAGTGTGAGCATGATAGACATTTTGGGTGAGTGGCTGCAGAAAACCCGTGTCTAGCCCTAGAGCCTAAATCAGAGGCCACCCATTTCTGAATTCTGCACCTTTGCTCCGTGATTTCCCTTACTGCCTTTTAAAACCAAATTAAGGAAATGGATCGAATTTCCCCAGTTTAAGTTTTTTTCTATACAATTTTCTTAAACCCTTGGCACTTACTCCTTCTTGCCTGCGAGTGAGAGCTGGCAGATGATACAATGAATGAACAAGCAGCAAATGAATATTAACAGAAAACTCAGAAACCGTCAAACAGCTTGTTTTCTGTGTGTAGACGTGTGTGCTCGTGGTTGTGATTCTATATGGGATACATATAATAAAATCATATGTTCTGCTCCTAGTTTTTACAGAATTGAATATATCAATATGCCACAGTGTTCCGCAAAGGGGATGGTGTTTTGCAAAAAATAAAAATAAAAATCATGATTGGTAGGTTCAGCATCACCTGAGGAAGCTAAGGGACAGGGCCTCTAGTCAGGGAACAATGAGAAGAGGAGTGACCTTCCAGGAGGCAGAAACCCACCACTAATCGAGCCACTGGAGATGGACATGCAAATGGTGTGCATGGAGAAATGGGATGCTTTTCACTGGCGAGTAATGAGACATAGGAAAACGATGATCAAGGTAAAGTATGGCATTCTACTTCTGTTATTGAATACAGTCTTTCTCATGTGCTTCTTGTTTAAAGAGGCAACATAAGGTCTATAGGATACGACTTTGAAACAATGTACAGGAGATCCAATTCTATGTTCTGATTTTTAATGTCTCAAATTAGAAAAGATATTCCCTGTCATTCCATTTTTCAGAATATTAATTGACATCCATCCAGATGTTGAAATAAATTGATTGGATATTGTTTACTTTTGTTGTTTTTGTTCAACTCCTCTATGTCAGGAGAAATTGTGTTGCTATTTAGAAGGCTAAGGTAAAAAGCTGTCACTCTGGCTCTTTGCATATTACTTTTTGCCCCTTGGGGTAACCTTATAGCCAGATGTGACATAGTGGGTTGGTGCAATCACTTTGATGGGGGGAATTACATACGATAAATTCTGAAGAGGAGAAAGAAACATTTCCTTTGCATTGATTTTTTTTTCCAGCTTTTTTCTTCCTCTCATGTTGCTGCATTCCTACTAAATTATATGTTATTTATTTTGAAAGAATTTTTACTGGGGAACTTTTCTGAACCGAATGCTTTCTCTTTTATTATGAAATGTCTCTCCTATCCAGTCCTCTTTTTCCTTCTCTATGCTCTCACCGCATTCATTCTGTGTACTTATATTTTTCTACGTGTAAGTTTTTCTGAACTGAATGGCAATTCATAGGCCTTTTGTAGTCAGATGCCATGCTCTATGATGTGTTCTTGTTTCCCCAGTGTAAGACACACAGAAGACAGGAAATAGGTGTTGAACAAATGTATGAATGAATGAATGAATGATTCAGAATGGTATTATAAACAGTCAACATCACATTACTTTCTTATGAAACTTCTTCCTGGAGCCCTATTATGTATCAGAGGCACACTCAGGATTTTTAAACAAAAACACTCTCATTGCTGGGTAAATTAAGACCTACAGTTGACAAATAAGACAAGAAATATTTGTCAGATGGAAGTTGTAAAGTTCTTGGTTGAAACGGGTTCTGATGGTCTTATCTAGATTACTGCAGTAGCCTTCTAAGTGACTCCCTCATTTCCAGATGTGATCCCTCATTTCCAGATGTGATCCCTCATCCCTCAATCCATTCTACACTTGCTAGACTGAACTTATTAAGACACCATTTTATTGCCATTCTTCTGTTCAGAAATCTTCTATTATATTGACTGTCTTATACTTTAATTAGTTGTCTTACACTTATCTTTCCAATTCATTGTACAATTGTTGAGAGAAGAGAATATAATCACTTCTCTATCTCTACTTATCTGTATGCACATGTAAAAAAATCAAACTTCACCCAAGTAGATTCTAGTCTCCTCTTATTTCTGACAAGTGACAAGAACATTATTAACCTAAAACTATTTAGATATATATATATATACACACACACATAAATATATATTTGAGACAGTGTCTCATTCTGTCACCCAGGCTGGAGTGCAGTGGTGCAATCACAGCTCACTGTAGCCTTGACCTCCTGGGCTTAAGTGATCCTCCTGCCTCAGCCCCTCAAGCACCTGGGACTACAGGCATGCACAATTTATACCTGGCTAAGTTTTGTAATTTTTGTAGAGGCAGGGTCTCACCGTGTTTTCCAAGTACTTTTCAAACTCCTGAGCTCAAGTGATCCATGTGCTTCAGCCTCCCAAAGTGTTGGGATTACAGGCGTGAGCCATCACCCCAGCCATAAAAATATTCTTAATTTTTTTTATTTTTTAAAATTTCTATTCACATTAAAAAGAATGCAATCTGATACTGTTGTTATCATAAACCCATTTTGTATGTCTATATAGTTTAATTAGGAATGACCTATATATTTGAAAAACTGGCTATCGTACAATAGACCCCTTTTTGTTTTTCTAACGTTTATAACCATGCCTTTCTGGAACAGTCCCAAAGAAAGAATTTATTCAACCGCATGCTCACACTCCCTATTTCCTCCTGACACGTTCATTTCCTCTTATTTATTGATTTATTTGTTTATTTATTTTTGAGATGGAGTCTTGTTCTGTCGTCAGGTTGGAGTGCAGTGGTGCGATCTCAGCTCACTGCCACCTCTGCCTCCCGAGTTCAAGGGATTCTCCTGCCTCAGTCTCCCAAGTAGCTGGGACTACAGGCACCCACCACCACGCCCAGCTAATTTTTATATTTTTAGTAGAGGCAGGGTTTCAACATATTGGCCAGGCTGGTCTCAAACTCCTGACCTTGTGATCTGCCTACCTTGGCCTCCGCCTCCTAAAGCGCTGGGATTAGAGGCGTGAGACACCGATTTATTTACTTTCTTTATAGTGAGCGCAGTGCCCATCTTACTCGAAGGTGTTCTCCTTCAACCATGTTCTGAGTATAATACTAACGCTCTAGTACCAGCCCATGTCTACCAAGGGCCTGGTTGCAGTCATTACTTTCAAACAACCACACCATCCTCTATGCTGATTTTTTTTTCTTGGAGTGGATTCTCCTGCTTCACATGACAAACTGTTGTTTGTTTTTTGGGATTCAGCTTTGTTGTCACATCTGCTATTAAGCTTCTGGTGACTCTCTTACATGTGTTAATGTCATATACATGCCATGATTTGTCAGATTTTTTTTAAGTGTCTGTGACTAAATTTGAATTCTTTAAAGACAGAACTCTGCCTTCTCCATCTCAGCCTCTACAGATCTTTGCACAGAACTCAGCAAATTCTGTGCACTCAGTGAATGCTTATTGAATGTTTAGGTGTTTGCATATGAAACTTAATATTTAAAAATGCACTTAGGAACGCGGTGGGGAATGGATGATGAGTGAGGAGCTTCCATGTCTAAGTTTTAGCTCTGCCACTAATTGATTGAACACTTTGGAGAAATATTTTCTCTCTGAGCTTCAATTTTGTCATCTGGAAAATTGGAGTGATGGAGGAATGGAAAGAACCAGACCTTCATGTAAGCCCTTCAAGACCTACTATAGGGTGTATGCTGAGTGCAGAGGCAATATAAGCTTAGCCATAAGGATGAGAAATGTTATTTTAAAACAAACAAAATTAGATATGCAACAAGTCACAGAAGCTGAAAAGTTCCTCCTGAGGAACTTTTCTTTGATGGGGGGAGTTACGTATAATAAATGAGGTATTTCAGGAAGGTTTTATAGACCCAGGGATAGCATCTGGGTCTGTGGAAGCATGTTAGATTGCTTACTCTTGAGCTTTGGATTCTAGAGAAGCACTTGGCAGAGTGTAAAGATGATGGGCTTTGCATTGATCAGGTATGGGTTTGAGTCCAGATTCTTGCTCTAACTATGTAACCTTGAACCTTAATCTTCCTGTGCATAAGTTTGGTCAGCTGTAAAATTTGGGCTAAGAACTTGTCATCAGAGTTGTTTTTTAAAAAAATTATAAATTAGACATACTCCACGCAGTGCTTGATGAATAGCAGACACTGAATGAATCATAGCTATTACTATTATGGAACTAAAATTAATGCTGCTGAGATAATAATTCTGTCTTAATGTGTCAACTATCACTAACGGTACAGAACAAAAAGGAAAAAAGACATAATTAACCCCGTTAACCACCTGAAAAATAAAAGAATTCTATTTCCAGCCCTCTGATAAAAGGCCAATTTGCAAGTTTTGGGTGTTCAAAGATTATTTTTATTCTGTCATTGCTCTCGTTCCAGTTATGAACTCAGTTCAAAAATAATGATTATTCAGTGAATATGCCTAATGATGCCACACATGTATGAGCAGAATTAAGGGGAGCATAGATTTACACTAAATAAGCAAATAAAAATATATCAGCCTGCCCAACTGTGGACAGGCAATGTGAGCTTAACGCAGCTCCCCATCCTATTAAAATACACACGGAGTTATTGAAGATTCTCTCTAATAGATATTTACTGTGTGTCTCAGTGTGAAACATCTGGATCTATAAAAATTATGAGATACGTTTTTCAGAATAATATTGCTAATAATTTTGGGTTGCTAAAATTAGTCACCATAAAAAGAACTTAGATATTAAGATATTTTCTGTGTAACTGAAAAAGATGATCATGGTTGGCCCTATTTTATAGTGTTCCAGCCATAAGTTATAATATTTACACATATTCTAAAACCACCATCAATTAGTCTATATGTTTTTTTCACCCCTCAGTGTGGTACCCATTTGAAATACATGTTGTATAGAAAACATATGGAAATCAAACAGAAGCAGCTCGTTTCTTCTATAAAAGTTGTACTTATGAGGAGATATAGTGGCTCACACCTATAATCCCAGCACTTTGGGAGGCCAAGGCAAGGCGGGTCACTTGAGGTCAGGAGTTTGAGACCAGATCGACCAACATGGTGAAAACCCCATCTTTACTAAAAATACAAAAATTAGCCGGGCGTGGTGGCACGTACCTGTAGTCCCAGCTACTTGGGAGGCTGAAGCAGGAGAATCGCTTGTACCTGGGAGGCAGAGGTTGCAGTGAGCGGAGATCACGCCATTGCACTCCAGCCTAGGCAACAGAGTGAGAATCCATCTCGGAAAAAAAAAAAAAAAAAGTTTTATTTATTTCTTTTTCGTTATGCAAGAACTGAATGTTTTCCTAAGAAGATACTTTTTAAGACACTTGTAGACAGGTCATCTTTTTCTCTGTGTTTATAGCTTTGGTTTTAGGCTTAAAGTCATGAAAGAATTTTGAGAAAATGATTGTTTCATAAATATGTTCCATAAATTGTTTTCCAAAGCCTTCTTCTAACAGGCAGGTATCTATAAAATAATTTTTAAAATGTTAATTAAAAACTTTGATTTTATTGCATATATTATTCTTCTTAGTAAAACTAGATCTAATGAATAAAAGCAATTCAAACGACATTCTTGTTGGCTGTGTCACTGCCTGAGATTTTGAATGGATGCTAACCGCTCTCTTTGGAGTGCAAAGGATGATTGTGATTGTTTCTAGTATTTGAACACCAAACTTCCATGACTGCTGCCATACAGGATCTTAACTTCACCCTCTTGACTTTTTAATAGTTCCCTAATTGAGACCCCCATGCGAGTCTTTCCTTGCACCATTTTCCCCTCTACTGCTGCTACAGCTATTGTTCTAAAATACATCTGGCCATGTTACTTCCGGGCCAAAAACTCCATGATCCACTCTTAAAAAATGCAAACTCCTACCTTGGTATATTACCCTTTTCCCAAGGACCCCATACTCATTTGACAACTTATCACTTGCCTGTCTGTTTCATGACCCTTAAGCTCTATTCAGACCCAACCATTCTCCATTCAACAAATTTGCCATTGACATTAATAGTTTCATAATTTTTCATCAGTTCTTCCCCCTCCCTGGAATCCTTCTACTTCAGCCTCTTCTCCATGTGGACAGATTCTGTCGACCCTTCATGAATGAACTTCAGTGTTTCCTCTGTGCAGCCCTCCTTACTCTAGTAGACTCTAGAAGACAGGATTTGTAACTCCTTCGGGCCACTCACAATATTTATTCCCACCTTTTCATAGTACTTACCATCACAAATTGTGATGCCATCACATTCTATTGCGGTTTATCTGTTTCTGCGTCTGTCCACACTAGGGGTTCTTCAGAAGGAAAGTGTTTCTTAATAACAAATTAATAACTCCAGTGCTTCTGCAAATGTTTAGTATTACAGACCCTCCATGTTGAATAACCGAGTGGATGGAAACTTGCAGTGGCTGACTCATTGACAGATAGAACACCTATTCGAGGAGTACAGTCTGTCCTATGTAGTTTAAGTAAAAGTTGACTTAATTGCTGATTAAATAATTTATATAATGCTCATAGTATTTATACATATTTGCTCTTATTAATTACACAATTATGATTAAACTATCAAGCACAAGCTATGCATAATGATGAAGGTCTGCAGTCAGACAGAAATGGCAGGAATGGAAGGCAGAGTCTCTCTGGCATTCTCAGTGCGGATGTAAGCTTCGGTAGGATGCACAACTTCTCATGATCCCTTCTTCAGTTCCATTCCACTGGGCTATCTGTTGCCAAAGCAATGTAGTTCATTCCTTATTATCCTGTTTCCACCTCAGCTTCCATGTATGGGATTATTATTGCTTTTGTGGCCACATAACTAGTGAGTATCTCTGTGTAGCATTCTATGAAGTATGTAGGTGCAGTGGCAGCATACAGTATGCAGTCTTAGCCTTCTTATGTTGCTGTAAGAAAGTACTGTGGATTGGGTGGCTTCAACAACAGAAATTTATTTTCTCACAGCCCTAGCGATTGGAAGTTCAAGATCAAGGCGCTAGGAGTGTTTGTCTGGTGAGGTCTCTCTCTTTGGAGTTCAAATGCTTGCTCTTCTCAATGTGTGCTCATGTGACTTCTTTGTGCACCTGCAGAACGGGACAGAAAGAGAGGAAATGCTGTCGTGTATCTTACACAATTCGTATCTGATCCGGACCCCACCCTTATTAACTCACGGAACTTTAATTACTTCCTTACTCCAAATACAATCGTGTTGGCGGGGTTAGGACTGCAACATATGACTTCTAGGAGGACATGTATGCTCAGTTTGTAACACGCATTATTGTAAAATGTACTTATTAGAAGTTTTAGTGCCATAAAAACTTCAATTATGATGTGGAATCTAGGACTAAGACAAACATGTTTCCAGCCAGCAGAATGTTCAAGGAAGCTGTGAGTGTGCAGCCTTACCAAGTTTTCTGCACATAACCCTCTTTCTTCATTAAGGTGACTGTAATTTTTTTTCTGCTAAATTTGGAAGCAGCTCCTCCTTGCACCATTCATCTTTGTCAGAGTTCCTTGTCTGTTCAAATGTTTTGTAGCCACTTTGACTAATTCTGAGGCTTGATGTTCAGAATTTCACTTTGATAAAACATAGAATCATTTTGCATAAAGCACATGGGCGTGGCTTTTATTTAATATGACAACAGGACTTAATAAACTTTCCCTCTGCCGTTCCAAATATTTATTCAAAATGGCCTTATTTGTGGTTACCTTATCCTACTGTCATTTTTGATATTACCTTATGATTACATAAAATATAAATCTGCTTTTTTCTTGATTTCATATACCAAAACTATTCTCATTCGTCTCGGGTCGCGGGATTTTGAGATCCCGTTGCCTAAAGCCATAGAGTTAGATGGTTTCTAAAGGTGCTTGCTGAGTGCCTCTTTAAAGGTGTAGAAAGAGCAGCAGCAGTTCACAGTCCCACCAACAGTGTAAAAGCGTTCCTGTTTCTCCACATCCTCTCCAGCACCTGTTGTTTCCTGACTTTTTAATGATCGCCGTTCTAACTGGTGTGAGATGGTATCTCATGGTGGTTTTGATTTGCATTTCTCTGGCCAGTGATGGTGAGCATTTTTTCATGTGTTTTTTTGGCTGCATAAATGTCTTCTTTTGAGAAGTGTCTGTTCCTGTCCTTCGCCCACTTTTTGATGGGGTTGTTTGTTTTTTTTCTTGTAAATTCAACCATTGTGGAAGTCAGTGTGGCGATTCCTCAGGGATCTAGAACTAGAAATACTATTTGACCCAGCCATCCCATTACTGGGTATATACCCAAAGGACTATAAATCATGCTGCTATAAAGACACATGCACACGTATGTTTATTGCGGCACTATTCACAATAGCAAAGACTTGGAACCAATACAAATGTCCAACAATGATAGACTGGGTTAAGAAAATGTGGCACATATACACCATGGAATACTATGCAGCCATAAAAAATGATGAGTTCATGTCCTTTGTAAGGACATGGATGAAATTGGAAATCATCATTCTCAGTAAACTATTGCAAGGACAAAAAACCAAACACTGCATGTTCTCATTCATAGGTGGCAATTGAACAATGAGAACACATGGACACAGGAAGGGGAACATCACACTCTGGGGACTGTTGTGGGGTGGGGGGAGGGGGGAGGGATAGCATTAGGAGATACACCTAATGCTAAATGACGAGTTAATGGGTGCAGCACACCAGCATGACACGTGTATACATATGTAACTAACCTGCACATTGTGCACATGTACCCTAAAACTTAAAAGTATAATAATAATAATAATAATAATAATAATAATAATAAAGAGCAGCAGCAGTGGCCTCATGTCTCTGTAAGATATGTGAGAATTCCACTTAGTGGCTCAGACATTGTCAACAGCACCCAGCCTGCCTTGTGGAAAAAAAAAATATATTGAGTTTGGTGGTTTACTTGGATTATAATAAACATAAGAGGATATATATAATAAAAAGCAACCTGGATAATATCTCATATTTTCTTTGAGTAAGAGTGATGTAGGTCTGTTTTGCCTTCGTGTTAGAATTGTGGCTTATGTAACAGATCCTGAACTTATCAAGTTATCATAATCTGTAAAAACACAAAACACAGTCTCTGTCAGCTGATTTTTACAAACAGTTTTAAAGCATTTGATGTGGGCCAGGGCCTTTGAACTCTGCTTTAGGAACTGAAGAACTGTGACTGAGGTTTAATACAATGCCGGAGACTGGCTGTAATGCTGCAATTACAAGAATGACTTTCAATATTAAATATATCTGTCTTTTAAATTTTGCTAGATATGTACCTTTAATCTGCTTTAAGTAAAACTTCCACTCCTATGATTTAAACAGAAATGGCAGAGGAGAATATGAGCTATTTGATCAAAAGAAAATCATTTTAAATGTTGAACATGGCTCATTATTACTGTTAATTGGTTACATATATTGTTAGTTTTAGTAATGTTTTTCTTCCTAGATTTTATATTGTAGCTTTCAATTTGATAAAGCCCGAGGCACAAAAAGATTGGGAGCACTTTACACATTAAGTGAAGAGAAAATGTAATTTTTGTTTTGTTCTTTTTAGTTGCGAAAAGATTATTTGAATTTATGGAGATTTCGCAGATTAGGTTTTCAAAAAGTTAGCTTTAAAAGTACTGTGTATATCTAGGCTTATATAATTCAAAAGATGAGATTTTTGCAGAATTGGATGAAAAATCTTATTTAATGTTTTGAAATGATCTGACTTTTGTTGGCATATAAATCTTTAAGGTACGCGATATTCATTATTTTCACATATTTAGGTACAAATTAAATCTTGAGTAAGCCATCAATTTAAGATAGACATATTTTTTCATTAGATACAGCAGACATACAAAATTATTATTGTAGTGGTATTTTAATATCACATGTCATCTGAATGCTATGCACATATTTTTTAAGCCTCTCTGTGTTCCGCTAGGTAAGGTACGAAGAGGATATATTTGTCAGATTGGGAACCACGAATTGAAGTTCAAAACATAAGAGCACCACTTTTTTAGAATTAGTTTTTTCTTCCCCAACTCCACTCACATGAAAAAAAAATCTTAATTTTCTAAATTCATTCTCAATGTTTCTTTTTACTTTTGTGAACTGATGAGTAAGAGTAGAAGTAATTTTGAAATGGAAATATTGAGCTGCAAATAGAAATATTGAGCATGAATCCTCTCACATGAGGATACCTGGGTGATGCATATCATGGAATGATGATGCATGCTGGGAGTGACCTGCAATGGAATGGGCTTGGGGACAATCTGTTGCTCTAGGAAATGTCAATGCACAGAGTTGATGCATTCCAGTCTTTGGCATCTGAGATTGGATTATTTGCCAAGACATGCTCATAAAAAGGGCAGCTTTTTATTCACCTTTGCCATGTAATCGTACTGTAAATGAGTTATGTCTTTCATAGGTCTCTGTATGCTTCTGGGACACGTCTCAGATTGTAGATCATTAATATGACTTGTCATATGGATCTCCAGACTTCTGCCTTCCCATTGTTTTCATCCAAGGATCTACAGTTTCTTTCTGTTCTTCTTTCCTGTGCTAAAGTAAAAATCTAACAATGGTTTTTGGTTACCTCCTTAGTTCAAAGGCAAAGACCTCAGCCTCAAATTACCTTCTTATTAATCAAAGCCATTTTGAGAGGACATAAAGCTAACATAAATGGCATGTTGCACTGTCGAGCTTGTGAAAGAACCATGGGTTTGTATTTTTACATTCTAACCTTCCCATTTATCCCACTCAATCGTATACAAAATTTATTCCAGCTCTAATGTATACTGAAATATAAATCCTGACTTATAGTTACCCAAGAGTGAAAAATTCTCTCATGTTAGAACATGTTCAGTTATGATCAAATACTAATTATACACACACACACACTGACATTATATATGTAGAAATCCCCTTATATCTGTTTATGTCCTCACTTTATGAAGTACCATTAGTTTTAGAAATGTTATAAAAATAAACTCGATGTCTAAAAAAGATTGAGTCCTTCAAAAACCATAAGGCTGCTTTTATTCTCCTCTCAGACCTGAACAGGAAATGAGTGTAAGACTCAGACACTCACAGATCAAAACACAAAGTACAAAGATCATCATCCTCATCCTATTCTGTATTATGAGGAATCTCCTTCGCTATTCTGAATATTTTAGGTAAAATCAATATGTATACTGTGGAATAGCGGTTCTCAAACTGCTAACTAGAAAGCCTCGGGGATGGATCCCAAAGGATTCATAATGTGTGATAATAGCACTCTGATGATCAGTGAAATGTGTCTGTGCATTCCATTTTCTAGAATGTTCTAAGGTGCTAGGTATAAATATATACATTTTCCAAAGATTAATTTCATTTGTTCTCAGTACTTCTATTGTGTGCTTACTTGCTGCAACCTTACTTATGCCTACCCCAATGACTGGGAAACTTTTTCTGTTAAAGGGCAGATGGCAATTATTTTTGGCTTTTTAGGCCATATAGTCTGTCACAACTACTCAACTTTGCCATTATAGCCAGAAAGGAACCACAGAATATATGTAAACAAATGAGCGTGGCTATGTTCAAATTATCCTTTATTAATAGACACTGAAATTCATGTCATACAGTTTTTATGTACCGTGAAATATTATTCTTCTTTCAATTTTTTTCAATCATATGAAAACATAAACACCGTTCTTAGCTTGTGGGCATTTCTAGCAGGCCAGATTTGGCCACAGGCCATAGTTTTACAACCCGTATCTCTAACAAAACTTTATATTTGAAACACTGAAGTTTTTCTCATAGATACATCAAAATACAAGTAAATATACTTTTCTTTCTTATTTTACTATAATATTTCAAAGTTGTTTTTAAACACTTTTCCAAGTTAAATTTTTTCTAAAACTTATTAGAAATTTTAATATTTTACTCCATAATCAAAGAAAGTGCATTCAAAATAACTTTTCTTATGTTTAAAAATTGTAAGTACATGAACAAAAGTGATTGGTGTCTTCAATAATTTTTAAGACTATTAAGAGGCTGGGTCCGAATGCCAAAATATACAGAATCGCTGCTATAGAGGATATTACAGGGCATCCCCTCATTCCACTTACAGAGGGTGGCACTCATGTCCCCAGCTTCTCTGTTGTCAAGGCTGTCTTAGATGAGATCTTCCAAGAATTGCTGCTAGACAAAACAAGCATATTAATTTCCTGGCATTGGCGTAGCAAATGCCACAAACTAGGTGGCTTAAAACACCAGAAATGTATGTCTCACATTCTGGTGGCTGGAAGTCCAAAATCAAAGTGTTGGCAGGGCCAGGCTCTTTGAGGGCTCTAGGGTAGAACACTTCCTTGCCTCTTCCCAGCTGCTGGTGGTTGCCAGCAATCCTTGGCATCTTTGACTTGTAGATGCATCACTCCAATCTCTGCCTCTGTCTTCACTTGGCCTTCTTCCTGTGTGTAGGTGTCCAAATTTCCCCATTTTGTAAGGGTATCAGTCATTGGATTAGGGCCCACTCTAGTATGATCTCATCTTAACTTGATTATAACTGTAAGACCCCATTTTCAAATGAGATTAAATTCACAAATATAGGTAGGTAGGAAATCAACATGTCTTTTGGAGAGAACTAATTCACCCATAACAGGAGTCATATCCCCCAAGGCCACACCCCTCTGCAGGGGCAGACTACACCCAAAAACTGGCATCTTCAGGAGTCTCAAGCTCCCTGCCTTGCCTCAGGTTGGGACATCTCCAAAGGGCCATCCGAGGGCCAGAGCTCTCTGTCGAATCGACAGAAGCTCTCTTACTACACTACTAAGGCTCATTCCTCCTTCCGCCCAATTCTGCTCCCTTATCCCTCACAAGTGTTGCTTTCAAGAGCACTCTGCATGTAAATTTCAGAATCTCAGAATCTGTTCCCTGGGAAACCCAACCTATGACAAATGCAAGGAAATATATCTGTAATTAAAACTTTCTTGCTTCTTAACTTTTCTTTTATATTGGACTTTAACCATAAAGACAGTAAAGATTTCATTTTTACAGTATCTCTTTATTATACAATTAGAGATATTAAGACAACTTGAAATGGAGTTAAGAAACAGACATATATGTGAAAGCATTTAGGTTTTTTTATCCTCACTTCTGCCTCACCATCTCATATCACAATTGGTAGTTTCATCTAGTTTCATTATTTTGAAATGTTTACT
This sequence comes from Homo sapiens, assembly GCF_000001405.40. NCBI lineage: Eukaryota > Metazoa > Chordata > Mammalia > Primates > Hominidae > Homo > Homo sapiens. Next base: position 180,990,354 of record NC_000004.12, read on the forward strand.
TTTGAGGGTGATTTTACTGGAGATCAAAAAAATGGCAAAAAATAATCATAGATGTTATCTATTCAGACCTACCATTCAATGCAAGGAGGGAGTTTTCAATAATATTTTGGAGAAGGAGAAGATAGAATTGCCCAAATATTTCAGAGCAAACATGCCTCTTGTGAAGTGTGTTGAAGCTATGTAGTGAGGGATTTCTCAGAAAATAAAAGGAAGTATAGGAGCAAAAGATAGGGGTAGGATGTCACTTTATCATTAGAAATATAAGTAATTTTTTGAAGCCACAGAGGGGGTTTGATATTTGTTAAGAGATGAGGCTTATATTAGACCACATTCAGGGATTTAGAATTTAACTTCTGGATAAAGTGGAACCACTGAAGAGTTTTAAAAAGAAAACTGACATGTTCAGATTTTCTTTCAGAAGAACCATGTTGAAAGCTCTGTGTAGGGGATGCCATTAGATAAAGGAAAATCAGAAAGGAACCTAGATAATGAACAGAACTAGGATAAGATGTCAGTGTGTGAGTAGGAGAAGGAAATTGATATAATAGGTGTGCAGGTACAGAACTATCAGAAACTGGTGATGAAGGAATATGTTGGAAGTATGTCAAGGATGGCAGTGTCTTGGTGATTATGTACAAAGGCAACAATGCTATTCATTGATGGAGGAGTCATAGAAACAGGAAAATGTTTAGAGAGGGGCATGATCAGTTTATCTTTGCACATGCTGACTTTAACTTGCTCATACAACATCAACACAGACCTGCGGTAGAGACACACATGTATGGACTGGTCTGGAGCTGAAGAAGAAGAGATAAGAGGTAGGAAACAATGGAAATGCACTCATGCATTATTCATTCAGCGATTTCAGGAATTTTCTTTCGTCTGGGTGTTATGTTAGACACTAGGGATATTATGAGGAACAAGAGATATGAACCCTGCCCCTACAAAGCTTACAGTGTTTTCTGGATCATCATCTGCTTTCTGGTACTACAATAAAATTGCCTTGATTTGGCTTTGGAAGACTCATTCCTCTCCCATGTTAGTCAATTTGCTTTGAATCAAACTGTCACTATCTAAGATGTCAGGAGTAGGAATGTGACTGGTCCTTAGGCAATCAGCATATTTCATCACCCACAGCCATAGTAATTGGTTCAACAGCAAGCATGTAACCTAACAATTTAATCATGATTAGGACTTTTGCTTAAGACACAAGGAAGAACAATAAATTTTGGTGTTGGTCCTGGAATTAGGAAGATATGCAGTGACTGACTACATAAAGATGTGGCCGTTTTAACATGTATGTGAATGACAGGGGAACTAACATCAAGGAACTACTCCTAAGAACTGTGATAGACAGGATCCAGGTCCTGTTTTTTCTCCTACTTCAAGTTGCACCTAAGCTAGTTCTGCCCCAGGTCTTTGCAATTACACGAGCCTGTAAGTTGCCATTTTTGCATTAGATAGGTTTGCTTGTGTTTTCAACTAGACTTGCACACAAAGCAGCCCTGGGCTAATATGAGGAGACTGTCATAAACAAGTAAATATGGTGACATTTTCGTAAGTTATATAAAGGAAATAAACTAGTTCTTTGGTGGGAAACTGTGGTCTGCTTTTTAATATAGAAGAGACCTAAGGATGTTTAGAGTTTCTAAAAACATAGCCAGAATACATACATACAGGAAAGAGAGAATAGGATAGAAGAATCCCAGCATGGGGAAGGTAATCAGAGGAAAGGCTCCAAAGTAGAACCAAGCACACAGTAAAGGGATGAGCTCTGTCTACACTGAAAGCCCCCCCACTTCTAAGCCTTGAAAGAGGTATGAGATAGTGGGTATCAGCGTGCTGAGTTGACTTGGCAGGTGTGAGGCCAAAAATATTAAGAGATCTTAAACTTGACGGCTTCAGTTTTTTATATGAATTTGAAAGCTAGGGTGTACATACGACAGTTTATCAATTTCCTGCTTAAAATGGGATTCCCTAAGCAGAATTGAGTGGTTTGAAAAATAATAGAATAATTAATTCCCTTGATCTGGATGATGTGTTTGGTTTTTCAGAGGCCAAGATAGATAGGCAAGTGACGATCCCAGCTACAATTTAGAATCAAAGACCTGTCACCATAAAGTAATTTTCAACTGTCAGACCTCTAAAGACTAACTCAAGAATACCACCAGAATGAAAGACAAGCAGGCCCAAGCCAAGGAAATTAGTAAGAGGCTGGAGAGCTGGGTTAACGTCAGGAAAAAGGAAAAGGTTCCTCAAATATAGATACAAATTAGTATTTGTACTATTTTCTACACAAATATTTTATCTTAAACTTCTGCAGTGATTTTAAAGGCTCTTTCATTGTCTAAAGTCTATGTTACTTATCCAAATGTTTAATCTTTGCTTTTGTAATGATTTCTAAATTAATAAAGATTTTATTATATGACACACTAATGTATAATCACCCTACATTAATATACAGATATATAGAAAAATACTATATTGTATTTTAAGTATTAATAAGATAAAAATGATCTTTTATATTATTTCTAGAGTTTGTAACATAATGCATAACTAGTAATTATTATATCTATTAATTTACTTAGAATATCTATTAAAACCTTAATTGTATTAACTATGAAAATAGTTTGTATATGTTTATAATATATATTACTTATACATTATATATTTTATATATATTTGCTAAAAAATCTCAAAACTTGACTTCCAAATTTTATTTTCTATATGTTAATACTCATATTTTGTAATATAAATGTATTATAATCTTAAATGCTAGGCCTTTCATTTTCTTCCCATGACTCATTTTATCTAGTAAAACTAAAACATACTATTAAAATGTAGGATCAGGTCTGTGATATTTAGATAGCTTTATAAAGTCTATGTCCTTTATACTCTTTTACAACATTAATGTTAACAAATGTGTTTACTCTGTAGAGGATGAAAAAACTCCTTTTCCTCTACCCATCTTGAGTTCTGTTTCTGGGGCTCTACATTACACTAACAAAGGGCAGATTAACAAGAAAAAAAACAAGTTTATTAGCATGTGCATCCTTCACACAGATAGGAGCACTCAGAGATGTGTAATTCAAAGAGATGGTTAGAACTTAGGCTTATAGACCATTTGAACAAAAGAACAATAAATTTGTAGTGCAGTGCTAAGACAAACAAAAAGAACTTTGAGTTTCCAGGGCAGCAAATTGTGGAAAGGTAAATATATGGGGGAACCAAAGGAGAAAAGGGCTGCTTAGTAAAGTTTGTTATGTAGATTTCTCCGATGGCACCATCTCCTGGCTGATAAGGGTCTAGAGATGTCTGCAGTGAGTAACTTCTCTTCTTCCTGGTCAGTAGGGAGGGAGGACACTTTTACAAATTTATGTCTTGCTCTTAGGCAAATAGAAAGTTGGCAAAGGGCTTTTCTTGTATCTGCTGTCTTCAATTACTTTCAGCTCAAAATAATCCTTATGCTAAAGTGACATATTTTGGGGTGGTATGTTCTACTACTATTCAACTCTTTATAACATGTGTGAAAAATTTAACTATAACATTATATAGCAATATTTAAGATATTTCTTTAAAGCTGGCCCCTTGATCCCACTGAACAAAACATTTCTCATTATGGTTTATCACTGGACTTAATTTCCTATGGCTATAAACTCTCTGAATAATCAGTGTATTCCCTTGAGGATGTTTGGTAAATCTCCTGGAGATGTCAGAAACTAGAAATATTTTGAACTGTAGGTTGTAAAATTTCCAACAACTAATGGCTCTTCGGTTTTGTAGACTGCCTGTTTTCTTTTTATGAACAATATTGCTGCCATTTCAATCAAAGGGATCTTTGGTTCAAGTGTGAAATCTTAAGTCATGCTAAACACTCTTCAGAACTGTAGGTTTAAGAATCCTCCAAGGCTGAGGCAGGAGAATCACTTGAACCTGGGAGGTGGAGGTTGCGGTGAGCCGAGATTGTGTCGTTGTACTTCAGCCCGGGCAACAAGAGTGCAAACCTGTCTCAAAAAAAAAAAAAAAAAAAAATCTTCCAAAACTAACCTAATCTTTTGTTTCTATATTCTTGCCTAAGAGGAAGAAATTGGATTTCTTTTGTTTTTCTTTTCTTTTTTTTTTTTTTTTCCAGATGGACAGGAATGAGATTAGCCTTACGATTTTTGGAGTCAAATGTTGAGGAGACTGATACCCACTTCCTCACTTTTTCTTCCCCTATTTCTTATAATAAGTTGTCTTCTGTGTTAAGATTTCCTTAGGTGTACTTCAAAGTCATCCTCCTGAAATGGCTGCAATTTCACTTAGCTAAAGACTTGAGGACCAGTGAGGAATGGGAATTGGAATTATTTAGCTGACGTCAGAAAAGGGAGGTGATTTTTTTTCATGATAATAAAATTATAAGAATTGGTTTTTGTTTTAGTCCACTTGAGCTGCTACAATAAAATACCATAAGCCAGGTGGCTTATGAACAACAGAAATTTACTTCTCACAGTTCTGGAGACTAGGATGTCCAAGATCGAGGCAAGAGCACATTCAATTTCTGATGAGGGCCTGCTTGCTAGCTCACAGGTGGCACCTTTTTGTGGTAAGCAACCACAGGTTGCTTACACATGATGGAGGGAGTTGGCTAGCTCTCTGGGGTGTATTTTTATAAAGACACTAATCCCATTTATGATGCTCCTCCCTCATGACCTACTCACCTCCTAAATATCCACCTCCTAATACCATCACCTGTAGGATTAGGGTTTCAATATAGGAATTTGGGCAGGGGTGGGGTGAGTGTCACAAACATTCAGTCCATAGCAGCTATTAAGAATTAAAATTTAAGAATTATATTTAAAATAGTCAGGACCACCTATTTTTGTCTCAAGGAAAAACAATATAAGAGTAACCTTGTAGAGCAAAACACTTAAAGTCTATATGAAATAAAAAGACTATACATTTAAAGATAGGCCATTACTTGAGAGTATTCCTTGAGGTCATTGAAACTTAGGACTACTTTTGTAAAATCAAAGATAGGTATTGCATATCTTCAATGGTTAGTGCACATTAGGCACAAGATGAAACATAAGGCATGGTCCCTTCACCCAAGGCTGTCATCTACTAGTAAGGGAGGTCATACTTCCAAATAATAGAAGAATCACCAACAATCCAAGATTAAGGTGCATTCTCAGATAACAATGGGAGCGCTGTTAGAAGGAAGAGATCTACAAGTTTTCATGAACTGGAAGAGTTTTTACAAAGACAGTAAATGTGACTAGATTTTAAAGGAAGGAGAAGTTTTGTCTTTTAAAAGAAAGACTCTGAATTGGGTGAGCAGCTTTTATTAGAATGGAAAAAAAGAAAATAGTACAGAAAAGATTCAGAAGAAAGTACGAGAAATATTCAGAGCAGGCAGAGGAAACTACATTTATTGGAACAGAGGTTATTTAGTTGCCGTTATTATTATTTTATTTTTGGTGGCCTGTAAGACATGCTAAAAAGTTTGGACATTATTCCCTGGGTCAAGATGTTGCCTTTCTAAACAGAAAGTGGAAACAAGAAAATGAAATGGTGTCGTAACAAACAAACAAATGACAACAACAAAAGCAATTCACAGATGCCAAAAGATTGATTATGTTGCTTACAGGGTGGAAATTGATTATGTTGCTTTCAGGGTGGAAATTTTCATGCTGCGATTTTTTGGGAAATGCTAATTAAAAAAGAAAAAATATATGTGTATACACATAACATGTATATTAATGTGTATATTGTATGTGTATGTTATATGCAGTATATACACATAAAAACATGTAATTTTACTACATGGCTTCTAGACCTTTTTAGGTCAAAAGTAAATCTTTAGGTGAACAGTAAATCTTTTTTGCCCCAACATCTCTCCATTTCTCCTTTCCAAATATACCTTTAATAAAGGAATTATTATACAAATTTTTTAAAAAGTTCACTAGAGAATCATTTTTTTTTCAAAGCACCTATTAATACCTCCCAAAATGAGGAATTTGTGCTTTAGATGTTCTCTCTAGTATGGTAGTCATAAAAACAAATGTAGCCATTAACATTAAACTAAAATTAAATAAAGACTTTAATGTTTCAAATCACATGGGCCATGTTTCAGGTGCTCAGTAGCCCCATGCAGCTAGTATTGAATGACAGAGATATTTCCATCCCTGCAGGAAAGTCCTATTGGAAAATAGTGCTTTAGATAATTAACAATTATTATGATTAATTAGGGGGTTGAACTAAGAAACCACGACATGTGGACATCGCACAGAAAAGACTTCTGTTTAAAGGAGTTCCTAAAGACAGAGTGTTGCAATCCAGGTAGAAACTCAAGGGACTTGAAAACACTGCATAGTTTATAAATTTGTATAAATATTCTGTGAAAGTATGTAAATGATGTGAAATGAACACGTCACAAGCCCTGCCATCAACACATATCTTCTAGGAAAAATGACTTCTTTGTACATAAATAATAAAACCTAAGATACACTTTTAGAAAGCCAAAATCTAAGCATTAACAACGCTTTAAAACGATAGCAATTTTTTCTAAGGGGTTCAGGGAAGGCTTTATTGAAGAAGCGAGTGTTAGGACAGCTGACAAGATGGAAAGTAAAGTTGACAACTAGAGATGGAAAAGGAAAGGTTGAAACAGTTGTTAAGAAATAGATGGGCCGGGCGCGGTGGCTCACGCCTGTAATCCCAGCACTTTGGGAGGCCGAGGCGGGCGGATCACGAGGTCAGGAGATCGAGACCATCCCGGCTAAAAAACGGTGAAACCCCGTCTCTACTAAAACTACAAAAAAAAAATAGCCGGGCGTAGTGGCGGGCGCCTGTAATCCCAGCTACTTGGGAGGCTGAGGCAGGAGAATGGCGTGAACCCGGGAGGCGGAGCTTGCAGTGAGCCGAGATCCCGCCACTGCACTCCAGCCTGGGCGACAGAGCGAGACTCCGTCTCAAAAAAAAAAAAAAAAAAAAAAAAAAGAAATAGATGATGGCCGGGCACGGTGGCTCACGCCTGTAATCCCAGCACTTTGGGAGGCCAAGGCCGGTGGATCACGAGGTCAGGAGATCAAGCCCATCCTGGCTAACACAGTGAAAACCCGTCTCTTCTAAAAATACAAAAAATTAGCCGGGCATGGTGGCGGGCGCCTGTAATCTCAGCTACTCCAGAGGCTAAGGCAGGAGAATCGCTTGAATTCGGGGAGGCAAAGGTTGCAGTGAGTGGAGATTGCACCACTGCACTCCAGCCTGGGCGACAGAGCGAGACTCCATCTCAAACAAAAAAGAAAAAGAAAAAAAGAAATAGATGACAGTTTAACACTCCTTTCAACTCTCTTATATGAATTTTTCTGATTATTTATGTCCTGTTAATATCATGACTCAGTTCATTTAATTATTAAAGACCTTACAAACGATTCCATTTCTTTTTAAAGATTTTTATTTTTCTCAAACTCCCACTAAGCTATTTATTTCCAATTTGTGTGTGATAAATTGGAAATTGTGCGCTGAACTGTTAAACTGATGAGCAAACAATTAAATGCAGATAAGAAGCTTTAAATTTAATACTTAGAAAATATAATATTCAGATTATTAAAGGGATGTTATGGTAGATTCATTTATCTAACTACAACTGTGACGGTTTATGAAATCACCAAAACACTATTGAGGATAATATTGAGTAGATTAATCTGTAATTTTGTGAAGTAAACATTGATTTAGAAACTGTTTTCTTTATTTAATATTAAAGCTAAATTTTACATTTAAAATAGATATAGAAGAAAATTTGATTCTAAAGCTTTGGTTTGGTTGGTTAAACTGCCATATTTCTTAGATATTAGTTAATGGATACATTTGATTTTCAAGATTTAAAAATGACAAGGTGGTCATCTTTTTAAAAAAATTTTCATCAAATACACATTGTGAAAATGCTAACTAGGTAATAAAAACCTCATTGAATGCTAAATATTCAACATTATTTTAGGTATATAATTGAAAGAGGTATTTTCTTCAGTTCTTTAGCAAAAACGCCAAAATGCCTAGGTTTACCCTCTGCAGATTTTAATCTAAATCAGAGATCAGAATAAATCAGAAGTGAAACTCACCACATGTGCGTATGTATTTGTGTGCATGTGTGTTGGGGAGTAGGATAGAGGTTTATGTGCAGTTGTCAGAGTAGATTGCAGATGTGTAGTCTGGTAAAGTATGTTTGATCTTATAACAATATCTGAAATAAAAGCTAGAAACTAAAATTCCTGAGAATGTTCTTCTCAAAAGAAAGAGCAATGAATCTCAGCACAGTACAGCATGGGAGTTGGAGAGCTTAACCTCCATTCCTAGGATGTGTCTTACATTCTCCAGTACTGTGAGAAGTCCTTATGCTCTTCAGAAGTACATTTGCATTAGAGATGGTTGAGAAGCACTGACATAAGTCAACTGATATCAGTGCAGACAACTTACAAACTCAGGGGCAGGTGGTAAATAGCAAATATATTTACAACTTGAAGTCCATATCATAATGAACTAATAAAAATAAGTTGGAATAAATGATTGCCTAAATAAGAAATTAGGGTTTGTATCTCAGCTTTTTCACTGACTCAGCTATGTATTATTGACAAGTCACTTAACTTGTTAAAATTTTCTTAACGTCCTCATTTGAGAATAGATAAGGTTGAATGAAATCTCTAAATCTTCTTCAGCTTCTGAAGTCCCACAATTCTAAGTCACTAAATAAAGCTATGAATCTTGTTTCTGGGTCTAATATAATACCACTATAAAGGTATTAGGAGAAACATTAGTATCTTTCCAAGCATAAATCTAATTAATTAGGACAATTGGGGGATTTGGAGTATACAGCCAAATTGTTCTCTTAATTACTACCTAAAAGACACATTGTTTTAAGAAATGTAAAATTTCATCCATGTAAAATTTAGTATGTATAACATAGTGTTTGTTTATTTCTCATTGAGTGAGAGTGAAGTGAAATTGAGTAAGGGCTTGAGGAAATGGTGAACTTTCAACATTCAAATATTCCCTAGGGCTCAAACATTTTAAAATTGGCTCTGGGCCCAGGGAGCACTTAGGACAAAATGATATTGAAGGCACTATAGTGATATTATTTGACACTTGATTCGAGGGAGTTGATAGTAGCAGTAACTGAAAGATGTATATGATAAGCTTTAGCAATAAAAGTCTATTATAATATTTGACGGTGTAAACACAGAACATTGGATTCAAAACAATATTACCAAATAAATTTTAAAAATGGAATAGAACAAGGTTTTGCTATCTATCTACTTCCAGTAGATGGATAAAAGGTAATACCAAAATCTTTGTTCTCTGATCTTACTTTCTCATATTTTCAACCCAGTTGTATACAATGGAAAAGCAGCTAGAAATTCGGAAGAAAAATATGATATTTTCACATCACCACAATAACAGGAATTTCTTTGTATTCCTCCAATATGCACTGATATCTACCAACTAACCAACATTTATAATGTTAATATTGTCACTTCTAACAATGGATTCAAGGATCATTGTCCTTTGTGCTCTGAATCCTGTCCACTCTCACTTTCTCATGAATTCACCTAGCAATTACTATCTTTCCTAAATAATTAACTTCGCCCTCTGAAACAGATCACTCCTATCTGCATAAAGATAGCACATAACATGGTGTGTGTTTGTTTGACACAGAGTCTTGCTCTGTGGCCCAGGCTGGAGTGCAGTGGTACAATCTCTGCCCACAGCAGCCTCTGCCTCCTGGGTTCAAATGATTCTTGTGCCTCAGCCTCCCAAGTAGCTGGGATTACAGGCGCGCAACACCACACCTGGATAATTTTATTTTTAGTAGAGACGGGGTTTCACCATGTTGGCCATGCTGGTCTCAAACTCCTGACCTCAGGTGATTTGCTCGCCTTGACCTCCCAAACTTCTGGGATTACAGGCGTGAGCCACCGTGCCAGGTCTGGCATAACATTTTCAGAGGCCTTGCCTTCTCATCACTTCAGCTCTTGTCCAGGCTACTTACTCCCCATGTCTCAGAATCCATTACCTCCCACTTAACCCATCAGTGTTTAGAAAAGCTGATTATTCCCCCAAATTTTACTTTTCAGCTTTTATGTTCCCTGGCTTAATCAATTTTATTTTCTTTCTCCTTCCCCCCTACTCTCCTTCTTCACCTCCAGCTTTTCTTCTTCTTTTCAGCCTCTAAATATTACAGTGCATTTGAGATGTAGTTTTGGCTTTCTCCCATGTATACTCTCACCCTAGGTAATCTTATCCAGGCTTTTGGCTGGAACTATCTCAACACAGATAAGTCCAACATTTATATCTTCAACCTAGACCTATCTCTTAAACTCTAAACTCTAATCCAACTGTATCTCTGCAAAGATGAGTAACAGGGATGGCAGACCTGGCTAAAAAGGACCCCCAATTCAAGCTGCTTCTTCAAACACGCTCCTCCGCCAGCCTTTCCCATCTCTCAAATGGCACTACCTTTACTCAGTCCCTCAAAACAAAACCTGAGGTTCATTTTGTATTCCTCAATTTTGTTCTGCCACGCTTTCTTCTAATTATTAGTCCACCTCTTTTCTAAATGCAAAACATATCCTGAATTTATCTCCACAAATACCACCCCAACCCGTCATCATCCCCCCTTCTGTACCTCAGAGCCTCTGTACTTCCCTTTCTGCTGCCTCAACAATCTAAGGGATCCCCTAGCTTCCCAGTGCAGCTACATGCATCTTAGTCCCCACAAAGCAGATAGTACAGTGTTGTCAGGTGACTAGAACTGAATTCTTTTTTTTTTTTTTTTTTTTTTTGAGACGGAGTCTCGCTCTGTCGCCCAGGCTGGAGTGCAGTGGCACCTTCTCGGCTCACTGCAAGCTCCGCCTCCCGGGTTCACGCCATTCTCCTGCCTCAGCCTCCCGAGTAGCTGGGACTACAGGCGCCCGCCACCACGCCTGGCTAATTTTTTGTATTTTTAGTAGAGACGGGGTTTCACCGTGTTAGCCAGGATGGTCTCGATCTCCTGACCTCGTGATCCGCCCGCCTCGGCCTCCCAAAGTGCTGGGATTACAGGCGTGAGCCACTGCGCCCAGCCTAGAACTGAATTCTTATGAAATACTTTGGCAAATAGAATAGTACAGAAAGTTACAACAAAATCCCCACATCTACCTCACAGAATTAACAGATGTGAACCTTTATTATAGTTACCTTACTGCTTTAATGAAAATGTAATAGTATAAAAATAGTTGAACTTTCCTATTACTTTTTGTTATTTCTATTACTCATCCTTTTACATTCCCTCTGAGTGAACTCTATTTTAATGTTTTTGTAAGCCATTTCTGTTTTTCTTGATATAAGCTTATGACATACATAAAAATACGTATGCAGTTTGCGGTTCATCTTTTAATTGTGTACGTGTGTGTTTTCTCAAATAAGAAGTTTTACTTTTAGCGAAGTTGAATTCATCAATATTATTTCTTATAATGTTTAGTTTATTGATCTTATTTAATAATTTTTTGTTACCCTAAGGCAGCAAAGGTATTTTTCTAGACTCCCTTCCAAAAAGTTAAAAATGTTAAGTTTGCTGTTGATACATTCAGATTTCTTTTTAATATATACTTTGGTGTAGACAAGTTATTTTACCTTTCCCCCTTCTAGATAGCCAGTTGTCCTACACCATCTGCTTAACATGAAATGCTACATCTGGTATATACCAAGTTCTCATGTTTGTGTGGGCTTATATTACTAGCCTTTAAAAAATCCATTTTTGGTTTTATCAGTCTTTTACTGTGTCTTCATTTTCTATTTTACATTTTTGTTTCTATCTTGATTTTTCTTCATTTTACTTTCATTTTCTTCTCATTTTGAAAACTTTTTATAACTTGAGTCCAATGTTCTGTCCTTTTTCTGACACTTAATTTCATACATGTTTTCATACATTTAACTTTATAAGTTTCTTTCTAATCTCACTTTAGCTATATTAAAAATTTTGGTGAATAATGCTTCAAATTCATTTAATTCTACATATTTCATAATTTCCATGCTTTCAGTGCTCTATGAATTTTTACAATTGTGTTTTATAATTCAAAACCCATGGGATATATCAGCTGTCTCTTTGTGTTTGTTTTGTCAGATGATGATATGGATTATGTTATTACTTCCTGTTTGGGGCCATAATCATTTTTTGTAAATATTTATACATTTTTAATTGAAATTCATATCATTTACTTTTTGGCATAAGCTCTAATGAACATCTGTGACATCAAGTTTTTATAGGGAGTTCACATCTCCCATCACCTCACTAATTGGTTTCGGATTCATCTTTCAGTTCCTGAAGGACTTTTTGGTTTCTTTGACTCTCCTGAGCTGCTTCTTCACTTCCCTTGAGCCAAGGCATGTAAGTTTTCCAGTCTACAAGGAAGCAAATGCACTTTGAGACTCTGGGCTTTAGGAGGCTCAGTTTACCTCCCTCACAGGTTCTAGTCTCTACATTTGAGAGAGCATTCCACAGAAGTTTCCAACCTGATATGGCATGGGCTTCTAATAACGATGAAAGCCTTGATTTCTCCCTCACCCTCTGACACTGAGGGGTTTCTCCTTTGTTTCCTTCCTGCTTGGCAATGTTTTGAAATGTTGGTGCCTATTCACATATACACCATGGAATACTATGCAGCCCTAAAAAAGTATGAATTCATGTTCTTTGCAGGGACACGGAGGAAGCTGGAAACCATCATTCTCAGCAAACTAACACAGGAGCAGAAAACCTAACACTGCATGTTCTCACTCATAAGTGGGAGTTGAACAATGAGAACACATGGACACAGGGTGGGGAACATCACACACCAGGGCCTGTCGGGGGGGGTGGGGGCAAAGGGGAGGGATAGCATTAGGACAAATACCTAATGTGGATGACGGGTTGAGGGGTGCAGCAAACCACCATGGCACATATGTACCTATGTAACAAACCTGCACATTCTGCACATGTATCCCAGAACTTAAAACATAATAATAAATTTTTAAAATGTTGGTGCTTATTGTTACATTTTAGGTATCACTTCTAAGGGTTTGTACCAGGAGGGGATCCTTTGGCAATAGTTCAGTTCTGCATTTTGCTGTATCAGGATAATCTTTTTATGACTGGTGTCCATCATACAACTCCCCTGTCTTCAGCTTCCAATAGCTTCCCCATATGGAGAGGAGGAGAGGAGACATCTACAAGATCTCACCTCCACCTACCACTCTGACGTTATTTTGCACCACTTTTGTTGCTATTATAGAGACCCTGGCCTTCATTCTGTTCTTCGAACACAATTAGCTTATTCCCACCTTCTATCATTTGTATTCATGTTTCCTTATGCCTGAAATAGGTTTCATCCCATCTTTTCATAGTTGCAATTTTTGGCATGAAGGCCTGACCTCAAATGTCACGGTCTCAGGGCAAAGACAACTACATAATCTGTGGAGCCCAGAGCAAAATGCAAATGAATGGCCCTTGTTCAAAAGGAAAGAAAAGGTATAATTGAAGGTGCTAAAATATAGGTCTGTCTACTTTCTTCTGCAGTCAGTCTCTCATTGTGATATGATGTTTGTTGTTTGCGGTTTCATACTTTTCTAAGTAAAAAATTAAATTTTAAATTATTAGCATAAATTTTAATGCTCATATTTATATTATGCAATGCCAGTTTTATATGCAAATATAAGAGCATTTAACTCATATGTAGAATCACCAAAATTACACAGTTCATATTTTGTAGCTCACATAGTAGGAAGTATTGTATTCTCGTTAGTACAATAAAAATGCTGCACAAAACTAACTCAGCTGTTTTTATTTAACTCCTTGACATGCTAATCTTCTACCAATACTCTCTGCCTTTGATTTACTGATGAGTAAGGAAGAATCGAAAGGAAATCATTTTCATTGCTAGTGGTTGACTAATACAGTGAAGTACCGTAAGCAAGAAAGGATATGGTGGGGTGCTTAGGGCATTCGTGTTTATTAGAACACCATTGCCTTTCTTCTGCATTTGAAATGGAGCTATCAGCACCCCTCTTACTCAGTCCTAGTTGTAACTTGCTTACCTGTACCTGCTTTAAGTCTTGCTGAGCTATCATGTACTGTGGGTCCACCTGAATTCTGTGCTTATGGAGCATCATGGACATGATAGGTGACTGAGGCTACAAGGACGATGCATGCTGAGGCTGTGCATATCTTTTCTGAAACAATGGTTGTTTGGAGTGAAAGGTGTGCACTCAGTATGGCATTGCTATTCTCAAGGCGTCTGGCCAATGTGAGGAAGGAAAGATAATACAAATTATATCCCACGACTTCTCCCTCCTTCTCCATTGACTTCCAGTTTTCTTTTCACCAGCGTCGTCAATCTCTCATTTCCAGTTTTTGTTTCATTTTCTATCCTAATTAATTTAGTTCTCACTTTTCATTCAGAAAAACAATATTTGATTTCACTCTATAGCTCTTTGCCCACTTTTCACTCTATACCATTCTCACAGAGGGATCTAGAACCATAGCTTCACTTCCTTACCGCCAACGGATCCCCTAACTGATCATCTTTTGTCTTCTACCACTATTTTGAATTTAACCCTCAAAAGTTACCTATGACATCCAGATTTCCAAGTCCTCTGGCCGCCGCCAGCTTTTATTTGTTTTGCTTTTGCTAGTGTTTGGATAAGTCGTCCTGTTGCTGCTCTTTCCTCGGTCGGCCTTAACAAGGATGCCCCATATTTCCTAGTTTTCCTTCTGCTTTAATTGAAAATCATCTGTCTCCTAAACTCTGTGTTTCTTACCTACCACATGTGGACTGTTTCCAGAATTGAATCCTAGACTGCCTTCGTTTCTTTCTCCTGATTGTTCTCACCTATTCCTATTGATTATTTCAAGGAAATATGTATGTTGTCTATCTTATGTCTATCGTATAGCTAACTTCCACCTTTTTCCATGTGGCCACCATCTCTTTCCAGATCCCTAGTTCTACATTTCCACAGGTTTGTGTTCTTTTTTTTTCCCCCAAAATACCTGCTACCTCCACCCATTCCTTCTATTATGACTCTGATTTAAACTTCCATCACCCCACATGAGTCTAATTATCAGCCTCTAATTCGTGTCATTTGTCTGCATTTTTCATGTTTAATCCATTGTCTGTACCACAACCAGGTTATGGCTCCTAAGACATTATTTAAGTTATGTCAATCTGCTACTCAGAAATGTTTAGTGACTCAGCAAGGTTTAAAATTTTTAAATCAAGGCCAGGCATGGTGGTTCATGCCTATAATCCCAGCACTTTGGGAGACCAAGGCAGGCAGATCCCTTGAGCCCTGAAGTTCAAGACCAGTCTGGACAGCGAGACCCTCTCTCTACCAAAAATAAATAAATAAATAAATAAATAAATAAATAAATAAATAAATAAATAAAATCCTTAACACTGCATTCATAGTTCTTTATAGTCTGACCCACATCAACTTTTATCTTTTACCTTATCTTCAGCGATTCCCCTTTTCTGATAATTTTTCTCTTTCCAGAATACTTTTGGTGCCTTACAGATCTTAGCTTACTATATTAATATCTGTAGTAGATTAAATACAAATTTAATACTTTTATCGAGATGAGTTATTATTAAAAGGACATTTCCTACAAACTAATAAGTTCATGAGGTGGAAAATAGATATCCTGCAAACTCTTGATAATATAAATCTTCTATTGTCAGTTTGTTCAACCAAAAATTTAACCTTTCTGTTTCTCTCTCACTTTTAAAATTCTACACTTATATAAGGTTTTCTAAAATAAGAAACAGTACACTTGTGTACAATTTTTGAGCTGTCATTTTATAAATTAACATCTGTATAGAAGTTGAGAATTTTAGGGAACATTAAGCTTTGCCTGAGAAATTTTATTTTCTCTGCTGGAATGTAGAAGAAACTACAAAGTCCTTTAGTGCCAGAAGCCAACAGAGTCAAAATTATTCATAGCTATTAAAAGACAAAAGGAAATTTCTCAGGGAGCACAAGAAAAGGTTCTTTTGTAGTCTGTCTACAGAAGCCAGTTAGAAGAAATACTTAGAAAGCCTATCTCTATTATAAACAATTACTGCCCAATTAGTGTATTGATGGGAGTGTGTGTTAATATGTTGGCTCTTTTTGTTACAGTGGTTACGTTTAAATCTTTCACCTCCAATTGCTGTACGATAAAGTGAGTAGAAGAACATTAAGACTTTTATTTGTAAAATTCAATTTTGAATGACAAATTTTCCATTCGTGGATAATGACTCTAAGCCTAAATGTGTATAGGCTTAGGAACCAGCTATGCTCATCTGAAAGCAGCAGTAACTGCAAGAAAATACAAAGAGCATGTAGCCTGCATGCGAGGAAGACATTTACGAGGCAGATGAAAGTATTGTTCTGAATATCACTCAATGCACCAATTAAATAAGGAAACGGGAAACCTTGACAATTTAAAAAATATATACTAAGCATATCAGTATCATAACTTAACATATTTTACAAATGTTAGAGACCTAATGAATTTGACTAAAGCAGTTTAATTAAGGTATAGTCTGCTGTGTTGCAACCCCCTTCCAGACAAAATAGCTCGGTGAAAAGGTAGTACGTCCCCAGTGAACTGTGAATATCAAAGTCGGAGAAAATTCTTCATTTTAATGAGCTGCGTTTTCTGAGCCCAGACCTCTCCCCTGACAGGGTGGCTGCAGGAGGCAAAAGTGAAAGTAGTTGTTTTCCTTTGAGACATTCAACTGCTAAATGCTGTGAATGCCAGAAATTAAAATAGTGACGCTAAGATTTTTTATGTCTGTTCTATCTTGCACTTGCCCTTGGGCTGGAAACTACACTTAAAATGTCCAACAATTAAGATTTTTTTTAATATTTAGAAAACTATCACTTCTCCTCTGAATATCAAGACATTAAAAATATAACCCATTTCATTCCTAAAAGTTATATTCCTCATTTTAGAACCACTTTGTGTAAATACAAATATTTAAACCCCATATAGTGTCCTTTTATTAACTAATGGTTAGATTTGTAATGCAAGCACTCTTTAAAACTAGAAATCAAAAATTGCACCTTTCATTGTTCGGAAAATTTACACAACATGGGTGATTGTTATTTTCTGCATGTTTCCCATGCGATATGGTCAAAGGAGGATAATGTCTTGATATCATTTTATAATATTTTCACTCTCTTTAAATAAGTTCAAGTGTGATCATTAGAAATGAAGTGTACCATTTGGGTGATTATGTAAAAATATTATTCAGGGTAATAAATAACATAAAAACCAGATATTCAATCATATGATAACTGTCAATACTCAACCTCTTTGAACAGTCATCAGTTAAATGCAAATACTGGTACAAATGCCACCAATGAATTATCTGGTTGGCAAGCACAGGAAACCTTAAATAATTATACTTGATTTCCATAAACATTTCCTGAGATCTAGAAGCAAAACTAATCATGATTTCAAATAAGTACATTCCAAAAGAAATAGCATAATTACCTCGGTTAGCTAAGGGTCATCTAGCGCTCCTGGATTTACTCCAAGATACACGTAACTGCCCAGACCCAGGACAGCAGTTCATTGCAACCATCATAGAGTCAAAAATTCCACCACGATTTATAGCTTCTAACAAAAAGAACCAAGGTTGATCGCTATTTCTTCAGAATCCTTGCCTTCATGTGATTTTCAACACAGAAGATTGTCTTCCTTGGAAATCTAAGTGATTTTAATTGCATTCAACTTAAGCATAAAGTTTTCTTAATATACAATAAGTATAAATCTTTGAACTTATTACTGTGTAAAATTAATGTATGCAACTGTGAATTTGTATAAGGTCCCTTAAATCCTACTTCAAGTATACTCATTCTTTTTTTTTCTAAAATCTTCCAATAGTATGTCCTTTCATCCCTTTCCCTTGTTTTCCAAAATCAAATGACTGGACAAATACTTGTGGTTTCATGGGTTATCATCTAATCTAGGCTACCAGAGTTTCACAGTCACAAATATCATGTTTCACGTTGTCAGAGGGTGCTGCCATATTAAGTAATCATTACCTACTCTCCACTATTGAGAACGTTTCCAAGTCACTCAGGAATCACAAGCATCTAGTTGGAATATTAACAGGGCAAACGTGGAGGTAAAAGGCAGCCACCATCTTACCGTAGAAGGTCCAATAAACCCCTATTTTCAAAAACTCATTTATCATACATGTATTTGAATTCATTCAGCCATATATAGTTTGATTGCACATGACCGTGATTAATATGCTCGTTAAAGTTTAGACTAGCTGTATTCTGTCTATGCCATCAGAATATCTATGGCTTTACAGATAATGTTTAGTCTGGTAGTGCTTTTTCTGAAAGAATGAACTTAAATCCGGATTTTATGGTAATAGCAGTGCTGAGATAACCATAATTTTTTGCAGAAACCCTTATTTACAACCAAGGCATGATGTCTCTTCCTGATATGTGCTATATATTATATGATAAATTTAATAAAATGACTCATTTTATTGCATATTAGTACTTTCAAGGAGGAAAAGTCCAGCATTAGCAGTTCCAAAGTAGCATACCAAATTAAATTAATTACTATGATAAATAACATTAGGTCAGTCACCTGTAATAACGCAAGGTTTTGTTGTTGTTGTTTACACTGGGATGGGGAATGGTGGTTTTAGGGATTTGTACTCTGTGGCATAAAACTGTATCTTTTTCTTTTCATTTGTAATACAAAAGATGTATTTTACTAAGGTGTGCAGGAATTTTAAAATAATCTATTGTATTTTGTATGTGGCTTTCCATAAAATGCATGTTCAGAAACATACATGTTCAAATAAATGCATATTTGTTTTGATTAGTGAATTAAATATTTTGTTCATCTGCACTGACACACTTAAAATATTACTGTTTAATTTTTAATATAAAGTCCAAACTAAAATATTTGTAGTTTCTCATTTTATAATTATTTATTTGTACAAAATTCATGTGAGTTACAATTATTTCTTAAGTGTTTTTCTGCTCCTATTCATACATAATTATTTTAGATATTTGTCAATTCTTTTTTTTTTTCTCATTTCTTCTTCTGTTTTAACTTCTCCGCATGTTTGTTTTGTACAACAAGCATTTATCAGGTTCCCACCATTTTCAGATCTGAGCCCCTGGTGTTTCCTGAGTCAAAACAAGGTATTATCAGATGATTTTGCCAGAGGTTACCCTATTCTTTTTCTGTGGCTTGATTACATCATAATATAGATTATAGTTGCACAAATAATACAAATGGACTCAAACCAGCAAACAATAGTAATATTAATTTTAGAAGCCAAAATTCAAATGTAGAAAGTTCTTAATTTTAGGAGCATAATTTTTGCACTAAAACTGCCCACCAGAAAGAGCCACACTAAAACATCCAGGTATGTTCTGTAAAAAAATAAAATAAAATAAGCAAAAACAAAACATAAATAAATGAAGAAACATACAAAAAACTTTAGGTCTTACAGAAAATGTTTCTAATAGCTGAGAAAACTTTGCAGTAACATATAATATATGGTTGGAATATAAAAATATCTACAATATAATATAGATTTGATAGCTAAAAGTAACAAGATTCCTTAGATTTGAATTTCAGCCCTGGTAGTTATTGCATGATGCTAGGCAAGTTGATGCTATTTATTATTCTCAATTTCTTCATCTGTGAAATGAAGATAATAAACTACCTAGTTCGTAGAGTCATTGTACGGATTAAGCAAATAGGGTACACAAAATACTTAGTATATTTTCTGCCTGGCAGTTATCATTTGATTACTATTAGAATAATTATATTCATAGAATCATTTGTAGTTGAGTTCTTATATATTTAACTTCTTAATTTGTATTTTATGGAGAATATTTGAAAGAGTCCCCAAAGCTATATATCTTAGCTCTTGTACATATGAAAGAAAACTAGATATTTGAGTTATTCATTATTTTATTTTGAAATAAAATTTTGATTTATTTCCTTGATAATCTGCCGGAAAGTCAGGAAAATTATGTAGATTCATTGCACCATTCTCTTTTTTTATTTCTCCCTCAACACACACACACACACACACACACACACACACACACACACACCCCAAACTGAAAATCGAGTATATAATTTAGTAATGTTTGATCATCCCTAAGGTAGGGAGTAAAATTGTGTGAATCCTCAGTGGCCTTAATAGACTAGAATTGTGGTATGTATCCAGGGAAGTAGGATTTAGTGGTAGCTTTTTACCGATTTTCTTGAGGTGCTCTGTCTAGTTACTTGGTTTCTTTGTTTTCAGATTTTCTTGTAAATTTGTTGAAGTTCTTTGTAGATTCTGGATATTAGCCCTTTGTCAGACGGATAGATTGTAAAGATTTTCTCCTATTCTGTAGGTTACCTGTTCACTCTGATGATAGTTTCTTTTTATTTATTTATTTATTTTTGTTATACTTTAAGTTCTAGGGTACATGTGCACGACGTGCAGGTTTGTTACATATGTAGACATGTGCCATGTTGGTGTGCTGCACCCATTAACTCGTCATTTACATTAGGTATATCTCCTAATGCTATCCCTCCCCTCTCCCCCCACCCCATGACAGGCCCCAGTGTGTGATGTTCCCCTTCCTGTGTCCAAGTGTTCTTATTGTTCAATTCCCATCTATAAGTGAGAACATGCGGTCTTTGGGTTTTTGTCCTTGCGATAGTTTGCTGAGAATGATGGTTTCCAGCTTCTTCCATGTCCCTACAAAGGACATGAACTCATCCTTTTTTATGGCTGCATAATATTCCATGGTGTATATGTGCCACATTTTCTTAATCCAGTCTATCACTGATGGACATTTGGGTTGGTTCCAAGTCTTTGCTATTGTGAATAGTGCCGCAATAAACATACGTGTGCATGTGTCTTTATAGCAGCATGATTTATAATCCTTTGGGTATATACCCAGTAATGGGATGGCTGGGTCAAATGGTATTTCTATTTCTAGATCCTTGAGGAATCGCCACACTGTCTTCCACAATTTTACTGAGCAGAAGCTCTTTAGTTTAATTAGATCCCATTTGTCAATTTTGGCTTTTGTTGCCATTGCTTTTGGTGTTTTAGTCATGAAGTGTTTGCCCATGCCTATGTTCTGAATGGTATTGCCTAGGTTTTCTTCCTGGGTTTTTATGGTTTTAGGTCTTAAGCTTAAGTCTTTAATCCATCTTGAGTTTCAATGTGAGTATTAGAAAGATTTTCTTGATACTTGAGTGTACGCTAGATTGATCTGAACTTCAAAAATTAGAAACAAACAAGAATGAAGCATCTAGTAATGCAGTTGCCCACAATTGCCTCTACCTGAATGATCCTCCATTTCCTTCACTTAAGAATAGCTGGAGTGTCATGAGAAGAACCCAGTCTGGCCACTGTGGGGTGAGAAGTGGATTTACGATAGGAAAAAACACAGCAAGTCAAGTCAATACGTCAAGAGTTGTGGAAGTGTGCTGTGGTGTCACGTGAAGACGGAGGAACTGTCAGAACAACAGCAGAAGAAACAGATGGGGAATTGAAAAGAACAATCCTTTTTCCTTTCTCTCATTCTGATTTGTCAATCAAAATTTTGGAGAAAATTATCAAAGAAAAAAATTTTTAAGGTCAATATGTTAGAAAAGCAAAAAGGAAAGAAAAACAGTGAAGAAGAAATGAAAAAAGAAAGGTGGTTTGTCTGTTTGATTTTATTATTAAGAGTGTGTAAAGACAGGAGGAATGTCTACAGTTTTGAAAGGAGCACTTTTCTTCCTGTGTGTTGAATGGAAGAAGAAGGAAACTCAACTAGATAGTCTGTAGATAGGCATACTGCTTTAATATGCTATTACAGTAAGAATATATCAAGAAGATGTGTAAATTAAAAAGTGTGTGTGTGTGTTTCTCCTTCAGAAATAATGAAAATAGCCTTGGAACAACATGGTCTTTGGAAGGGATCATTAACTTGTTTAGAATTAAGAGGTTA
Organism: Homo sapiens; assembly: GCF_000001405.40. Classification (NCBI taxonomy): domain Eukaryota; kingdom Metazoa; phylum Chordata; class Mammalia; order Primates; family Hominidae; genus Homo; species Homo sapiens. The sequence continues at coordinate 181,012,374 of NC_000004.12, forward strand.
TGTTGTCTTTAATTCAAATCCCATAAAAGATGTAGCTTCAAAGCAATAGCCAGAGTTGACTTTCGAAGCAATGGTTCCAAGAGAAAAACAATACAAAGCATAAAGAGAACTGTGCCATTCTATTTAGAAAATCGAGTGAATATCACAGATATTCATTTCCTCTCTTCAGCAAAGCAGAGAATGTGGAAAATTTAGTGACTTTGTTTGTAATATGTTTTTTTTTTCTCACTGTAACACTTTCTGTTAAAGGCAGAAAGTGAGTTTAGGAATGTAAATGGTGTCACACAAAATTCAAAGAGAGTTGGCAAAGTCAGAATGAGGTTAGTCAGAGTCAAAGAAGGGATTTGGCTGATATAGGACTCCTCCATTTTGTACACACACACACACACACACACACACACACACACAGTTGAACAAACCATTTAACTAAAATGACTATGTGGAAAGGAACATCATTTTAGTTAGGGAGAATAGGGGTGCAGCAGTGGTCGCTGGAAAAAGAGAATCATATGACATCTCTGCAAGGAAAAGGACCATACCTACGCAAACTGGTTAAGCACATGTCATCATCAACGTGAAGGTGGCACAGCTGGGATAGATTCAAGGCGTCTCCACAAAAGGGGAAGAGAAGAAAACAGTAACATCTGCTCCAGTGAAGACTGGGAAGCCTCCCAGGGAGAGGAGGGTGACCCTCAGAGGGGGCTTCAGAGACAGAAGGAGAATAAAGAGGATGGATGCCACATTACGGCAATGGACAAAAATAAAAGAAAACCGCAACGAAGCTTGGGATGAACAGGGTTTCTTTAAGAAAACAGCGGGGCAAAGAAAATCCTTGAAGGAAAAAAAAAACGAGAAAACACTTCCTTCAGAAGAAATCATTTTAACTGAAATCTATAGAAGAGCTAAAAGGAGGTGGAAGGGAGAATGTTGAGATTTTAATGGTGGAAATGACTACAGAGAATGAAAATAACAGGCCCAGTGTGGCTGAAACTAAAGTCTGAGAAAAAAAGAATACAAGCAAGGGGAAGGAACACAGAACCTGAGATTAGGGCATGAGTTAGACCGAAAGGAATCAGAGAGAAAGACGAGGTCTTTTAAAAAAAATCCTCAGAAGGATCAATAAATATGGGAAAACAGAATGGAAGGTGGTAACATAATGCCAGTAGCATGAAAAGTAGCGTGTGCAGGCTGCAGCAAGCTTTCCAATTAAAGGATGAAGAAGCAAACGATTGAACAGCCAAAAACAGTCTCTAAGAAGTACCCAGTGTGAAGGATTTTTTTGAAGAAAAGATCTGACTGCTGATAGCAAAAAAAGACTTTTGAGATCTGCCTGAGGTCTGTTGTTTAAAAGGAATATGAGGGGATAGATGTTGTTCTGCATTCACAATAGAAAAAGGGTTGGCAATGACATTTTTAGAATTAGGGATACTCAGCACTAGAGGCCACTGAACACCAGTTGTAGGATATTTGTTTGGGAATCTTCTATCAAAGGCTGGTAGGATGCCCTAACGACACATCCCCCTGACTGGCTGGACCATTAAGATAAATTACAGAACTCGCTACAGGAGGGAGCTGGCAAGGATGGTTTTCACATATAGAATGAGAATCATGCTTTAGGATGAGGCAGAAATGCAGTGTGTTAGGTAAGAGACTTGGGAAGCCATTATTTAGTCCTCTCCACTCTCAATAAGTATATGAAAAAAGGTAGATGTAATGTCAAAGGTGACACATAAATCCCCCTTAAATTTTGTCTCCGTATCAATTAAAACGTGTAAACATCAGAGCAGGGAAAGAATAAAAAGAGTAGCCTCAAACATTAAGGTACACCTTCCATAGCAAAGCCTTTCTTCTGTAAGGTCAAGCGGCCTCCTTCACAAGAGTGATATACAAGACTAAGCCCGGAATGGCTACTGCCCAGACATCTTGCCTTGGACAAGTTGTTTAAACTCTCTGAGCTTCTGGATCTATCAAGTGAGTTTGAAAACTCATATCACTGTGCCCAGCTTGTTGTGAAGGTTTAGAGACCACATAGATAATATAAATTTCCTAATGCATAAATGGTTTTGTATAAATATCATAATGCCATGCTAAAAATGTAGTTTTACTATGCGTGGTTAAAATATATTGCAGATTACCACATCTGAGGCTTGGAGAGAGAGAGAGAACGTATGTATATCACCATCTCCAAATATCATCACATTGTTTAAACATTTAAATTTTGCAGGCACAGTTCAATTCATAATATCCTGTCAGAGCAAAACAGGGTCTGCTTTTGCTCACTGTTTTGTCTCCTAACACAGAGTAGTTGGTCAATAAATATCGACTGAATGACTAAGTGATACAGAAAGGCATGTGTCATTCTCCATTAGGATGAACCAAAAGAAAGATGTTGGTCATGTATCATTGGTTGCATTGAGGAACCTATATAGGGTCTGGGGTACCCAGAATCAATCCATTCCTTTATATTCTAATAATTTAACTCAAAATCCAGAAATAATAAGGTCAGTCTTAAAGCTGCAGTTCTTATATTTTAAAGCATAAGAATCCCAGGGAAAACTTGTTAAAAATGCAGAATTCTCAAAAGAATTCTCAAAAGAATGCTTTAGTAATTTTTGAGGTAAATTCCAGGAGTCTACATTTATAAAAGAAGAATTTTGGAGGGACTCAATTTATTTCTTTCTATGCTACATAAATAGATGCTTAGGTTAACTGTCAAAGTAGTTTCAAAGGTTGATTGATATACAAAGAACAGGATAGAAAATTTCCTTTTGGTCTCCTGTTTCAACCAAACAAGCGACCCCTAAGAACATACCCCTTTGCTTTTTAAAATAAATTACTAATTGGCTTATACTACTTTCCTTGGCTGGAGTGATTTTTCATTGTCTGTTTAATAATTTACTTCTGTGTTAATGATCTTTAAAATTATTCTTTATCACAAGTTAGAGAATCTTCAGGGCTATACAATAGCCTATATATGAAACTGGATTTTGCACTACATAATGTAATATTCTGTACATAGTCTATTATCTTGAAAGAGCTTTATGGTAGCTGTGATAATATGTGATAGCTTGTGAAAACATCTTTCCATTCTATTCTTCTCATGAAGTGAATGAACATGCACAACAGAAATTACACCTTGCCTTGAGTGATGGAGGGGATTGTGAGACCTCAGTTGCAGCATTCTAGGTTATATAAAGTTAAAATACAGTAATATTTTGAAATATTGACAGTTTCATTGATCCAAAATGCTAACTGTTTCTAATGAAGAAAACCTTTGGGCAGTCAATACAAAGGTAGTGGTCCTTCCAGTTAATTACCCCTGTGAGTCAGGTGCTTTTCACATGCCATGTACCATGACATTTATTTCCTTCAACCATTCTGCCACAGCACAGGCATCTTCTCCTACCTGCCCAGAAATTACAGGGTAAGTGATTTGCCCACGATTATTTCTGATACAGAGGGGTGCTGTGTCTGGGGGTTATCTCCCTGACCCTCAACATGGTTAGAAAAAAAAATCAGAAGAATATATATATATATTATATATATATATATGTATATTTTATATATATATTATATATATATGTATATTTTATATATATATTATATATATGTATATTTTATATATATATTATATATATGTATATTTTATATATATAATATATATTATATATATTATGTATATATTTTATATATATATATATGGGAAAGAATGAAGGGCAGCTAACAGCTCAATAATCAAAAGAAGAGTGAACAACAAAAGTAAAAACCTCAGGCACATGAACACAAGAAAGCAAGGAACTCAGACCCCTTGAGGGGGCAGGGCTGGCTTGGCAGTCAGCTCCACACTCTGTAGCCCATGGGTCCTGAATTCATCCTCACACCATGTTAGGATAGAAAATATGTTGCTAGATATGACAGTTCTAAGGTTTCAAAAGAAATGCAATTATGATTATTATACTGTTTAATAAAGAAAGAAGATAAGTTCGGACATTAAAAAGTTTTTGAAATGATTAAAATTATAATATTTTGTCATTTAAACTTGTATATTAAGTATAATCATTTTTCCTAAATTTGAAACACAAATATCACCATGACATTCAATTTATGAAGAAAAGGATATTTTATAAATTATATAAGAAAGCTACTTTATGAACTGAAAGAAGGAAAGGTTTTGTACAAGCATATTCCCTTTATCTCCACCAATATAAAGATTGAATTATAAAAATTCTTGATAGACAGAAATCTTATGACTAGATTGAGCTCTACGATGCAGTATCTTTGTATTATAACACTAGAGAATCTGTACAAAAAGCATTGTCTGCTCCAGACATTTAATTATAAAATATGATCTTCATTCTGAATTCAGCTCCTATGGTAAAGCATGATCTCTAAATGAAATATTTTGTATTTCATGGACCACTAAGCAAATCCTGAATTCTAAAATATTAATTTTAGCAATTTTATTTTCCTGAAACAAATAGTGGTCACTTTCTTCTCTTTGTTTTTGAAGTAAAAATGATTAGATCGTTCAAGTTATGTTTAGAATATGGAGTATGCGTATGGAATAAAAATACAATGCAAATGTAAATGTTGACTTCCAATTGAATTTTCTTTTCTTTTCTTTTCTTTTTTTTTGAGATGGAGTCTCACTCTGTCACCCAGGCTGGAGTGCAGTGGTGCGATCTCTGCTCACTGCAACCTCTGCCTGTCAGGTTCAAGGATTCTCCTGCCACAGCCTCCTGAGTAGCTGGGACTGCAAGCATGTGCCACCATGCCTGGCTAATTTGTTTGTATTTTTAGTAAAGATGGGGTTTCACCATGTTGGTCAGGCTGGTCTCAAACTCCTGATCTGAAATGACTCACCCCTCTCGGCCTCCCAAAGTGCTGGGATTACAGATGTGAGCCACCATGCCCGGCCTGAATTTTGAGAAGAATGGTTGTCATTGTTAAGTACAGTCAGTCTCGGGACAATATTGTTTACAGTAAATGTTGTTATTCTTTTCATTATTTACCTGTTTTTACTGATGCAGCCTCCTTCGTTAGTCACCCTACTACCAGGTGATAGATACATTTACATGCAAATATACCTTCTAAGAGGCTCCTATAAACAAAACATCCCAAAAGATCACTTTTGATAGGTGGGTTCTAACGTTGAGGTGAACTTTAGGAATTAGAGCATGCTTCGGCATTTCTGTCCTCCTTCAATATAATGAAACCAACGAACAATGTAATGAAAACAAATCAAAAATAATATTCTTTGAACTTCTATTCGATGCCTGGCACTATTCTACATATATTTACAGAAGTTGTCTCGTTGAATCCTCCTAGCAATACTGCAACGTGGATATTTAAAATTTATTTGTAGACAAGTTCACTGAGATTAAATGAGATGATGTTCCAGATCTCACAACACAATTGGAGTGTGAATCAAAATCTGTTTGGCTCTAAAACCTGTTTTTCTTCTTTATTGACGAATAGGAAAGTGTTCATGCTTTTTCGAGTTCATTCTATTAGGCCCAACTTTTTCCCTAGATGTAGATGTTGGAATAATCTTTTACTTCTCCCCTTCTTCTCTCAGTCACTATATCATGCAAATAGTTACACATTCTCTTGTTTTCTACTAGCCATTGTCATGAGCTGAGTGGTGTACCTGCAAAATTCACATATTGAAGTGCTAATAATCTCTAGTATCTCAGAATGTCATTGTATTTGGAGAAGGAATCCTTAAAAAGATAATTAAGTTTAAATGAGGTCATTAGGGAGGGCCCTAATCCAATATTGCAGGTGTCCTTAGGAGCGGAAATTTGGACACAGACAGTACAGACCTTGTTGAAGACTCAAACAGAAAACAGACATCTACAAGCCAAGGGAGACATCTCCAAAAAAAAAGACCCTGAAGACACCTTGATCTTAGAGTACCAGCCTGCAGAACTGTGAGAAAATCAGTGTCTGTTGTTCAGGCACCCAGTCGGTGGTACTGTTAACGGCAGAATACGCTCGTCGACTCTCAAATCCATATCCTGATCATTTCCACTAGAACTTTTCATTTGTTTGTTCTTGTTTTAGCTAATCCATAGCACTTGCATTCCAAGTAGAAACCTAAGCAGTGTTTTGTATTAATTATTTAATTCTTACCTAGACCTTAGGCCTGTTACTATGAAGCTGTGATTGGAACACAGGTGTTCCAGCCCTGGAATCTGTACTCAGCTCTTGGCTCACTTAGTGATCTCACTCTTAGCCTCCAAGTCATTGTTCATCTCTAAAACGTTGCCTAGTCCTGTAGTCCTTTATGACTCACCAATTAATCTTAGAACACTTATTTGCACTAGTCTCCCACATTAAGCCCATGTTGTAACGAAAGTATCAGTAATTTTAAAAACTCATTTGTTTTTCTCACTTCTCTGCCTTTGACTTCATCGAGCTTCCTTTTATTACCACCTATCAGGATTCTGTTGGTTACAACCCAGCTCATTAGCCACGTCCTCCATGAACTCCATTTTCCCAACCAGATGTTTCTTCTCTCTCCAGTGAACTGTAGTTCTCTTTACCACACATACACTCTTGCACTGTCACGTTCACATACGTCTTGCGGCAAAACAAGGTTACAAACTCTTTTAGGTTATAAGTGATGTGTTAGGCATGTTACTTTCTCCTGTGCTCTGAGTGACTGAATTAGTTTGCTAGGGCTACCATGACAAAATACAACAGGCTGAGTGGCTTAAACAACAGACATTTATTTTCTCACACTTCTAGAGACTGGAAGTCCAACACCAAGGTGATGGCAGATTTTATGTTTCCTGCCGTCTGTTCTCTCTGCTCGGCTTGCAGATGGCCAACTTCTTACTGTGCCCTCATATGGCTTTTCCTCTGTGCACAAACATCCTTGTCTCTCTCTTTCCTTATAAAGACATCAATCATATTGGATTAGGGCCCCACCCTAATGGCCTCATTTAACTTTAATTATTTCCTTGAAGGCCCTGTCTCCAAATACAGTTACTTTAGGGGTTAAGGCTTCAACATACGAATTTGGGGGCTGCACACAATTCTGACCATAACAATCCCAAATGGCATTGAAGAATATTTGTTGAAGTTAATGCTGATCATTAAATCAGTTGTAGAGTCTAGTATGCTGGTCATGTTTAACAGCCATTTCTGGGTGTAGCTCTGATTTGTAGTGTTACTTATATCCCCTGGTATAAATCCATCCACCATAGTGAATTCCAGGCTATCAATATGTCAACCAGCTTTCAATTTTAACAATCAATGCCTGTGAGCCAGTATGAAGGGGTGCAGCATACCGCTGACTTAGGCCAGTGCCTTTCAGAGCTAAGTAAAGAAAATGTGAATGGTGTGAGGTGTGCTATGTTTTTTTTTTTCTTTTTTCCTTTTTTCATCCCTCAAAATGGAGACTTAAACTCAAATTAAACTGTTGGGGGGGGGGGAAAGGTCATATTACCTATAAATCTAACTTTGCAGGCCAAAATTCGTACTTGCTTCAGTAGTGGTTTTTCAGATAATGTTTATCTTTGTTTGAGCGCCCAGTAAGTTGATAACAGGATAAAGAAAAACTTCACAAGGTGACATTTTAATGAACAGCACATTAAGTCATTAAAAATTGAATCCCCAGTAGGCAGCTTAATCATTATAATTAAACCAAGTAGTTTAAGTAAAGCCTAACCCAATCAGTAATGTTGCTTTCAAATGCTTTGTGTGTTTTGATAAGTTGTTCGTTAGGAAAAATGCCTATTTAGAACCAGGAAGTAGAATAAATGCATACTTCAAAGAAGCACATTCTATTATTTTCTAAACACTGTCTTCACTAGTATGAATGTATATTCGGGCATTACAGAGAGTTAGGATGTGATATTGTGCATAATGTTTTGTGTAGTCGTTGATCCAGAAATACGCTCTCATAGGATAGTGTGGCTTGAATGTCTTGACCAATGTAAGAGGGGTATAAAGGTTATCAGTTACTGCAGGCATCACTGATGACAGGCACGTGGGACATGGTGCTTTGTGTAGGCATCACCAACGCAGAAAGCCCCACTGTAATAGTTTGGCATCTTCTGAATGGTTTAATCAATATAATCCAGAGTGTAAAGGTTATCAATTACCGCAGGTATTACTGAGCATACTTTTGTTTTCAGTGATACTTGTAAAAAGCATTATATATATGTTGTCAGCCACTTCACTTTCATCTGCAGTACTGTAGACACTAATACTGGATATATCAGACTCCAGCTGTTTCCCTTCAGCTTAGGTGAATTCCACAGCTCTCTAGAAAGCTTTAACTTGCAAGAATATTTTGGCATCTGCTGAAGTACTGACCCCTGTAGTCGAACCTCTTTGGTTACAAAAGAATAGTTCTTTTAGCTGTTCAAATGTGAGTATAAAGGTGAAAGTAGTCTATTCATTTAAGCCCTTGGCTTGTAGTGGTTTTTGCATGTGAAAGCATTCCGTAAGTAAACACTGGCATTATCTTAATTCATTGAGTATTTTCAGAGTGTATATCTTATAAATATAATAAATATGTATCTATATTATAATTAAGGTGTGGGTTTTGAAATAAGTATTTACATATAAAAAGCAGTTTTAAATGTCATCGCATTAATAATCGTGTCCCTCATGTAACTGCCAAGATATTCTTGTTTTGACAAAATTTGCAACATGATAAAATAACTTGAAAGTATGTAGACTAGAGTTAGACTTGTCCTAGAGGGAAGTCAGTCAATATTCTATGGTTTGTGTGTCATTTGGCCTCAGCTTTTCCATAGGATCTGGAATTCCACCATTAGAGAATCATGACTTGGGCTATAATTTTTCCTTAAAATAGAACCTTCTCTACCACCACTGTCTGAAGAGTCCAGGGTCACAGGGCAAACTCCAAAATTAGGGTTCATTCCAGGAGGCCATGTGGATTCTTGGCTTTGCACAGGAAGGGACTCAAGTGTGAGTCAAGAGGGTAAAGTGAAAGCAAGTTTACTAGGAAAGTAAAGAGATAGAGGGGTGGCTACTCCACAGGCAACTCTGCCCCAAGGGCTGCTTGTTGGCTATATTTATGGTGATATTTTGAGCATATGCTAAACAAGGGTTGGGTTATTCATGAGTGTTCCAGAAAAGGGGTGGGGAGTTCCTGGAAATGAAAGTTACTTCCCTTTCTAGACCATCTAAGGTAACTTCCGAATGTTGCCATAGCATTTGTAAACTGTCCTGGAGCTTGTGCAAATGTCTCTTACCATGCGAATGCATTATAATTAGCATATAATGGACAGTGAGGATGACCAGAGCTCACTTTCATTGCCATCTTGGTGTTGGCAGGTTTGGCTGGCTTCTTTATCACATCCTGTTTTATCAGCAGGGACTTTGTGACCCGTATCTTGTACCAACTGCCTCCTTTTCTTTTCTTTTTCTTCTTTCCTTTCCTTTCTTTCCTTTCTTGCTTTGTTTTTGACGGAGTCTCGCTCCGTCACCCAGGCTGGAGTGCAGTGCAGTGGCGCGATCTTGGCTCACTGAAACCTCTGCATCCCTGGTTCAAGCAGTTCTGCTGTCTCAGCCTCCCAAGTAACTGGGACTGCAGGCCCCTGCTCCCACACCTGGCTAATTTTCATCCTGTGACTAAGAATGCCTAACCTCCAAGGAAAGCGGTCCAGCAGATCTCAGCCTTATTTTACCTAGCCCGTGTTCAAGATGGAGTTGCTCTGGTTCAAACACCTCAGACACCAGCAGTTGCGTAAGTTCTTTTGTATCATTACATCTGTCAGATTGTTTCTAAGTGATGAGTGGTGATAGCTGAAGGGAGGTTTTGATTAGAGTAGGAAGATAGGGTACAGTTAATTAGAGAAAAAGTATTGATAAGGAAATCTGTGAGATGGGATCTCAATAGCCAGAAAATGTTATGGACTGTCACTGTAAGTCTCGTATGGCCCATTTATCATGCAGTTGGCACTCTGTGTTTGTGGGTTTCACATTTGCTGATATAACTAACCATGGATTAAAAATACTTGAAAAATAATAATACGAGAATAAGAAATATGATTTAAAAACAAAATATAACTAGGAAGCATTTGTATTAAATACTGTAAGTAATCTAGAGATGATTTAAAGCATACTGGAGCATTTGTATAAGGATGGTATGGTTTGGCTCTGTGTCCCCACCCAAATCTCATCTTGAACCATGCTCCCATAATTCCCATGTGTTGTGGGAGGGATGCAATGGGAGATAATTGAATCATGGGGGCTGTTTCCCTCATATTGTCCTCATGGTAGTGAATGACTCTCACCAGATCTGATAGTTTGATTAAAGAACACCTGTTTCACTTGGGTCTTATTCTCTCTCTTGTTGCCACCACATGAGATGTGCCTTTTATTTTCCACCATGATTGTGAGGCCGCCTCACCCATGTGGAACTGTAAGTCCAATAAACCTCTTTCTTTTGTAAATTGCCCAGTCTCTTATGCTTCTATCAGCAGCGTGAAAATGGACTAATATGCGGGACTTGTGCACCCACGAATTGTGGTATCTGAGGGAGACGGGTCCCGGAATCAATCCTCCCACTGATACCGAGGGACAACTGTCCCTCTACCATGCAACTCTGTTCATCTCTGTTTTATGTGTGCACTCACACTCATACCACGTAACAAAGCTAGAAATAAAAATGAAATGGATATCATAGACAATGAAGGTATCCACTGTCACATTTCCAGGTTCCATTGATATATATTTTGAATAATACTTTAAACTTCAACAAAGAAGCACTCTAGCTGTCTTCTCAGATCAATGTCATCATGGATCCATGTTTTTGGAGTTTAAGATTGAATAAATGAGGATTATATAATATAATGAGCTGTATAAAAAGAATATATTCATTTAGTTACCATTTGATAACTGTTTGCCCTCGCTCCACACTCTCTCATACTCTGCCTTCAAATTCTATTTCTCTTCTTGCCCTATATTTATTCAGCTTGCTGGTGTAGATTTCCTCTAATTCTCTTGCACTTTACTTCTGAAATAACTTCTACTTTTCTACTTTCCTCATATGCGATAGACCCAATGTTTTTGTCCCCATGAAATTCATATGTTGAAATTCTCGCCCACACTGCAACATGCAATGGTAATAGGGAGGTGGGGATTTGGGGAGGTGATCAGATAATGAGGATGGAGCCCTCATGAACAAGATTAGTGCCCTTATGAAAGAGTCCACAGAGAGGTCCCTCACCCTCTTTCCATCACGTGAAGATAGAAGAAGTTGGCAGTCTGCACCTGGGAGAGGGCTCAATCATGCTAGCACACTGGTTTCATACTTTCAGCCTCCAAAACTGTAAGAAGTAAATTTCTGTTGTTTATAAACCACCCAGCTTATGGTACCTCATTATAGCAGCCTAAACTAAGTCATAATGTCATTCATTTTCCTCAACTAGGAAACTGTTTCATGAATTAAGTCTTCAGTACTAGAATACGGAAACAGCTCATCACTCCTTGAAATGTAGAGTGTAACTGAATTTGATTTATAAGATTCAAGCTTTAAACCAAATAAATATTCATGTTCAATCTCTTAATTATGATTCTCTTTAGGATTAACAAAGTAAAGGAAAGCACAGTAGATTATAATTTGTGAAGAATAGGACCAGATACCATAACCATATAAATGGTAGCACTGATGGGTACACTAAACTGTGAGGTGAGAGGTTGCTCTGACTTTGAAACCTGGCTTTACAGCTTTATAGTAGGTGAACTCCTCTGCATAGCCTCAGTTGCCTGGTCTGTGGTATGCATATAATGAAAACAGTAATGGTTAAGGTGATTAATCCCTAATAACTGTTCTACCCAAAATGATCAATCAAAGCAAACCATGGCAATTCCATTGCACTTACTGGTCATTGGCTTTAATTGGGATTATGATAGAATTCTATAGAAAGATTAGCACTTTATTTTTCTCACTCCTAAGAAAGAGACTCAAAGGTGACATAGTTCTATTCCTTCATCTGTCCTTTGCTGCATTAAGGTGTGATGAGCACTACCACAGTAGTTTGGGACCAAGATGGAAGCTGTATTAGTTTCCCAGGGGTGCCATAACAAAGGACCACAAACTGGGTGGCTTTAAACAACAAAAATGTTTCCTCTCACATTCCTGGAGCTTGGAAGTCCATGATCAAGTGTTGGCAACGCCATGCTTCCTCCAAAGCCTCTAGGGGAGGATGCTTCCTTGTTCCTTCCAGTTTTGGGTAGCCCCAGACATTCCTCCACTTTGGCAACATCACCTCAATCTCTGCCCCCATCTTCATATAGCCATCTTCTCTCTGTGTGTCTGTTTTTTCACTTGGCATTCTCCTCCTGCATATCTGTTTTCTCTTTTATTAAGGACACAACTCATATTGCATTGAGGCCCACCCAATCTCATCTAAATTGATGACATCTGCAAAGACCCTCTTTTCAAATGAGGTCACATTCATAAGTACTGCAGGTTAGGACTTAGCCATGTCTCTTTGAGGAACACAATTTAATTGTCAGAGGGGCCAACTGGAGGATAGTTCCCCTGAGGTCAGAGTCCCCCCTTTCCCCACTTCCCTACTCAGAGGATGGCAGGAAGAGAGGTGGAAAGGACCAACTCTTTGAGGACATTATTGAGCCAACCATAAAACCACCCATTTCTGGGCTTCTTGTAAGAGAATACATCATCTTACCTGGAAAAATGTTTGAGTTGGTATTTTGGTTAGCTGTAGGTAAAAGTTTCCCCACTCATACAAGAGAACTGACTCATAATGCTGTAGTAAAATTTAAATGAATGAATAAACTAATGCCAGTATGACACTAAGCACAGTACTTGGCATGTTGGCCAATGTCAGTAGTTGGCCAAATAATAATAATTATTATTTGATGAGAGGTCAAAGTTACACATTTTCCACTTCCTTCTTTGACTTGAGGTTAAAAAAAGAAAAAAAACCTTGGTGACAGAAATATTGAAATCCCCATAATACACAGATTTTACTTTTGGCTATTTTAAAGATGAAATTCACTTTGTTAGCAATTGTTGAATTTATATCATTATGCAATGAGATTGAATTTTAGCAAGAGTCAAAAAATTCAATAAAGGCAAGTATCTATTAAAGAAATAAGATAGCATCACCAACACATTCAGTTTATAAAATTCTGACTACTTCAAGATTCAATTCACATTAAAAATTTACTCTAAATCCTATATTGAAGCAGCAAGCATCAGTGTCATGAGGCCAGTCATCAATTTCTGTGGTCAGCTATAGCGTAAAGATCTTGGCTTTGTTTAATATGAGACCCTTCACATTTCCAGGTAACATTTTTTTTTTTGAGCAAGAAAAAATTACTTTGAGTTTTTATTATTATATGTACTAGATAGTGCCTTAAAATATTTTCAAAGTAGGGAATTCCCTTCCTTTGTTATTTACATGATTCAGGTTATAATAAAAATTCTAACAAATACTTCTCTAGTAATTCTTCATAAAAATCTATTTAAGTTTAGGGATTTCTGCCAACAGACTATATTTGAATATAGTTTTAGAATTTTTAACTGTTATAATATTTGTTTATTATATGAAGTAGGATTTATTCATTCAGAATCCTGTTTTGGAAGATCCCATATAGTCAATATTCAATATATAAATGCTCAACATTTATATATATTTTTTGTTTTCTTTTCAATATACAATAGCTAAGTAAATCCATTATGCTAATCCCTTCAATCATATCTCTGCATTCCACATTCATATTAAAAACCAGTTTTTGATCTCTATCTTTAAACACATTTTATTTTTTCTTTCTTCATGAGTCTTTATTTACAAAATCAGCACTTGTTGTCACATACACATCCATTACATTGTAAAAAAATAGCTACAGCTAGGATAAGGTAAATTGGTAGTGCTAACAAAATACTCGTTATTGTGCTACGCGAGAATCCACATTACTGGTGTAATTGAAATGAATTCTTATCTTGTTCCATATCCCACAGAGCTCCCACTGACATCTGAGAACATTCAACTTTCACATTGCTCTGTCGTCTGCTTCGTTTTTCTTTTAGATATAGGTCAACACCATTCCACAGCTCTTAAGCAATTTAAGTGTTTTGAAGTTATTTGATTCCTGCAGTATTTCTTGTAGGATCTTTGTATATGCAGGCACTCACCAAGAAATGAAATTCTTTTTTTTTTCTCTGCTATGATTAAAACAGGTCCAACTAAGGGAGAAAATATTTGACTTTGGCCCTTATACATGTACTGAGAATTAGGAGTGTTTCATTATTAGATAATGGATACTTTAAATGCAAGCTCTTTTGACCTGTTCTAGTTTCTAAGTGGTGTTGTATCTACAATATCCATCATAATGTCAACTACATAAAGCATCTTAATAAATATTAAGGTTAAATGACATCGTGAGTGTGAAAGAAGCGACAAAAGGACTAATCCTAGCAAATCATAACTTTTACCCTCCATTCTCAGACTCAGATCATGAATTTAGTGGAAAGCCATTCTTAAAGAGGAAAGTGGATAGGGAAGCAGGCATCTTTGTAATGAAATACTTCCATTTTTCACTAGGGTGGTAAAAAGGCAGGTGTTGTCATTAATATTTTGGTCATATTATGATTCTTAGGATATTCCAAAAGATTCATGACTACTGAAGGAGAAACATATGCATTAGTATGCCCAGAGAATGTAACAAAGCTATTTGTTAAGTAAAAGATAAAAACTGATTGCCAAATATAACTTTAGGACTAGATAAACACTTAAAATGCTTTTCTCAAGAACAATTTTGTTGTCAGCATATCTGGGTTCAGATCCTAGCTATGATATTTCCCTGTTATTTAACCTTAAGCAAATTACTTAATTTTGTCTCAATTTCCTCCTCAGTGAAATAGGAATAATAAATACTTGCTTCAGAAGGCTTCGTTCGGTTCATAAAATTTGAACCTAATATCTAGCCCAGCATAAGTAACCCAACAAATGTTAACTGTAAAATGTTGGGGTGGAGAGCGAATTCCACAATAAATAAATAAATAAATAACACTTGCTGAATTATTTGAATGAAATTATTACAGGAAGTAAAGTTTCCATATTCTGCCTGGCAGTTTTCTGTATCTCACAACTAATGAAATACAAATTCAGTAAAATCTTACCTAGATTTCTTCAGCAGCATCTAGGCAACATGAATGCATTTTTTACTTGTCTACTGTCTGTCTGAGCGTCCTAGCCTGTTGGAAGCATTGCACTTTCAGTTAATCATGCTTTCAATCTTAAAATTTTCTTCAGAGTTTTATCATTCATTCTTAGTTGCTCATAGAAATCTGATAGTTCTGATTTTATGCACTTGCTTTATTTCCTCAGGAAGAGGAAGGCAGATAAGTATTTTGTTACTCCCAGTCACATTAAATGTGCTGCCTCAAGATCTCCTACTCTTGGTCAGGTAACTAGATATGAGATTGACATTTCCTAATGCACTGGAGTGATGTGATGTTTAACTAGTGAAGTCCATCAGGATGACATAGGATTGGATAAGGGCTGGTTGTTTGAACAGCTGATAGATGACCGTGATAAACTTTGCTTCAGTGATTGTACCTCTGTATCTAATGCCCTACGGAAGGGTGCTGTCCATCAAGGCATTCTAGAGCTCATTTCCTCATGACTTCTGTTATTGGTTCTTTAACCTTATTCAGATACAGCATTAGATGTGCATATTACAGTGTATAAAACATCCTTTTCAAAATAGCACTGATTTTTAATTTTTATATAGTGATAAATATTTGAAAAGCTAAAATTCTTTCTTCCTTTTTTATTCTCCAGAGCTTTTGTTTTTCATATTACGTAACATTTTTGAAAAAGTTGTAAAAGTCTATGTATTGTGGTTGAAATCTGCTTACTTTGTGCATGATAATAAAGATGTTTGCATGAGCCCTTTTCTAATAGCATATTTTAACTACAGAAACAATCACAAATTGAATAACTCTAAGGAAGCATGATGAAGGGGAGAACCAAATAGGAGGTCCTCTAGAGTTCCTTTTATAATGAAATGACCATTAATATGTTAAAAAGTGGAAAGGGGGAAAGAACTGTGATTATCTGCCTCTTATTTTATGTATAATTGTGAATTTTCTCTCTTCTTAGTTATTTTCTATATCTATTTCTTAGAGAAGAAAACAGAGAGAGACTATAATGATTTAGACAGGAGATGTTCTTACCTACACCTTCATCTATCTCTGCAATGTGGAAAGCAAGGCCTCTAGAATAAAATGTGCGATACAGACATATATTATTACTTGTTAATTGCTAGGCATGGTAGACTGGAGTATGCTACCTTCCATTTTAAAATTCAAAATAGGTATTTCATTTATTCAACAAATTTTTATTACGAATTTACTGTGTATAAGACTCCCTGGCTAGCATGGTAAAACCCCATCTCTACTAGAGATACAAAAAATTAGCCAGGTGTGGTGACGCGCAACTGTAATCCCAGCTACTTGGGAGGCTGAGGTAGGAGAATCACTTGAACCTGGAAGGAAAAGGCCGCAGTGAGTTGAGATCGCGCCATTGCACTCCAGCCTGCGTGACAGGGCGAAACTCTGTCTCGAAACAAACAAACAAACCAAAAAAAAAAGGACTATAGAGTCTGTAGTCATTGTGGAAAATAGAAAGTATTGTTTTGTTTTCAAATAATTAATAATAATCATTATTAGCACCAGATGAAACACAGGAGACTATGGATGGTTCACATGGAGTTTCATGCTCATATATGTAAGAGATGATACAGGAGGGGAGGTATCATCTGAGACAGCCAATAATATCTATGAAAACACAAAATGGGAAAGTACATATAACAACTTTTAAATGTTAAAAGTTAATTATTCTTTATAGTTGAAATACTATAGGAATATAAAATACAAAATATAAAATAGTTATTTAGTAGTTATATAAAATACAAAACATGTATTAAACCAGTTCTGCATAATGTTCTGTGGAAGAGTCCTTGTAGACAATAAAGGCAATATGTTAATTTCCATCTTGTCATGCCTATATCCTTGTACAAACTTATTGAATTATACAAAGGAGATGTTATCTCCATTTACAGTTTGAAAGTCTGATATACCAAAAGATTGTCATATATCTCAAATTTGTGTGCTAATATTTATGGAGCCCAGTGAACACGGAATGATTCTGTCAGTGGGCTCTTTTGGTCTGGTTGGTGATAATTCATTGTCCCTAATTCTCAGAACTAGGCATGACCATCTGCCCAATAACAAAAAAGGAACGAAAAGATTGTGGGGGGAAATATTTGGGATTCTGGCCACTGCACAAGGATAATTTATCAAAAAGGTAAAACAGAGTATTTGCTAGGGAAATACAAAGTGGATTTAAATTCATTGGTAGCTTGGCTTAGAACACACTTTATTGTTGGGAGTGGAAAAATAACTAAAGATGACTTTTTGTTTTTTATATCAATCACTCCTTATAAACAAAAATTAAACTTTTAGTGTGAAGACCAAGAATTGAAGAGCATATGGTTTATATTTATAACCTAATGAATTTTCTTCCCAGTCTCAGTATATTTCTTATTTCTCCATTTGCCTTATAAAAGTGTGTTGGGCTACCATTCTCCCTTGGGTACTCTCTTCTATACCTCAAGTCCCTGTAACTCAAATCTGGATTTTTAAGGCTCTCAGAGTTTTTCCATCCTCTGAGATCGCTCTCTCTTTTCATATTCAAATGAAAATGTCCAAGCAACCCATTTCACATAGAGTGGGAAGCCAGCATCTTCCTTTTTCCTCATTCCTCTTGCTTTACCCAACCTTGTACACTGCCTCTGATTCTTTGTTCACGAATGCATGGTTTGAACGGACAGGAAACATTTATAAGTGCTTTGGTGTCATGGAAAGCTTACATCAAACCAAAATACAGATAGCTACTTCAAATTAAATGTGTGATGTCAGCATTGTCTAATTTGCAATACTCTCCCACTGATAACCCTTTTACCCTAATGGTCCAATGTGCTGTTGTCTTCTTGAATCTGACTTCAAATCTTCTTCATTTCTTCCTACCTCTTGTTAAAAGAAAAATTTAAACGAAATAAATTTAGCAGAGTTTGTTTCAGCAAAGAATACTTCATGACTCAGGCGGCAATCAGAACTAGGAGAGATTCAGGGAACCCTGCCCAGCAATGAATCAGGCGGCAATCAGAACCAGGCGAGATTCAGGGAACCCTGCCCAGCGATGAGTCAGGCGGCAATCAGAACCAGGAGAGACTCAGAGAACCTGGTCCAGCAATGAATCAGGCGGCAATCAGAACCAGGAGAGATTCAGGGAACCCTGCCCAGCAATGAATCAGGCGGCAATCAGAACCAGGCGAGATTCAGGGAACCCTGCCCAGCAATGAATCAGGTGGCCATCAGAACCAGGAGAGACTCAGAGAACCTGGTCCAGCAATGAATCAGGTGGCAATCAGAACCAGGCGAGATTCAGGGAACCCCGCCCAGCAATGAATCAGGTGGCAATCAGAACCAGGCGAGATTCAGGGAACCCTGCCCAGCAATGAGTCAGGTGGCCATCAGAACCAGGAGAGACTCAGAGAACCTGGTCCAGCAATGAATCAGGCGGCAATCAGAACCAGGAGAGATTCAGGGAACCCGGTCCAGCAATGAATCAGGCGGCAATCAGAACCAGGAGAGATTCAGGGAACCCCGCCCAGCAATGAATCAGGCGGCAATCAGAACCAGGAGAGATTCAGGGAACCCTGCCCAGCAATGTGAGCAGCAGCTTGGATAGGCTAAATGTCAAGCAAAGCAAAGACGTTGCTTGATTGGCTACCTCTAGGCATTTGCCTTATTTGAGTATAATCTGGGGGAAAGTCCCTAGTGAGAAGTTAGCTGACTGTTTCTGATTGGTTAGGTCTAGTTTTGCTTCACTTTACACTGGGCTTTGGTCTACTTACATAAGAACCCAAAGTGCTGGTACCTTCTCAGCCGAATGCTTCCCCATTACGTATATATATACTTATGTGTGTGTATACATGTGTATATATACGTGTGTGTGTATATACGTATATACACACACACGTATATATACATATGTATATATGTATATATGCACATGCATAGGCATATATATGTATATATGCACATGCATACATGTATATATATGTATATGCGTATTGCAGTGAAGAAGACCAGAGGTTACTCTTGTCGCCATCTTGGTTTGGTGGGTTTTAGCTGGCTTCTTTACTATAACCTGTTTTATCAGCAAGGTCTTTATGACTTGTACCTTGTGCTGACCTGCTTTC
Source organism: Homo sapiens (assembly GCF_000001405.40). Classification (NCBI taxonomy): domain Eukaryota; kingdom Metazoa; phylum Chordata; class Mammalia; order Primates; family Hominidae; genus Homo; species Homo sapiens. The sequence goes on from NC_000004.12 coordinate 181,031,664, forward strand.
TCATCCTGTGACTTAGAACACCTTAACAACCTGGGAATGCAGCCCAGTAGGTCTCAGCCTCATTTTACCCTCCCCCTATTCATATACCCACCTACGTATATACACACACACACATATATATATATAGATATATGTGTGTGTGTGTGTGTGTGTGTGTATATATATATATTTTTTTTCTTTTTTTTTTTTCTGAGACGGAGTCTTTCTCTGTCACCCAGGCTGGGGTGCAGTGGCGCAATCTCAGCTTACTGCAAGCTCCGCCTCCTAGGTTCACACATTCTTCTGCCTCAGCCTCCCTAGTAGGGGGGACTACAGGCACTCGCCACCACACCCGGCTAATTTTTTGTATTTTTTTTTAGTAGAGACGGGGTTTCACCGTGTTAGCCAGGATGGTCTCGATCTCTTGACCTCGTGATCCACCCGCCTCGGCCTCTCAAAGTGCTGGGATTACAGGTGTGAGCCACCGCGCCCGGCCCCCATTACGTGTATTTTTAATATTCTCCTTCTCCCTGAGTTCATGAACCCTCTCTCCAGAAAGTGGAAAGTCAACATTTTTCTACTTCCTTTTGCAAAACAAATGTGTTCTTTCACCCATCCATCTTACACTCAGGATGGTACCTTATCTAACCTAAATGACTCATATAGAAATATCTATTCATTTTTCTTCAAAATAAACCAGAAATATATCTGCCTTCCTTGCCCCTACCCATACATTATTGTTTCCTTTTCACTCTACTCCAATCAGATTCTCCATGGGTCTTTCACCTGCTAAAAACTCAATACCTGTCTCTGACACAAATCCTCTGCTATGTTTTCCATTTCTTCCTAACCTTGATGCGTAGAGGCAGCTTTCTCTACTAGCTACTGCCACTTACTGACTGGCTGCAGAATGAGGGCGAGCCCTTACTCTAACCTTCAGAAAACTAGGAAATTGATCCCTTCCTTTGCAAACTTCTTTTTAAAACCTTGCTGACAAAAGGAAAAGAGATAGGGTAACAAATAAAAAATTACTGATGACAACTGCTGTCCTCTGAAAAGACCACAAAAATCTTCTGTTGACCAAGTAAAGCCAAGTTTATTGCCCATTGCAATAAAAGCAATCACCACTTACAGTCTTAGTAATGTCTTGTAAGGGGCAGTACAAGGTCAGATACATATAAGTACAAGGCTGAGATGTGGTTTAAATCAGGCCTTTTAATGCCGAAATATGATTGGGACTGAGCAGTGCTTATGATATAATGGTTTAAGTTCGATGGCATCAGGGAAAGAGGGGGATTGAAACAAATCTTGTTGAGTAAACAGTCATTTGGTAAGCTAAAGTTTGCTGATTTGAGTAATGTGTTATCCTGAGAGACCTAGTGAAGTAATCTATCCTTTAAATAAATGCTTTTCAGGAAGTTCCTAAAACAAACAATTTTATGGTGCAGCCTTATCTTCTGGGTAAGAGTTTCCTGGAATATTACAGTCATGGTGATATAGACAGTCTTAGTTCTTGATCTAGTAAGCTGTGTGGTTATGTTAATGGAAAGGGGTCCGGATCCAGACTCCAAGAGACTATCCTTGGATCATGTGCAAAAAAGAATTTAAGGTGAGTACATAGAGGAAAGTGAAAACAAGTTTATTAGGAAAGTAACGGAATAAAAAATGGCTACTCCATAGGTAGAGCAGCTGCAAGGGCTCTTTTTTTGGTTATTTTTTGATTAAATGCTAAACAGAGGGTGGATTATTCATGCTTCCCCTTTTTAGACCATATAAGGTAACTTCCTGACGTTGCCATGGCATTTGTAAATTGTCATGGCTCTGGAGGGCGTATAGCAGTGAAGAAGACCAGAGGTCACTCTTGTTGCCATCTTTGTTTGGTGGGTTTTAGCTGGCTTCTTTACTGCAACCTGTTTTATCAGCAAGGTCTTTATGACCTGTACCTTGTGCTGACCTCCTTTCTCATCCTGTGACTTAGAACACCTTAACAACCTGGGAATGCAGCCCAGTAGGTCTCAGCCTCATTTTACCCACCCCCTATTCAAGATAGAGTTGCTCTGGTTCAAACACCTCTGACAGTTACAAGCAAGTTTCCCTGCTAACTAGAAACTATTGGGTGTGTGTTCTCTGAACTCAAAACTCCTCATTACAGAGACCATTCAGCTCTGAATCCACAGAGCTTGGAATGTCACAGATATTCCAATAAGTGTTTGTTGTATGTAACTGAATCATTTTGGTATCTAGATTTTTTTAATCTTTTTTCCTAACCCTTTATTAGAGATAGTGTCTGAAAATGTCCTTATACAACTTTCTTCTTTCCTCCTTCCCATCATCCATTTTTCAATTCTTCACAAAGGAGGCATCGAGATCTCTTACAATCTTATTAAATCATATCATTTTTCCAGTTTAAAAATTATTGGAATGGTTTTCTTTCCTTTTTAAAAAATTATTTCAGATGGAGTTTCACTCTTGTTGCCCAGGCTGGAGTGCAATAGCGCGATTTTTTTTAATTTTTTTAATTTGTTTTTTTTTTTTTGAGACAGAATCTTGCTCTATTGCCCAGGCTGGAATTCAGTGTCACAATCTCAGCTCACTGCAACCTCTGCCTCCCAAGTTCAAGTGATTCTCCTGCCTCAGCCTCCCGAGTAGCTGGGATTACAGATGAGTGCCACCATGCCTGGCTAATTTTTGCATTTTTAGTAGAGACAGGGTTTCGCCATAAAAATTATCTGAATGGTTTTCTAATACCTTTTAAAAAATTATGAAACTCCTCTGCATGACACACGGTCCCAGAAGATGGAGACACCCTTCTCCAGCCTCATCTCACTCCAACTTCCCCATTCACCATGTTGAAATCACATCTTACTGATTCTTGGACAGACCAGCTCTTTCATTCCTAAGGTGCACCTCCTAGTTTCCCTGCTTGGAACACTCTGCCTAAGGGTTCTCTCATAGCTCTGTCCTACTTCTCATTGAGCTCTTGGCTTGAATGTCCTCTACTCAGAGAAACCATCCCTGACCTTACAAGATGCACTTGCGCCTGCTTCCTTACCTTGTCTCTGCAGTAGGGACTCTATGATATGAGTGAATGAAGGGATTCATTTATGAACCAACAAACAATGCACATTATTGAATTTGTTACTTAGAGAAGACAGGTAAATTTTTTTAAGTTTTCATATAAATCAAGGTTCATTGTAAATAGTGTCTCTCATATCATTCTGAAGAGCCATTCACATTACTAGTCATGAAGAAAAAGGAAAGGTGCCCCACATCTGAATTGCATCTTAATTTGCATCTCTGAGAAACTTCAAGCAAGCATTTTTCTGAGCACTTATAATCATTAGAATACTTCCTCTTGAGAGAATTTCCTCAGATCCCTAGTCTCTCAATCTCAACTTCACCCCAGTGTAGCATAGCATATCTCAACCCATGTGTGTATTTCTCCTGAGTGGGATAGAGGTGAAGAAGGCAGGAGTGCAGGATACAGGGTGAGTGCAATTGACACCTCACACCAGGAGCGGCCACACAAGGGTGAGAGAGCTGCTTTCTACATCATTATGGCAGAGGGAGCCATCCCTGGATTAAATGTAATCTTTGTGTTTTCAAGAGTTTAAGACCCACCATGTCTTCCTTTTTTTTTTTTTTTTTCCAAATTTGCAAATGTCGGCATGTTTTCTCTGTGCTACTGGATAGGTGGGTGGTTTCCATATAAAAGCCTTTCATTAAAGAGCACACGTTATAGAAATTCTTTATGTCCAAGCAAATTACCATTTATATTTTAAAAAATTGTTAAGTTTAAATATTTTGGGCCAGGAGTGGTGGCTCACACTTGTAATCCCAGCACGTTGAGAGGCAGAGGCAGGAGGATCCTTTGAACACAGGGGTTCAAGACCAACATGGGCAACATAGTGAGACCCTGTCTCTACAAAAAAATGTAAAAATTAGCCAGGTGTGGTTGCACGCACCTATAGTCCCAACTACCTAGGAGGCTGAGGCAGTAAGCCAATGTTGCAGTGAGCCAAGATCCCACCACTGCACTCCAGCCTGGGCAACAGAGTGAGACCCTGTCTCAAAAAAAAAAAAAAAAATTAGCAATGAAGCTGATGAAAAATGTGTCCACATATCTCCTTGTAGTTAGTATTCGGAGGAATTATTTATTTCCTTTCATATAGACATGGGATCTTACATGCTCAAAATAAGGGAGTGCAGGCATGCTCAACAGAGAGTCGTGCAATGGAACTTGGGGTTTCTATCTTTATGGGTTTCTTTAACCAAGGGGTGGAATATTTAAGAAAATTCCTCAAAAAATGTGGAGATTTCTTGGAACTGTGGTGCCTCCCATTTTTACACCAAATATAGGTGCTCCTGGAACTGTCATGGCGCTAGTGAGTGTGTGATTTGTATGCTAATGGGCATATAATGAGATCATAGGAGAAACCTTGGTCAAATCCAGTACCATGTTGGGTCCAGTCAGTCTTAGCCAGCTTGGCACACACCCCCTGGTTTTTCAGGTCTTATCAGCCCTTAGCTTCTGTGGCTATTTCCAGTGTTACTGTGAAACTGCTACCTGGAATTTTCTATTCTCCTGCGACCACTCTATATTATTCCTGTCTCATTACTATCATGTTTTCTTCACCCAAGCTATGAAAGTAGAGGTGCAGCCAGTCTCTCTTTTCACCAAGGGTGACATTGGATACATCCGTGACTTGTTGCTGGTATAATACATATTAGGGAATGAAAGACAAAATGCAGCAGGCAAGTAAGGAGATGATTTTTATTCAGGCTATTTCAATAAGAGGAACATATTAACGAGGAAGATCTCAAATAGAGGGAGAAAACCTGGGTGGTGGTGGGGCTCATCTGAGTCCTGGAAGAAGGTGAAGGTGGATTTTATCTTGGAATATGTGAGGCCAGGGTCATCCTTTGCGTTCAGCCATTTCTTGGAACACAGAGGAGTGTGATTATCTGGGAGAACAAAAAAATGGAAGGATTTCTTCATCAAAGCTGTTTTCTATGAGCACAGAGAGCTGGGGTAAAATTTGACATTGTCAATGGAAATATAGGTCAAACTAAGAATGAGCACACTCTTTTTCATACTTGTTTGCTTTGTATTCCAAGATGAAAGAGTACATATGAGAATAATGTTTTACTAAGCTGTGTAGTTTTACTATACTGATTTTTTATAAATTCATTATTTTTCTTCATGGATATTTCTGCAATAAAAATTAATTTGGTTATGTTTTTAGACTGTAATGTTACTATATTCTTTAATGATAAGTAGGGCTTGTATAAGAAAATATTGTTCTTTTGGTGGGTTGCCAACCATGTGGTCCCACACTCCTTATGTGTGCTTGGCTGGCTCAATTTCCTTATTCCCCATTCACGTTCACTTTATTGAAGCAGTGATCTATGGGTGGAATAAGTAGTATTAATGCCTGATCTAGAAGGAGTTTTGTGTTTTGTTTTTGTTTTTTGCTTCCCAACAATAGAACTTATACTATTTTGTATGTGTGTGGGTACATACTAGGTACATATACTTATGAGGTACATGAGATATTTTGATACAGGCATAAAATACATAATAAACACACCCTGGAAAATTTGTATCCATCCCCTCAAGCATTTATTTTTTGTGTTACAAACAATCCAATTATCTCTTTTAGTTATTTTAAAATATACAATCAAATTATTATTGACTATAGTACCCCTGTTATACTATAAAATACTAGGTCTTATTCATTCTTTCTAATTATTTTTTGTGCCCATTAACCATCCCTGTCTGCCCACTGGCCCTCCCACTACTCTTTTCAGTCTCTGGTAATCATTCTTCTATTCTCTAGCTCCATGAGTTGATTCCAACAGGAAAACTTGATAATCATCAGTTTCCCAACAACAAGACACTTTTGCCTAATGCTAGATATCATTGTCTTATTGCTATCTTCTTTGATGTTCTTGTGTCAAGTCTTTTCACACCTTCTCCTTTCTTCTGAGAGGGGAGTATTTCCTCCTTTCTCTACACAATAAAGTTCCCAGTGTTAATAGCGACATATATTCCCTCAGTTACTAGGCTTCGGATATCCGGTCATCATCTTGAAGTCTCATCATTCATAAAGGTTTTGTTCTCCAGAGAAGTAATTGACATTCTGTTGGCATTTTATTTATGAATGGTAAAAATATTCATATCAGTAATGACAAATATTCTTATCATCAACAATAATTCTACTCTGTTCTCATCCATGTGCTCAATTTAAAATCTTGTTTCCTGAAGGAAAAAGGTGAATGTCTTGTATATTCTGAAAAAGTTACAAGTAAATTTTTCTATCAAATGACATTAATAAAAAGTGTATAAACTTGGGTTTTGGAAGATCTAGTATTTGCTAGAAAATCTAATGCCTATGTAAATCTATTCATCTTCATTTGATCATGGCATATTTTCAAACTACTTCTAGATATTAAGATGTGATTACCACAATTTTATTTAAAGATAAGAAATGAAAGTTATAAGATGTAAAACAAAGTAATTTCTATTTATTAATTAAATTATTAAATTATTAGCATTCGTTTAGTAAAGACCTTAATAGATAAACATTAGTTTATTGTGAGATTTTAAAATTTTCTTTACTCTGAAAAACAACATTTACTCTGCCTCAAAAGGGACATCCTTCCCTTTTTGAAAAATTTGATAATTTCCAGAAAGAATTCAAATCTCCATAAATTGATAAGTCCGTATGAGCTGAAGAAAAAATTATATTCTTCAAGTGAGTAGGGATAATTATTATGGAAAAAGAGGACAGTTTATCTCATTTATATGGTGATGATTCATTTTTAGAAAATGACAATATACTTTGCGAAGTTTACGTCCAAAACCTAGGAGAGTTCTAAGTAACACTTAATTGAAATGTTTGAGGAAAGAGGCAACTAAACAAGAAACAAAAGAACGTCCTCCATGTCCACTAGTGAGGCCTTTGACACAGAAATGCACGTGGAGCTTATTGCGGGCAGGAGCATGAGGAATCCTCTGTGCTTAGGAAAGAGCCTGGTGGCTGGCACTCTGTCGTCTCAGTGGAAGTCAAATAGCCATGGAGAGTCAGAGCTCATAAGCTCATAGGAGACTTTACTAGAACCACTAATCTGACTTCAGGATAGTGCGTCAGAATTTTTATATGTCAAAAACATTAGTTGACAAATAATTAGTTTCCAAGCTCTTTTGGAAAATTATTTAAATAACATATTAATTTATATAAAACTAAAAACGGTAGCAATTCACTATAGAGCAATTAGATTCAGGTAAAAATGACAACTTTTCACTCATTTAGAATATTATTGTATGCACTGGAGACATTTTCAATATTAACTCTTTGTGAATGTTCTTTTAATGACATTAATAGCCATCAAACAATACAGTTTTCATTAAACTGTATGTACAAAGGTAGACATTTGAAAAGAGAGATCCACACACCAGGCATATCTTTTTGATTCTTCAGATGGAGGAATTTTCCTAAGCTCCTATCAGTAATCATCAGGAAAGAAGTTTAAAACAGATTGAACAGAGGAAACGTACAAAGAACAAGGCAGCTCTAAACCAGATATTCCTTGGAAGAGATGAAATGATTTCCTGCATCTCCTGCCACTCTTGTGTTTTTTGTTGGTTGCTTTTTTGTCATTGTTCATGGATTAATCTCATTCTTGAAATTCCTTCTGTGAGATTTATCTGTTGAGAACTTTCCAGATTCTTCTAGAAATTGAAAAAGCAAACAGAAATTACTAACTTAATATCCTCAAGGGAAGTGATGTGTAGAGAAGGATCTTAATCATTAAAGCTCTAAGATTTCTAGGAAAAAAAAGGACAATTAGAAGGTTATATTTATTTATCATAGTTTTTATCTTATCATGAATTAGTTTTCTATAAAGAAGCCAGCTCAAGATAAAATTATTTGGTAGCCAGGTGTGCTTCTAGCATCCCTGTATCCCTCTTTTCCCCTTATCCCTCCCCACCCCCTGCTATCCTACCATGCTCCTTTATACGCTTTCATCCTCCTGCCTCTAGGTATAGACATCTATGCATGTCTGTGTATTCTGTGGACCACCAGGTTGGATCTAAATGGTACTACCTTAATGCCTGCTAAAGGATGGGCCCCATGGAGTGATCAATGGTTTTCTAATCTCTCATTTTCTCTCTAATGAAATTCTCCACCAGTCTTTTCCAGTTAGATTTACTGAAGGTTATGGTGTCATCTTTTCTGGGTAGCCTAGTTTTTGTTTTTTTTTTTTTTTTCAGTTTTTATTGATTGGGCTTTTTTATCCCCAACACCCAATGAGTTATCAACATTTGCCAGTTTAATCTTGAAACTGTTGGTTTTATGTCCCATGAATAATGCCCTCGGGCTATTTTTATCACTTCCAGATTTTTTTATTATTATTATTATACTTTAAGTTTTAGGGTACATGTGCACAATGTGCAGGTTAGTTACATATGTATACATGTGCCATGCTGGTGTGCTGCACCCATTAACTCATCATTTAGCATTAGGTATATCTCCTAATGCTATCCCTCCCCCCTCCCCCCACTCCATGACAGTCCCCAGAGTGTGATGTTCCCCTTCCTGTGTCCATGTGTTCTCATTGTTCAGTTCCCATCTATGAGTGAGAACGTGCGGTGTTTGGTTTTTTGTCCTTGTGATAGTTTACTGAGAATGATGATTTCCAATTTCATCCATGTCCCTACAAAGGACATGAACCATCATTTTTTATGGCTGCATAGTATTCCATGGTATATACGTGCCACATTTTCTTAATCCAGTCTATCATTGTTGAACATTTGGGTTGGTTCCAAGTCTTTGCTATTGTGAATAGTGCTGCAATAAACATACATGCTCATGTGTCTTTATAGCAGCATGATTTATAGCCCTTTGGGTATATACCCAGTAATGGGATGGCTGGGTCAAATGGTATTTCTAGTTCTAGATCCCTGAGGAATCGCCACACTGACTTCCACAATGGTTGAACTAGTTTACAGTCCCACCAACAGTGTCAAAGTGTTCCTATTTCTCCACATCCTCTCTAGTACCTGTTGTTTCCTGACTTTTTAATGATTGCCATTCTAACTGGTGTGAGATGGTATCTCATTGTGGCTTTGATTTGCAGTTCTCTGATGGCCAGTGATGATGAGCATTTTTTCATGTGTTTTTTGGCTGCATGAATGTCTTCTTTTGAGAAGTGTCTGTTCGTATCCTTTGCCCACTTTTTGATAGGGTTGTTTGTTTTTTTCTTGTAAATTTGTTTGAGTTCATTGTAGATTCAGTTATTAGCCCTTTGTCAGATGAGTAGGTTGTGAAAATTTTCTCCCATTTTGTAGGTTGCCTGTTCACTCTGATGGTAGTTTCTTTTGCTGTGCAGAAGCTGTTTAATTAGATCCCATTTGTCAATTTTGGCTTTTGTTGCCATTGCTTTTGGTGTTTTGGACATGAAGTCCTTGCCCATGCCTATGTCCTGAATGGTAATGCCTAGGTTTTCTTCTAGGGTTTTTATGGTTTTAGGTCTAACGTTTAAGTCTTTAATCCATCTTGAATTAATTTTTGTATAAGGTGTAAGGAAGGGATCCAGTTTCAGCTTTCTACATATGCCTACCCAGTTTTCCCAGCACCATTTATTAAATAGGGAATCCTTTCCCCATTGCTTGTTTTTCTCAGGTTTGTCAAAGATCAGATAGTTGTAGATATGCGGCATTATTTCTGAGGGCTCTGTTCTGTTCCATTGATCTATATCTCTGTTTTGGTAACAGTACCATGCTGTTTTGGTTACTGTAGCCTTGTAAGATAGTTTGAAGTCAGGTAGCATGATGCCTCCAGCTTTGTTCTTTTGGCTTAGGATTGACTTGGCAGTGCGGGCTCTTTTTTGGTTCCATATGAACTTGAAAGTAGTTTTTTCCAATTCTGTGAAGAAAGTCATTGATAGCTTGATGGGGATGGCATTGAATCTATAAATGACCTTAGGCAGTATGGCCGTTTTCACAATATTGATTCTTCCTACCCATGAGCATGGAATGTTCTTCCATTTGTTTGTATCCTCTTTTATTTCATTGAGCAGTGGTTTGTAGTTCTCCTTGAAGAGGTCCTTCACATCCCTTGTTAAGTTGGATTCCTGGGTATTTTATTCTCTTTGAAGCAATTGTGAATGGGAGTTCACTCATGTTTTGGCTCTCTGTTTGTCTGTTATTGGTGTATAAGAATGCTTGTGATTTTTGTAGACTGATTTTGTATCCTGAGACTTTGCTGAAGTTACTTATCAGCTTAAGGAGATTTTGGGCTGAGACAATGGGATTTTCTAAATGTACAATCATGTGGTCTGCAAACAGGGACAATTTGACTTTCTCTTTTCCTAATTGAATACCCTTTATTTCCTTCTCCTGCCTAATTGCCGTGGCCAGAATGCTGTAGTTGCTCTTTGGCTAGTTTCCTGGCACCAATTCACACATACTCAATCTTTACCTCATATTACTGCCAGATTTATCTTGAGGAAATATCACCTTTAGTTATTCACATACTAAAAAATCTTCAGTGGCTCCTCATTGCCTATTGACCACACCTCCTTTAAATACCTATCCTTTACTATTTGACTACCCCCATGATCCTATATAAGGAGGATATGTTTGCATAACTTGATTATGTAGGATATGAATGTTGACAGTCTTCCACTGACAAATCTCACCTGAAACAGCTTTCCTTCTACTTCCATTGATTGAAATCCTACCCAGTCTCCAAGACCAATCTCAAATTCCACCTCTTTATTAAAAGCAAACGTATTAGCACGAAATAATCAGACCCTGGTTTCCATTTTCACAGCAATTTTTTTTTTTTTTTTTGAGACGGAGTCTTGCTCTGTCACCAGGCTGGAGTGCAATGGTATGATCTCAGCTCACTGCAGCCTCCACCTCTGGGTTCAAGCAATTCTC